>NC_000016.10:72138257-72441288 GCF_000001405.40 Homo sapiens
AAGAGGAGCATCTCCTCCTCCCCGACTAGAGAACCCCTTGGGGAGCTGACATGTGTTGTTTACTCCCTCTGCCACCCCGCTTCGCCCCCATTTCAGCATCAGTCTTGGGGCGTGCAGGCATGCCAGCACCTGCCCAGCATGGCCTCCTGTGGCTGGCTTTGCCAGGTACCAAGTTCAGTCATGGCTGACTTAACAGGACCTCACCTAAGAGGACACCTGGCCATGTTTTAACTCCTGGTTCATCAACTTTTATTTATTTATTTATTTATTTTATTTGAGATGGAGTCTCATTCTGTGGCCCAGGCTGGAGTGCAGTGGTGTGATCTCAGATCACTGCAAGCTCGACCTCCTGGGTTGAAGTGATTCTCCTGCCTCAGCCTCCTTAGTAGCTGGGACTACAGGTACCCACCACCACACCTGGCTAATTTTCGTATTTTTAGTAGAGATGGAGTTTCACCAAGTTGGCCAGGTGGGTCTCTAACTCCTGACCTCAAGTGATCTGCTCACCTTGGCCTCCCAAAGTTCTGGGGTTACTGGCATGAGCCACCACACCTGGCCACTCAATTCTTGCTATTTGTTTACATGGTTTAACTGCTCATTTATTATTAGAATCAACTTTTGATACTGCTTTGAATTTTGCAAACACAGAGTTCTCAAAAAAAAAAAAAAAAGCAGGGGGAATAAATTTGGATTAATAATCTTTCCTAAATTAGTACTTTTCAACTCCAGCCAGACACGAGGAGGCTAGATGGTCCTTTTGAATGTAGCAAGGCAACAGAAATATTGTCTTGTTTAGGTGTACTGTTAGAAGTGGGTTAAGAGACAGGTGCAGTTCCAAAATTGAATGCTGCCTGTCTTTTGGGTTTGGCATACATTATACACAGTATCCTTGTGGCAGGGCCAACCAAGCTCACACAGATATAAAATAAAATATAAATTGTCATATAAAAATAAAAAATAAGTAGGAAAGCCCAGAATCAAACCCAGCTCAGCCCGATCCCAGTAGGCACAGATCAGCAAATTTCTCCCACCTTTTTGATGTCTTCACACTCTTCTGAGGAGCTAGGAGGGTATCTGTGGGTGGCTGTACAGGAAGCAAAATCGGCTTGTAGTTTTATCAAAGCCTTTTCACGCTCCAGAACCTGCAAATAAGCTTAGATCAGTTATGCTGGATGATCAATGGAACGTGCTTGTTACCATGACTATTATTTCAGAGTGTTCCTTTCTGCAGCATAAGTTTGTTGCAGAATTATACAATTCATCAGGCATTCCCTGTGGGGTAGGTAGGGAGAAGGAATTAAGCTCCCCATCTTACATCAAGATTCTCTAAGGCATATGTGATCTGTCTCAAGTTCATCAATGCCCACCCTTGCACTCTCTCCTAAACCTCCGTTTGGTCCATTTGATGAGGCAGAAGAAGGTTCTTCAGGGGCTGTGATGGAGAGATATACCTAATCTATCAGAGGACAGGATACAAAGTTTGAGAATTAAAGAAGGAAGTTCCTTATGGAGTGTGTAATTGTGTGTGTAATTTTTTTTTGAAAAATAAAAAACATGAAATTTTGGTTTTAATTTTATGCTTTTTTGAATTTGTTGAAAATAATTCAAATAAGACCTGAGCATGGAAAAGTGAAACCCCCTCTTCACTTATTCTCCCTTCTCTCACTTCCACTAAGGGAGAGGACAGTATTGAAAATTCAGTTTGTACTTATATATTAGTATTATCATTAGAGATAAAACAAAAGTTGGACTGAACTATACATGGAATTCTGCAACTTATTCTTGACGATAAGTCACAAAGCGCCTTCCATGCAGCTCTTACAGATGTGCTTAGTCCTTTTTACTGGCTGCATATTATTCCACAGTAGGGATATCTCTTCAATTATTTCTCTTAATCTCTTTAACCATTTCCCCACTGATGGGCAGTTAGGTTGTTGTGTGAGAGATTTTAAGATTCTTTAGAATCTCACACTATTTGGGTGGGAAGAAGCATTACCATGGAGAATATGAACAAAGTTGGGGGGCAAGTATATATCAGACATTTGAGGATTCTCGGCGAAAAAGATTAATTTAGGTGACTCTTTTCCCCTCCTTTCTCTCCCCATGTCTTGATTGAGGGTCTCCCAGAGACATGTTCTAGAAGAAGGCACTTACCAAAGCGTTACTGCAGGCCAGCTTATTTCGAAGTTCTTGAATGAGATCATCCTGTTGAGAGACCTTTTGCCAGACTTCAGACAGTCGTTTCTGAGTCTCCTGATGCTCTTGAATCATGCAAGGAGAAGTGTATATCCGTACCTTTGAATGATCACCCTTGTTCTCAGGCTCCTGAGAGATTTAAAAATAATGGGTTGATTTTGCTTATAGTTTGTGAGTTACTTCAGAATTCCATGAACATGGAAAATCTCTAGACCTATATTCTAAAGGTATATGTTCATATATGGAAATCATGGTTTCCTTAACAAAACAAAAAATATTAACTAGTGCATATACATGTTAAAAAGTCCAAATGGTTCACAAGAGAAGACACTGAAAGATAAGTCTTCCTCCATCCTAACTATGACTCAGGTGTCCTTTTTGATGACAATCCATGTTACCAGCTTTTTGGATATCATTCAGGAATATTTTATGCATATTTGCATAAAAATCACTTTTTTTCTTACACAAATGAGTCTTTTTTTTTTTTTTTTTTTTTTTTGAGATGGAGTCTCACTCTGTCGCCCAGGCTGGAGTGCAGTGGCACTATCCTGGTTCACTGCAACCTCCGCCTTCCAGGTTCAAGCGATTCTCCTGCCTCAGCCCCCCAAATAGCTAGAATTACAGGCATGTGCCACCATGCCGGGCTAATTTTTTTGTATTTTTAGTAGAGACAGGGTTTCGCCACATTGGCCAGGCAGGTCTCAAACTGCTAACCTCAGGTGATTCACCCGCCTCAGTCTCCCAAAGTGCTGGGATTACAGGCATGAGCTACCACATCCGGTGGACAAATGAGTGTCTTATACAGTATTTAAACATTGTGTTTTCACTTGACAATTTATTTAAGATAGTTTTCATATTGTTACTTGTTGATCTATCTTACTCCTCTTTTAAAATTAATTTCAAATTACATAAGTAATTATATTTATATTGTCTCTCTAAAACATTGTAACACTACAGGCAGATCTGAATTTTTCTTTGACCGTCACTTCTAATTTCATTATCTCTCTACTTTCCAGAGATGACAGTCTGTGCATATTCTAGAACTTTATACTATATTTACATAATATAAATGAATCTGTACAATATAAATTATGTTGGCTTTTTAAAACATAAAAAATGTTTTTTTACTCAGCAAGATGAGTTAGAGATTTATCAATGCTAGTACATGTGCTTCTATCTTGTTCTTTTAAATTGCTTTTAAATGTGTTGATCTGGTTTCCTACTGATGAGAATATAGGTTGTTTCCATATTTTTTTTTTTCTGAAACAAAGCTGAAATGAATACTTTTGTACATAAATCTTTGAGTATTTATTCTGGTAATTGTGTACATTAAATTCATAGAAGTAGGACTCCCAGATCATATTTAAAATTGGATATTGTACTATTGTCCTTCAAAGAAATTAACACCTAACACTGTCATCAACATGAGTATGGCTATTTTCCTTGAACCATGTTTGTTTTAAATGTCTTTCCCTAGATCGTTTGAAATCATGCACGAAGGTTACTGCCCTCTTATTGGTTCACAATCATAAGGGGGTAAATTGATATACATCGTGAAAAAAAAAAAAAAAAGCAAAGCGTTCTAGTTTGGGTGGTAGATCCTTTCCCCATTAAACTTGTCTCTCTAACTGGGCTTTTTCAGGCAAAGTTAGGAATACTTCATGTTCAGTGAGCATGAAAGCCTTCTGTGAGCAAGCTGCAGGAAGGCCAGGCAGAAATCTAAAATTGACTGTAAATAATGTTCATGTAGATAATGCAGAGTCTACAGGGGCAAATGACTAGAAAACAAAACAGAAAAGCTAACAAGGAAGAAGATATCTACATATCTTCTTAATACTATGGGATGAAAAATGGAAACTAATTTAGAAGGAATAGGAGAAATATTCTCTGAAGTGAAGAAAAATGTAGATCTTCAGACTAAAAGGATTAGTGAAGTGTTGAATGGCTTAACACCCCAAGCCTAAAAACCTCCAGTGTTCAAAGAGATAAAATAGGTAAACTATGAAAAATGAGAAACACACTGACATCTAACAATGCATCTCTAATACTGTGGTACAAGGTGGTACAAAGAAATGCAGCAGTATCTTTGAAGACTTAAGGGAAGATGCTTTTGAAAGTTTGTATATCCAGCCAAACTAGCATTCAAGGATGATGACAAAATAAACCTTGCTCAGACATGGAAATATTGAGAAATTGTGCCACCCACAATTGTTTCTGAAAGAATTAAGAAGGAATTATTTACAGCAAAAGGAAAACTCCAAGAATGCAGAAGAGGTGAAGGGACTGCCGAGCATAGTAATGAGAAACAGCTGGGTTTATTTGTAATATTAAAGAAATAGATACTTCCTATATATACACAGTGGCAGAGATTTAAAAGAAGGTGAAAAGCTTTCCAGCTCATTATATTAGGATGGCATAATCCAGACACCAATATGCAAGGAAAGCACAAAAATTTAGGCCATCAAATTAATCTCATTTCTGAAAATAGATGAAAAAAAATTAACTTTTAACAAATTTAGTAAAGTTCATTAAAATTATTAATAATATATTATGATCAAATAGGGTTTATTCCAGGAACATAAACATTGTTCTATATATGAAAATCTATTCGTGTAATCTGCTTCATTGATGGATAGATGCTAATAAAAACATCTGATAAAATTCAACATTCATTCCTAATAACAATTCTTGATAAGCTAAATATAGACAGTCATACTTACAATTTGAGAAAGGATATTGAAAATAAGCCAAGAACAGGCATTATACTTAATAGTGAAATACTAGAATTACTTCCTTTAAAATGAGGAGCAAGGCAAAGAGGCTACAATTCCACTTTGCTCTAGAGATGCTGGTCAATACGATAAGATGGAAAATAAGTTGTGTAAATTTTGAAAGGGAAAGCAATTTAGGAAAATCCAAGACAGTCAAGTGAAAATCTGGTAAGAGAGCTCAGTAAGGTGGCAGGATAAGAGAGAAGTTTTCCTATACAACAGTAATAATACAATTAGGCCGGGCGTGGTGGCTTGCACCTGTAATCCCAGCACTTTGGGAGGCTGAGGTGGGAAGATCACTTGAGGTCAGGAGTTCAAGACCAGCCTGGCCAACATGGTGAAACCCTGTCTCTGCAAAAATAACAAAAATTAGCTGTCTGTGGTGGCACGTGCCTGTAGTCCCAGCTACTTGGAAGGCTGAGGCAGAAGAATTGCTTGAACCCAAGAGGCGGAGGTTGCAGTGAGCAGAGATTGCCTCACTGCACTCTAGACTGGGTGACAGAGTGAGACTCCATCTCAGAGACAAAAAAAATTGGCCGGGTGTGGTGGCTCATGCCTGTAATCCCAGCACTTTGGGAGGCCAAGGTAGGCAGATCACCTGAGGTCAGGAGTTCGAGGCCAGCCTGACCAACATGGAGAAACACTCCTCTCTACTAAAAGTACAAAATTAGCCAGGCCTGGTGGCACATGCCTGTAATCCCAGCTACTCGGGAGGCTGAGGCAGGAGAATCGCTTGAACCTGGGAGGCGGATGTTGCAGTGAGCCGAGATTGCACCATTGCACTCCAGCCTGGGCAACAAGAGCGAAACTCCATCTCAAAAAAAAAAATTAATAAAATTAAATGTATAAAAGATCCCATTTATAAAACCAATAACAACTGAAATATGTCCAGGAATAAACATAGCAAGAAATACGTGAGATCTACAGAGAAAAGTACAAAATCTTACTGAAGGACACACAAGAAAACTTGCATAAAAGTAAAAATATGTCATATTCCACAGGGCATGCTAATTTCCCCCAAATTAGTACATAATTTGAAAGTCAGTCAACATAAATCTAAATTTCATTAAGAAAAGAAATAAAAAAATGGCCAAGAAAAAATAGAAAGTGTAGAAGAGTGAAGGAGGACCTGTCCTAACAGGATCTATTAAAACAAGCTACCAGTTAAAGTCACTAAAAAACTCTGACACTGGCACACGAACTGGCAGAAAGATAAAAAAAATACCGAGTCCAGAGAAGGTCCCGTGTACAGAAGAATCGGTCTGTGAGCTGGTACCTGAACCAGTGTGGAAGGCTTGGGATGTTCAATAAATGGTTTTGAGGCCACTGGATATTTATTTAAATAATAAAATTCGAGCCTTATGTCATTATACATATAAAATATATATTCCAGATGGACTAAAGATAAAAACATAAAAATGCAAAATTATAAAAGTGCTAAAGAAAATATACAATAAACTTTTATAATCCTGAAGGTAGTGAAGGCCTTTCTAAGCAAGACATAAAACCTAGAATTTATAAAGGACTGACAGATTCAACTCCATAAAAATTAAAATCTTCTGGCATTACATAATGGTAAAGGGATCAATGCAACAAGAAGAGCTAACTATCCTAAATATATATGCACCCAATAGAGGAGCACCCAGATTCATAAAGCAAGTTCTTAGAGACCTACAAGGAGACTTAGACTCCCATACAATAATAGTGGGAGACTTTAACACTCCACTGTCAATATTAGACAGACCAATGAGACAGAAAATTAACAAGGACATCCAGGACTTGAACTCAGCTCTGCACCAAGCGGACCTAATAGACATCTACAGAACTCTCCACCCCAAATCAACAGAATATACATTCTTCTCAGCACCACATCACACTTATTCTAAAATTGATCACATAATTGGAAGTAAAACACTCCTCAGCAAATGTAGAAGAATAGAAATCACAACAAACTGTCTCTCAGACCACAGTGAAATCAAATTAGAACTCAGGATTAAGAAACTCACTCAAAACCGCACAACTGCATGGAAACTGAACAACCTGCTCCTGAATGACTACTGGGTAAGTAACGAAATGAAGGCAGAAATAAAGATGTTCTTTGAAACCAAGGAGAACAAAGACACAGCATACTGGAATCTCTGGGACACATTTAAAGCAGTGTGTAGAGGGAAATTTATAGCACTAAATCCCACAAGAGAAAGCAAGAAAGATCTGAAGTTGACACCCTAACATCACAATTAAAAGAACTAGAGAAGTAAGAGCAAACAAATTCAAAAGCTAGCAGAAGACAAGAAATAACTAAGATCAGAGTGAACTGAAGGAGATAGAGACACAAAAAAACCTTCAAAAAATCAATGAATCCAGGAGCTGGATTTTTGAAAAGATCAACAAAATAGATAGACTGCTAGCCAGACTAATAAAGAAGAAAAGAGAGAAGAATCAAATAGATGCAATAAAAAATGATAAGGGGGACATCACCACTGATTCCACAGAAATACAAACTACCATCAGAGAATACTATAAACATCTCTATGCAAATAAACTAGAAAATCTAGAAGAAATGGATAAATTCCTCGACACATACACCCTCCCAAAACTAAACCAGGAAGAAGTTGAATCTCTGAATAGACCAATAACAGGTTATGAAATTGAGGCAATAATTAATAGCCTGTCAACCAAAAAAGTTCAGGACCAGACGAATTCACAACTGAATTCTACAAGAGGTACAAAGAGGAGTTAGTACCATTCCTTCTGAAACTATTCCAATCAATAGAAAAAGAGGGAATCCTCCCTAACTCATTTTAAAAGGCCAGCATCATCCTGATACCAAAACAGAGACACAACAAAAAAAGAGAATTTTAGACCAATATCCCTGATGAACATTGATGCGAAAATCCTCAATAAAATACTGGCAAACCGAATCCAGCAGCACATCAAAAAGCTTATCTACCATGATCAAGTCGGCTTCATCTTTGGGATGCAAGGGTGGTTCAACACACGCAAATCAATAAACGTAATCCATCACATAAACAGAAGCAATGACAAAAACCACATGATTACCTCAATAGATGCAGAAAAGGCCTTTGACAAAATTCAACAGCGCTTCATGCTAAAATCTCTCAATAAACTAGGTATTGATGGGATGTATCTCAAAATAATAAGAGCTATTTATGACAAACCCATAGCCAATATCATACTGAAAGGGCAAAAACCGGAAGCATTCCCTTTGAAACCCAGCACAAGACAAGGATGCCCTCTCTCACCACTCCTATTCGTGTAGTATTGGAAGTTCTGGCCAGGGCAATCACGCAAGAGAAAGAAATAAAGGGTATACAATTAGGAAAAGAGGAAGTCAAATTGTCTCTGTTTGCAGATGACATGATGGTATATTTAGAAAACCCCATCGTCTCAGCCCCAAATCTCTTTAAGCTGATAAACAACTTCAGCAAAGTCTCAGGATACAAAATCAATGTGCAAAAATCACAAGCATTCCTATACATCATTAACAGACAAACAGAGAGCCAAATCATGAGTGAACTCCCATTCACAATTGCTATAAAGAGAATAAAATACCTAGGAATCCAACTTACAAGGGATGTGAAGGACCTCTTCAAGGAGAAATACAAACCACTGTTAAGGAAATAAAAGAGGACACAAACAAATGGAAGAACATTCCATGCTCATGGATAGGAAGAATCAATATCATGAAAATGGCCATACTGCCCAAAGTACTTTATAGATTCAATGCTATCCCCATAAAGCTACCACTGAGTTTCTTCACAGAATTGGAAAAAACTATTTTAAATTTTATATGGAACCAAAAAAGAGCCCGCATAGCCAAGACAATCCTAAGCAAAAAGAACAAAGCTGGAGGCATCATGCTGCCTGACTTCAAACTATATTACAAGGCTACAGTAACCAAAACAGCATGGTACTGGTACCAAAACAGATATATAGACCAATGGAACAGAACAGAGGCCTCAGAAATAACACCACACATCTACAACCCTCTAATCTTTGACAAACCTGACAAAAACAACCAATGGGGAAAGGATTCCCTATTTAATAAATGGTGCTGGGAAAACTGGCTAGCCATATGCAGAAAGCTGAAACTGGATCCCTTCCTTACACCTTATACAAAAATTAACTCAAGATGGATTAAAGACTTAAATGTAAGACCTAAAACCATATAAACCCTAGAAGAAAACCTAGGCAATACCGTTCAGGACATAGGCACGGGCAAAGACTTCATGACTAAAACACCAATAGCAATGGCAACTAAAGCCAAAATAGACAAATGGGATCTCATTAAACTAAAGAGCTTCTGCACAGCAAAAGAAACTATCAGAGGCGTGAACAGGCAACCTACGGATTGGGAGAAAATGTTTGCAATCTATCCATCTGACAAAGGGCTAATATCCAGAATCTACAAAGAACTTAAACAAATTTACAAGAAAAAAACAACCCCATCAAAAAATGGGCAAAGGATATGAACAGACACTTCTCAAAAGAAGACATTTATGCAGCCAAGAAAGATATGAAAAAAAGCTCATCATCACCGGTCATTAGAGAAGTGCAAGTCAAAACCACAATGAGATACCATCTCATGCCAGTTAGAATGGTGATCATTAAAAAGTCAGGAAACAACAGATACTGGAGAGGATGTAGAGAAATAGGAACACTTTTACACTGTTGGTGGGAGTGTAAATTAGTTCAACCATTGTGGAAGACAGGGTGGTGATTCCTCAAGGATCTAGAACTAGAAATGCCATTTGACCCAGCAATTCCATTACTGGGTATATACCCAAAGGATTATAAGTAATTCTATTATAAAGACACAGGCACACATATGTTTACTGCCACACTGTTCACAATAGCAAAGTCTTGGAACCAACCCAAATGCCCAGCAGTGTAGGCCGGATAAAGAAAATGTGGCACATATACACCATGGAATACTATGCAGCCATAAAAAAGGATGAGTTCATGTCCTTTGCAGGTACATGGATGAAACTGGAAACCATCATTCTCAGCAAAGTAACACAAGAAGAGAAAACCAAACACCGCATGTTCTCACTCATAAGTGGGAGTTGAACAATGAGAACACATGGATACGGGGCAGGGAACATCACACATGGGGGCCTGTCGGGGGGTGGGGGGCTGGAGGAGGGATAGCATTAGGAGAAATACCTAATGTAAATGACAAGTTGATAGGTGCAGCAAACCAACATGGCACATGTTTACCTATGTAACAAACCTGCACGTTGTGCACATGTACCCCAGAACTTAAAGTAGAATAATAAAAAATAAAAAAAATTAAAATATTTTGTATGGTGAAAAATACCACTAATAAAGTAAAATGAAAAGTTACAGACTGGGAGAAAATATTTGCCACATATGTAATGAAGCATTATTGCCTGTAATATATTAAGAAGCTCCTATACACCAATAGAAAAAAAGACTAAAAACCCAGTAAAAAATGAGTTAACAAGTAATTCATAAAACAGAAATCCATATGACCAATATGCTTATGAATAGTGCTCAATCCTTCATAAGTGTGGTGGAGACTGTGCTGGGCCTTCCAGATCCCCTTTGGCAATGAAGGACTTGTTGCCCTTTATGGGGATTGTGTAGGCTGAAGAAAACTGCTTTGCCCAAGGCCAAGCACCTCTCCCTATGGGGCCCACATCCCAGAACTGATGATGACATGGAGGCTTAAAGGCCAGCTCCCTTCCCTTCAATTTAGCAAGGCTCTGAAGGTTCATCCAGCTCTGTGGGGTTGGCTGAGGCCTTTGTTGAGACTACATCGCAGCTCGACTTCTTCCTTTGCCCAACCTTGCTTTCCGCTCCTTCCTTTCACTGGTGTTAATACCAAGAGCTCTCCCTAAAAACGTCCTGCACACTACTCTGTCTTAGAGTTGGCTTCCTGGGGAACCCAACCTGTGACTATTAGAACTAAGGTAATGAAAATTGTAACCAGTAAACGTTATCTCCCTACCCATCAGTGTTTAGCACAACTTTAAAAGAATGAAAACGTACAGTGTGGATGGGTGTGGGGAAATACGCTCTCTTAATTATTATTGGTAAAAGTGTAAACTGGTAGAACCTTTTTGGTATATAATTTAGAAGTATCTTTAAACAATAAAAATAAGCATATCCTTTGACCCAGCAATCACACTTCAAGAATTATCCAAAAGAAATAAGGAAGTTAATTACAGCTCGTTTGTAAAAAAGAGGAAAAAACAGGTCAATAGGTAGTACATCCCTACTACAGAATACAAGGTAGTAAGTAAAATAAATTGTCAAGATGTGCAGTTTAGGCTGGGCACGGTGGCTCACGCCTGTAATCCTAGCACTTTGGGAGGCTGAGGTGAGTGGATCACACGAGGTCAGGCATTCAAGACCAGCCTGGCTAACACGGCGAAACCATGTCTCTACTAAAAACACAAAAACTGGCCGGGCATGGTGGCGCGTGACTGTAGTCCCAGATACTCTGGAGGCTGAGTCAGGAGAATCACTTGAACCTGGGAGATGGAGGCCTCAGTGAGCCAAGATTGCACCACTATCTCAAAAAAAAAATGTGCATTTTGAAAGTAAGTTTTAAAACCACATTGATAACCACTTAGGTAAAAATAACCTCCTGCCCATTTATATATGTAACTGTATATAGCACAAGCCCCGAGAGGATTCTCAACACATGATTCAAGTAATTACCTAAGAAGAGGAGGAGAATGATGGGGAAGAGGTTGAAGGCAGACTTTCATATTTAATCTCCATACTTCTATCTAGAGAGCCTATAATAATCGTATTACTTGTGTAATTAAAAATAGCAGTTAAAGGAAAAAAGAAACAAATCAGGTGTTTCGACTTTTCTTTCCCATGTTTCACAGCTTTTTCCTCCTATTTGATCCTGAAGTTGTGGTTTGCATGAGTCCTGTGGCCTAGCAGAGCCCCCTGCCGGACCCCCATGAGAACTAAGAAAAGATTGGACATTGTTAGGGAGAGCTGTTGGTATTAACACCTGTGAAAGGAAGAGGGAGGAAGCAGGGTTGGGCAGAGGGAGATGAGCTGTGATGCAATCTCAACAAAGGCTCAGCCAACCCCACAGGGAACTGTGGGGCTGAAGCTTATTTGGTAATTCTCTTTTGGCGTTATTTGAAGTGGTGACTCTTTATGTTAATTAAAGAGCCTCAAAATTGTGAAGAAGTGATCTTATAGGATATGTGAAAGCTGGAGGTTCAAAAGCTGAGGGCTACAAAATCAAGGGCAGGAAGTGACATCTGGGTAAAGGTTTGGGTTTCCAGTGGAGGAGGCTGGGACTGTCTGAGGGGACCACCTGGGAGCACATCCACTTGCCTGGATTGAATGGCCTGACTTAAGTCCTACCTGACCCATGATCCCGCCGAGTTCCCCCTGCAACATCTTCACTTGGCATTCTAGTAACTCGATGTTGCTCAGGGAAGACTGGTATTTATCCCTGTAGAGGTTTAAGCTCCTCTCTAGAGAGGCGATCTTGTCCCCGGCCAAGGCGAGTTGCTCCTGCGCCAAATGGAGCTTCTCCCCTGTGTTCTCGTTGTGATTTCCCATTTCCTCCTCATAGAGAATCACCTGTAGGTGTAGGAATAAATCCACATTGAGCCCATGGAAGCACGTAATGAGGAAAGGATGCGGTTGTAAGATTCCCTGCAGAGAAGTCTTGTATCTGAACCAGAAGACCAGATGAACAGAAGAGAGGCTGCACAGATCTAAAAGCTACAGTATGTAATATCAAGATGCTAATGATTGGAAACAAAAAAAGGTGGCCCTAGTTAGAGGTAAGCTCCTTCAAGGCAGGATCATATCCATTTCCCATTCTGCCCAGCATGTGGCAGAAACTCAATGAATACTTGCTAGTTGATTAATAGGAATGAATTTGTATAGCTCTGTTTTTTAAGGGCTTGAAATGCTGGTATTTTTTCCTTCCCAGGCATTCTCTAGAGGTTGAACTTAGAAAATGCAGACTTCCTCCTGCACACAGGACTATGTCAGGAAAGTTCCCAAGAGATAGGTGGGGAACATGACCCAAAGTTCCTCTGGGATTTGCACAATCCTTGTTTAGATTTATTTTCTTCCTCATCAAGTAATTAGTCAACAAACTGACAGATATTTATTGAAAGCTCACGAGCATTGTGTTAAGTGCAGAGGGGATATATACATATTAGACATATGCTCACCCCTCAAAGAGTTTAAAACTTTCACAATCTTGGGGACATAAGATTTAAAATGAATAAACAGCTGTAGGTAGTTGAGTGTGCTAAATTGTATGGCTCGAATTTGATGTGTTGAAGGAGTTAACAGCAGAAGAGTCATGAAGGATGGCTTTATATTAGTTTAAATAATCCAATGTAGAATGCTGATAGAACATGTTCCATTAGTTTAAGCTCATTATACTTGCTGTCTGTCATTTGAGATTCTTCTTAGGAAAGGATAACTTTGTGTAAGGTGTCTACTACGTAAGGGGAAGAAGAGAGGAATATTTTATATCCAAATATTTGTAACCAAAGCTGTCAGTGGCCAGCCCATATCCCCTGGGCACTTGCTATTTCTTTGCAAGTTAACCCCATTCCCACTGCAAGCATATTCAACTCTGCCTGAGGGCTTCTCTAATACCAGGAGCCCATTCAACCAGAGAGGCAAGACAGGGTAGGTTAGAAGTGCTGGGGGGTTAACGCCCTCAGGAGCAGCCCTCAACCAATGACTGGGGGTATGTTGGTGGGTTCACTCTGAGGCATGTTCTACACTATCTCCCAGAGTTCCCCAGAGGGACCAAGCAAGCAATCTACTCAATACCAGTGTCCTTTATGGGCTTCCGGTCCTTCTTTGACTCACTTGCTCATGTGCATGCAGGAATCACCTCCGGAATTAGTTACTTGAATTTATATCCTTGTCTTAGGGTCTGCTGTTGAGTGAACCCAACCTTAGACAGATGTTTGATGAGGCTGTGCAACAAGACATTGGGGGAACTTGGCAGAATGTCTAAAATAATTCTCTCAATGCTTTCTCGGTTTGGGATCTTTGACAGTGACTGTTATTTGCCGAGTCCTGTATGTATTCTCCCGCTCTTCCTTACTAATAGAACCTTGACTCTACTGGGGGCAGCAATGCACCTCCTAAAACACCACATTTCCTAGGCTTCCTAGAAACTAGCTGTTGCCATGTGACTAATTCTGGCCAGGGATATTTAAGTGAAGGTGTTGTGGCTTCCGGAAAGTGTCCTTAAAAGGAAGGGAGTGTGCCTTTCCTTTCCACCCTTGTCACCTGGTCCTCTGCCCTTTTATCTGGATTATTTGGAACAAGGATGTGGCCTGGTATGGTGACTCATGCCTGTAACCCCAGCACTTTGGGAGGCCAAGATGGGCGGATCACCCGAGGTCAGGAGTTCAAGACCAGCCTGGCCAACATGGTGAAACCCCGTCTCTACTAAAAATACAAAAATTAGCCGGGTGTGGTGGTGCGTGCCTGTAATCCCAGCTACTCAGGAGGCTGTGGCAGGAGAGTCACTTGAACTTGGGAGGCGGAGGTTGCAGAGAGCCAAGATCGGGCCAATGCATCCCAGCCTGGGCGACAGATTGAGACTTCGTCTCAAAAAAAAAAAAAAAAAAAAAAAAGGATGTGACGGCTGAAGCTCCAGCAGGCACCTCAGGTGACTTAGAGAATGGAAGCCCTGAGCTGATGCTGGTGGAACCCAAGGATAGACCCTTAGACCTGATGACACACACAGTTGCCATAACAGCAACAGACCACCTGTCTCTGACCTTTTTAAATATGACACAGAAATCAACTAGCTTATTTATTTTCTGTTATATGCTGCTAAATAGAATCCCAACTCATTCAGGGTCACTTTATCCAGGCTGGACCCTTTTGTTTAAGTTGTAGTGAACCACTAAGTTTTAACACAGCCCTGCACTATCTTTTTAAAACTATGTGTATGTGCACAGGCTAAGTCATAGATTATATTTGTAGGATTAGAATAACCTTTCTCTGTTCCTCCCACTCTTAATTCTTTTGAGCAGATTTTCACTAGGTGACAATATTCCCTTTTTAAAAAGTCTATGGTCTGTAAGGTCCTACCTAAAGTCCTTGAAGTTAGTCCTTAAGCAACAGCACCATCCAAAACACTCTTTGAAATTTTTTTTTCTTCTCCGTCCTTCCAATAGAACCTAACTCCTTGAAATTTTATCTTTAAATCTAAAGAAAGAAAATGCCAGGGGAAACCCCAGGATGGAAGAGTACGTCTGTCCCATCATTTAGAACCCATGGTTTACTGCACCTAGTGCTATCACTGCTCAAGTGGTTTTAGTGCTGCAGCTTTGGGTTTTTGGAATTTACTTGGGATTCTAAAGGGGTGGTACTCTTCGGCTTAGAAAATACCACCCTGGAACATGAATGGGAATTAATGTCCTGAATATACCTAAGTGAAGCCTATATGATCTAAAACTCCAGTCTGAAAAAATTACCTGGTACTCTCAATGATTGACTCCCACTCAACATCTGGTTATCTTATCTAGTGTGCACGTGCCAGGAATTTATATATTATCAAGACCTTATTTTTCTAAAAATGGTGGATTTAATGGACCTTATACCTCTTTGATAACCCTCAGAGACCTACAGTCTTTTGCATTTACATTGCAATGGTAATAGAATGGAGAAGATGGACTTATACACACACACACACACACACACACACACACACACACACACATGCCTGCACACACACTCCACATATTCCACATGCATGAATACTGCAGCTTTCACCGAGTTATGCCATTCAGTTTAGTTTCCTTCTGCTCAGCTTCAAAAAGATCAAGAATTAAAGGGGGAAGGTTTATAAAACCTGCTCGGGATGTTGCAAAGCTCTCCTAAGTCCAGCGTCTGCTTTCTAGTGGGCTTGGTCTGATTTCTGCAGGTACCTAAGAATGTGGGTTATTTCCATGGTTAATCTGTCTATACCTCATCTTCTTTCAGTTTGCAGTGATGGTGCAGAAGAACCAGGTCGGAAGTCTGCTTCTCTAGGATGGACTGATACTGGCGGAGAGAATAGTAAGAAGTCTGCAACTCCTCTGTGTGAAACTCCAGTTCTTGTTGAAGGACCAGCAATTTTTTCTTCAGTTGCTGGAGTTGTCTCAGATGACACTGTTTACTGGACCCAAATTCCACCTCTGACTCCTCGAATGCTAATGCCTGTGCTTGCTTCTTGTCCTACCATAGAGACAGGATATACAAAAAAGGCTTTAGATCATCACTAAGGACGTATTCATTCCAGGATTTTTTTTTCATTTGTTCAGTCATTCACATCCATCTATCCATCTTTTTATCTTTTCATCTACAGAGATCTTATTAAACATTTCACTCTATTCACAAGGAAATGTATCACTTAGTATTCCCACTCAGTAAGAAGAATTCAGTAGAAGAAAAAAAATGGTTCTTATCTACCAAAATCTTATTATTTAGGTCAGAAGAAAAAATATACACATAAAGGACCTAGGGAGATATGTGTAATAATATGCTGAGGTGTTGCCTTCCCATATAAAGATAACACTAGTGACTTGGAAGGAAATGGATTTCTGGCCTTGGTTCTTGGACTAAACTTGGTATTAAAAACACCTGGGTAAAGGAGCATTGCAATGAGTCAAGGGTGAATTCTTGGGGATTTTGAAACGCTGAAAAATGAGAGCCAGAGATATTGTTCAGGTACATCTGGGCACTGACTCTGTCTCCTTCTCCTGAAGGAAGATGTGACCTTGCGGATGCTGACTCTGTGTGCGTGTGTGTGTGTGTATGTGTGTGTGTGGTGTGATCTCTTCTTGCTAATCCACAATCTATCTGAAATGCTGCTAGGCTCATCCTTCATTTTCATTCATTCATTCATTCACTCAACAGACACAGGCTAAGCACCTATGTTTTACCAGGTATTCTGCTGGTAGGACACATCCCTGAGTTGCTGATGCTTCTATATTTCCTATATTTTCCAGCATCCCTTATGACAATGACACGTGAGGTTAAGGTGGATAAAGAGGGTAGCCTCTGGGCAGTCCTTAGCATCCAACCCTGCTTATTATCCTCCTACACATTCTTTAAGTTTCTGTTTAAATCCTGCTCTCCTTCCTGTTTTTTCCCTGCAAAGCTGTCTTTGCACCAGTACCACAGACTTTGCTAGCATGTCCTTAATGTGCTATTCTGTATTCTGTCTGTAATTATTTCTGTGCATTTTAACTTCTAATTAGATTATAAACTCCTGGAGGGCAGGGCCATGTTTGCTCTTATGGGGCCTAGTTTACAGATTCATACATACCTATGAATTGAATGAAAGAAATGAAAATAGCGTCCAAGCAATCTCATTGGCTCCCGAGGGGTTGAGCTTGTGGCCTTGGCCTCATTAACAGAGTACTTCTAATACCGTGGCTTTCAAATTTTTAAATTAACTTTTTGAAAACAGATTTATTGAGGTATACTTTGCATATCATGAAATGCAACCATTGTTAAGTGTGCAACTCAGTGACTTGTAATAAACTTATAGAATTGTGTGACCATCATTACAATGTTTTAGAACATTTCTATCAACCCCCCACGTTTCCTCATGCCCATTTTCAGTCACCCCTGCTCCCTCCTCCAGCTCCAGGCAACCACAAATCTGCTTTCTGCCTCTATGGATTTTCTGCCTTTTCTAGACGTTTCACATATGGAATTGTATAATATGTCATTTTTTGGCTTCTTATAAATAAAAATATATATTTATTTTATTTTGAGACAGAGTCTTGCTCCATTGCCCAGGCTGGAGTGTAGTGGTGTGATCTTGGCTCGCTGCAACCTCCACCTCCCCGGTTCAAGTGATTCTAATGCCTCAGCCTCCGGAGTAGCTGGGATTACAGGTGTGTGCCACCACACCCAGCTAATTTTTGTATTTTTAGTAGAGATGGGGTTTTGCCATGCTGGCCAAGTTGGTCTCGAACTCCTAAGCTCATGCGATCTGCCCACCTTGACCTCCCAAAGTGCTGGGATTACAGGTGTGAGCCACTGTGCCTGGCTGCATAATGTTTTTGAGGTTCATCCAGGTTGCGGCAAGAATCAGTATTGGAGGCCGGGCACGGTGGCTCACGCCTGTAATCCCAGGACTTTGGGAGGCCGACGTGGGTGGATCATGAGGTCAGGAGATCGAGACCGTCCTGGCTAACACAGTGAAACCCCGTCTCCACTAAAAATACAAAAAAAATTAGCCAGGCGTGGTGGCGGGCGCCTGTAGTCCCAGCTACTCAGGAGGCTGAGGCAGGAGAATGGCATGAACCTGGGAGGCAGAGCTTGCATTGAGCTGAGATCGTGCCACTGCACTCCAGCCTGAGCGACAGAGTGAGACTCTGTCTCAGAAAAAAAAAAAATCAGTATTTGATTCCTTTTTATTGCTGGATAGTATTCCATTGTATAAATATACCATATTTGGTTTATCTGTTCACCAGTTGATGGATATTTGGGTTGTTTCAGTTTTTGGCAATTACGAATACTGCTGCTATGAACATTAACCATATTAGCCTTTGTGTGGGTATGATATTTTCATCTAATTAATGTGCTCAGCAAATAATGTGGTACACCTAGTATATCAAGCACTACACTACGTAATGGGGATATAGCAGTATATAAAACAGACAAAATCGGCTGGGTGCGGTGGCTCACACCTGTAATCCCAGCACTTTGGGAGGCTGAGGCAGGCAGATCACGAGGTCAGGAGATCGAGACCATCCTGGCTAACACGGTGAAACCCCATCTCTACTAAAAATAAAAAAAAAATTAGCCGGGTGTGGTGGCGGGCGCCTGTAGTCCCAGCTACTCAGGAGGTTGAGGCAGGAAAATGGCGTGAACCCGGGAGGCAGAGCTTGCAGTGAGACCACACCACTGCACGCCAGCCTGGGCAACAGAGCGAGACTCCATCTCAAAAAAAAAAAAAAAAAAAAAAAAAAAACCAGACAAAATCCCGACTTTGTGGAGTTTGCATCTAATATGGGGAGAGCGAAAACTAAGCAAGTATATATGTAGTGTATTAGAAGGACAAAATGCAACAGGGGAGAGTGAAACGGGAGGAAGATGAGGAATTCCAGGATGGAGGAGGTTACATTTTTGAATTAAATGTTTGCATGGAAGGCCAAATTGAGAAGCTGACGTTTGAACCGAAACTTGAAGGAGGCAAAAGAAGGTATCTGGAATGCTCCAGGGAGTGATGGCCTTGGAGGTGGAAGCATGCCTGGTGGTATTTGAGGAGCCCCAGGGGTTGCAGCCACTTTTTTTTCTGGCTGGAGCAGAGACAGTAAGGGGGAAAGCTGTGCCTGATGGAGTGAGATAGGAAAAGGAGGTGAGGTCTTTAGGATCGTATAGCCATTCTCGAGACTTTAACTTCTTTTGGGGAGACGAAAGGCCTTTGGAGGGTACTGAACAGAGGAGCAACATGATCTCCCTGAGCTTTTATGAAGGTCACACTGGCTGTTTA
Organism: Homo sapiens; assembly: GCF_000001405.40. Classification (NCBI taxonomy): domain Eukaryota; kingdom Metazoa; phylum Chordata; class Mammalia; order Primates; family Hominidae; genus Homo; species Homo sapiens. Next base: position 72,157,734 of record NC_000016.10, read on the forward strand.
TTGGAAATCAACTCTAGGCAGGCAAAGACAGAAAGACCAGGTAGGAGGCTACTGCAATAATCCAGACAAAGGATGACGGCGTGGACCAAGATGGTAGCAATGGAGGGCGGGAGAAGTGGTTGGGTTCTAGATGTATCTTGAAATGACAGGACATAGGATTTGCTGCTGGGTTACAGGTTAGATGGTGGGACATGATGGTCATCCGTAACAGATGATGCCAGGGTTTTTGTCTGAGTAACTGGGGAGATGGAATTTTAATGAGATTAATTCAGTAAGAGCTGGGACCTGAAAGACAAAAAATCTCTACAGAGAGTGGTGGTGGCAGCACAGGGAAGGTAAAGGAGGCTTAACCCAGTCCAGAACCAGAAAGATGATAGCTGATTGTGTCAGTACAATCTGAATGACCCTTTCCAGGCTCTCTTGGAAGTGTCTCATCTTAAGTGCCTCAGAATTGAGAAGAGAGACAGAGAAAATGGACCCACTATGGTCACCAGGCAAAAGAAATCCTAGGCAAAGACACGCCAGTGTATGTGGCTGGAGGAAAGTTGATGAGACCTCTTTTCTAAGTTGTTCTAAGTTGAACAAAGCTAAATTTTGTATTTACTCTGTGTAGCTATAATTGCCAGCATTTATATTAAATGTTGTTGTTAAGGGCTTTCATTCTTTTCAAGATAAAAACACTGCTATTCTCACAACTCATCTGTGAATGAGGTTTGGAGAGAAGAGAGTTGGGAGTGGCGTGTGTGGTGTGCTCATGTATGTGTGTGTACATGCACATACACAGATAGAGGGGCTTCTGAAGAGCCTGAGTCCTCCTGCTTACATAGTAAGTTAGGAGGGTGGGGAGCTACCTGGAAAAAAACATGATCACAAATAAGTACTTAACGTGGACAGAATTAATGCAAAGGAGTGAACATCCTGTGGTAGGGTTAATTCAGAAGGGCTTATTTTAGTATAAATCCAATAAAATTCTTATCAGGCCAGGCATGGTGGCTCATCCCTATAATCCCAGCACTTTGGGAGGCCAAAGTGGGTGAATGGCTTGAGATGAGGAGTTCAAGACCAGCCTGGGCAAGATAGCGAGACCACCATCTTTATAAAAAGTAAAAAAATTAGCCATGCATGTTGGCACGTGCCTGTAGTCCCAGCTACTTGGGAGGCTGAGGCGAGAGAATCACTTGAGCCCTGGAGTTTGAAGCTTCAGTGAGCTATGGTCACACCACTGCACCCCAGCCTGGGCAACAGAGCAAGACACTGTCTCAGAAAATATCCTTATCAGATTTTGCCAAAATCCTTTCTCTTTTGGCTTTGTAAGCATCTGTCCACTGCTGAGTGTGTATGACCCTGCTGAAAACTAACCATGGTCTCCTTCATTCTTTGCTTCTCTTTGCTTCCACGTCCCTGTTTTTTCTTCACTGCCCAGAAGAATGAGAGAAATGCTCTTCTTTTAAAAGAAGTCAAACTCTCTCTCTCTTTAGGGCTTCCCCTCTAGTACCTGGTACCCCCATCTATACTTAGGTGTGCTCAGAATTACTCTTTGGTCTTAAAGCTTCTGGTGGGAAATAAATGCTTTTTTCTAAATGATGTGTATAAAACTTAGCAGCCTGGCAGGGATACTGGTGAAATGTCAATGCTTTATCTTCCCCAGAGGTCGTCTTGGATCTTCTGGGTTTAATTTTGGTCTGAGGCAACATGATGGGCTAGCCAGATGATGAGATTTTATGCAACTCTTCCAGTACAGGACAAATATAGCACCCAACCTAATTTGCCTGGTTATAAAGATCCAAGGACTGCTTCTATCTGCAGAGAAACTAGAGTTCTTTGGATAGGAATTTTAAACATTTGCACACTATAGATATCAATGGGTTTAGAGGAATCAAATTTCAAAGACTTGGAGAAATGCCTAGACTTATTTGAGACCAGTTAAATTTCTACTTATTTATCCTTCTAAATTCTAAAGGAATAGAAAAAGACACGCTATGGATGAAGCCTACATTTCACTTACAAATGTGCTGAAGAGCAGTATCACAAAGGCACCAACTTATTTCCTATTGCTTCTTTGTCTTTTTTTTTTTTTTAAAACATTCTTCCTAATGAAGACACAGATATTTTATTAAGAGTCTTCTTTGACTTTTAAACTGAGATCTGAAGAAAATAAGTACGTTGGAAATGATTTTACAGAGGTAAGACTAGTTCTTAAAATGACCATCTGGAGTGAGATGTGATTCTGGAGGCCATCTGGTCTACCAGGTTTCTCAGCTGGATTTCTATCCAGGTCTCAGCTGCTAGAAAAGATGGGGACTGCTGGCTGTCCATAGGAACCTGTTCCCATATTTAGTACACATTTCATCCCTACTTGTGGTCAAAGAGATTATAGCTATTGCTCCTTCCTTGCCTATGTGGCCACTTGATCACAGAAGGAAATTAATTGGCCTGGCATGATTTGCCTTTTGAAAAGTCACGTTGGTTTCCACCCAATACTTTATGCTTTTCAAGTTGATGCTAATTGATTGATGTTAAGTTCTGTATTTTCCTTGTATTGAAGTTAAGCTGACAGGTCTATAATTACCGGGATTGTCCTTTTTCCCTTTTTAAAAAGATGAGCACTTCATTTACCCTTTTTCAGTCTACAGGGACTTTCTTTATCCTTTTGAGTTCTCAAAAATAATCACTTGCAGCTATGTAATAACACTTGCCAATTCCTTAAGTACTCTTCGAAGTATGTCATCAGGCCCTGCTGATTTGCCTAAAGCTGGCTTTTCAAAATACTTTTTAACCATTTTATTCCCTGTTCTAGTTTGCGCTGACTAGGTTGGCATTGTTCTGATAACTGAATCCCTAATGATTTTTTTTTTCATTTAAGAACCGAAAAGTCTCACTATCTTTTTTTAATGGAGATATTTTTCTTTATTGAGAAACTTAAGACTTGGATACATCAAACTGAATTAATTTCCTGGGGAGGGGACCAAAACCCACAATAGAAAAAGGAAGTTAACACTGTCCGGGCCATAGCAGAACCCAGAGAATACATTTGTATAGTTGAAAAATTCTAAGTGCTTCATATTTGACCTTTTGATACAGCATGATCTATTAAATTTGTGATATGTATTCTTGGTGTTGAGGTCTATAGAACAATCTAGGAAGTCTTCAAACTTTGAGCTGAATTGCATGAGGGGTTATTTGGCTTTTGAATCAGTTTCTCCTTGTTCACAAGGTAGCAGCAGCAACCATTAGCACAGATGAGGACTAACTCACTTTTTCAGTCATTGTCATGAACTTCTGTTCCTATCTTTGAAGTAAGTGAGATATTTCCTTTGAACTCTAGTTTAGCCTTATATCACTGGATAGGTTTATCTGTTACTTTTTTTTTTTTTTTTTTTTTGAGATGGAATCTCACTCTGTTGCCAAGGCTGGAGTGAAGTGGCATGATCTCAGCTCACTGCAACCTCTGTCCCCTGGATTCAAGCGATTTTCTTGCCTCAGCCTCCCGAGTAGCTGGGATTATAGGCGCCTGCTACCATGCCTGGCTAATTTTTGTATTTTTAGTAGAGATGGGGTTTTGTCATGTTGGCCAGGCTGGTGTCAAACTCCTGACCTCAGGTGATCCACCCGCCTCAGCCTCCCAAAGTGCTGGGATTATAGGCTTGAGCCACCGCGCCCGGCCTTATCTGTTATTTCTTATGTCTTCTACAAATTGCATGTCTTGTACTTCCTTGTACTAGCAGAGCATAGAACTGTAAGTTTAAGTGACATGAATTAATTTTAGATGCATCTTTCTGACGTAGACATTCTTCTCACTAGTGACTTCTGCTTGCCTGACATTCACTTTAAAAAAAGTATTTTAGAATAATTTTTGATTTACAGAAAAATTGCAAAAGTAGCCCAGAGAGTTCCCATATGTTCTTCATACAGCTTTCCCTAAGGTTAACTTCTTAAATAACTGGGTACATTTGTCTAAACTAAGAAATTAATGTTGGAAGATTACTATGAACTATACTTTATTGGATTTCACCAGTTTTTCCACTAACGTGTTTTTTCTGTTCCAATATCCAATCCAGGATTTCACATTGCATTTAGAAGATTCAGTGAAATATTTTTTTTCATTCCCAATGATTCAAAACGATACTGTGTAATAATGCCCATCAAGATTCTACTAATCTTTACATCTTCAACAAATTACTTTTATCCACAGGAATCAAACTTGCCTTATATAGTTTTATGCTAAAAAGTGTCCTCTGTACACTTCAAAGATGAGTTTGGCAATCTGAGCTCTACTGAATATCAGGGCATGCACCCTATGCCACCATCAGGGAATGGAGCCTGGGAAAATTGCTCAAAAGGCCCTTTCTTTTCTGGTTTGATCATTTTATTATGATGTCTCTGTTGTTCTTTTCTCCTTTCACTTTGAGATGCTCTTTTGATTCCTGGGCAGGGCCAGGACTACAGTGAGGGAAGTGAGGTGCAAATTTTAAGGAGGCACTCAGTCTCAGGGTGGAGCACATGCAGGTTGGCACCTGAAGAGCTTGTGCCCATGAATTTTGCACCTTAGCCACCTCATTTGCTTCACCCTATTTCCTGCTGTGTTCCTGGGATTGGGAGCATAACGTAGTTTTGATTTGCAAGGTCATGCCGTTTTCTTTTCTATCACTTGCCCCTTCCCTGCCACTCCTTTTGTTATACATAACAGCTAATGTAACATTTTAATCTTCTTGCATAATTGCGGTTGTAAACTATGACCTCCTGCTTGTTTCCCCAGCTCCTTGTTAGAGAGTAGTCAGAATTTCAGAAAGTCTTGGTTTCCCTTTTGTTCCCATATTACATTTCCATGTGGAAGGCAGATCTTAAAGGGATTTTCCGAGCGGATGAGTGTAAGTCTACATCTAATTGTGGATTTGTATGCATAGTCTGCTATTTAAATTCTGCACTAAGTGCTAGGGGAAAAAAGAGCTCGCTTTAAAGCTTGTTTCAAGCTGTTAGACCTTCTTCTGGGCAATTAGAATAATAAAATGCAATTTAATACCTTTCTCCTTCCAAGTTGCCAGGTACATTTATAAGCCACATGGCTTTCCCTGACTGGGGGAATAAGTAAACTCATGACAGCAATGGTGAAAATATCCTAAAATGTTAATATTTAGAAAGAAGTAAATTATGATAATCTTCTTCCTGAGATCCATTTAGGAAACTGGTGGATTTTTCTCTATTTGTGACTTCCTGAGGAAAGCAGTGCTTACAAGATGAAGTAGAAATGCTTTGTTGGTAGTATTTCTAGGACATTGCAGAGGAACAATTTGTGGTTTCAATAGTGAGGTGGTAAGTCCTGGGAGAACTCTAATAGATGCAATGAAAAGAGGCCAGATCCTTGACCACAAACAGTGAAGAACACAGTGGCGGCTTCACAGCCTCCCAGAGGCTAACTTTGGGTGTCCAGCAACAGGTCTGTGCAGCTAGGACCTTCTTTATGTTTACCGAGAACTCATGTCACTAAATGGAAATGAAGACCACAAGTAAAGAATTCTTGGAAACCCAAAGTGTTAGGGAGCTGTGGGAAAATATCTCCCAGATGGCTCCCCAGCTTATGTGGAAAAATTTAGAGACTGACTTAAAGACCTTAGATTTAGAGCTTCCAAAGAAAGCAAACCCCAGGCTAAAATGAAATTATCTCAGCTGATGAACAGCCTAGACTCTAGATAAGTATTAGTCCAAAATCACAGTCTCAAGAAAGATGCTTATGCCAGGAGGTCTGCATGTTCACACATGTGTAGGATCAGTGCTACTGAGTGTCTTCACTTGGGCACCCCTGAAAGCAGGCTCTGTGACAAGGAACTGAGGGTCAAGTAGTAGTTGATGTGGGAGGTGGTCTTAGGAAACTCTGGTTGGGGAGTGGGAGACTGAAACAAGGAAGGGAAGGAAGCAGATAAAAGGTGTGTCCACTCATTGATTGATGGGCATTTGACTGGTTCCATGTTTTCGCATGTGGTATATATATACAATGGAATACTACTCAGCCATAAAGAGGAATGAATTAATGGCATTCACAGCAACCTGGATGGAATTGGAGACTATTATTCCAAGTGAAGTAACTCAGGAATGGGAAACCAAACATCATATGTTCTTACTTATAAGTGGGAGCTAAGCTATGAGGATGCAAAGGCATAAGAGTGAAACAATGAACTTTGGGGACTCTGTGGAAAGGGTGGGGGGGGTGAGGGATAAAAGACTACAAATTGGGTTCAGTGTATACTGCTTGGGTGATGGGTGCACCAAAATCTCACAAATCACCACTAAAGAACTTACTCATGTAACAACAACAACAACAACAACAACAACATTGGGTTAAAAAAAAAAAGGTGTGTCATCAAGTCAGGTACCGCTGTGAGCAACTGGGCTCAGGTCCATGGAGGAAGTCTGTGAGACAGCACGCCTCGGGTTACCTCTGATTAGGGAGAAAGGAAGGTGGGAGATGTAATCTACCATCTCCCCATCTGACATTGCTTGAGGGTTGCTTCTAGGGGCATTAACTCTTGAGAACCTGAGCTTGTCCTATGATCAGGTTCCTGCATCCAGAAGAAAAGCTTGCAGGCAGTGAGACGCAGGTGCAGCAATAAAGACCCCCTGCTACCCCAATGGACACTGATACCTTAGAGCAGGTGTGATGGTTTTTATTTTCATGGTTGACTTAGAAGTTTGTCTGAGATCCATAGCAGACGCTGCTCCCCTTGTATCACTATGATCTGATATTTTCAGGGCAATGAGCTGTAAATACAGGTGTGAAAGGCCAGATAAGGAAAACATCGTGCCTAGGATGTACATGACCTTGGAGATAGATGGAAAAGTCCTGAAGGCAGGACTGGCATTTTCCATGTGTATGTGCGTTGGGGTGTGTGTGTTTAATTCTCTTAATTCTCTCTCATTGCTTGCTTAATAAGTACTCCTGAATGAACAGTGGAAGAACTTTCTATTATTCCCGCCCAAGGGAGCAGAGGCAGAAGTCAAGAGAGCAGGGGTGAGCGGCTGCTGCCAAGTCCCTTACGTGGCTGCTGTTCATTGCCTCCTCCATGCAGAGCTGATTGTCCTGCAAGGTCTTCCTCTGTCTCTTGCAGACATCGTGCAGATTCTTGATGTCAAGTTGCAGGCTTAACAGCTTGCTGTTCAGGCTGCTCACTTCTCTGTCTCTCTCCCCCGCCTAGGCAGCCAGAAAAACAAAAGCATCAATTATAAACTATCAAGAAAGTGCTGCTTTCATTCACTTAACAGGTTGACAGAGACTTGAAATTTGCTGGAAATTTGTCCATCAACCATTAGCTGTTATTACTCATCCTGTGTAACATTTACACAGTTTCCAATTGCCAGGTGTCTGACCGTTCTGCATTATTCAGACAATTACTGATTTATATTAATTAAATCTTCACCACACTGCTGGGGGTGCACAACAGACAATTCCCCTGTTTTTCAAGAGGAAGTCAGTGTCTAGAATAATTCTAGGCACCTACTGGACTGTCTATAAATATTAATGGCTCTGCCACTGATGAACATATTGAGATGTCAAATGAACTTGTCAAGACAAGTATAGTGAATCCATGATGGGCTTGATATGGGATTCTGAAGTCTCTTACCTTTCTCTTCTACCCACTAGACCAAAAAATGTCCCTCACCTATAAACCCAGTGCTTTTCTTTTCTTTCTTTCTTTTTTTTTTTTTTGAGACGGAGACTTGCTCTATTGCCCAGGCTGAAGTGCAGCGGCACGATCTAGGCTCACTGCAAGCTCCGCCTCCCGGGTTTACTTAAACCATTCTCCTGCCTCAGCCTCCTGAGTAGTTGGGACTACAGGCACCCGCCACCATGCCCGGCTAATTTTTTGTATTTTTAGTAGAGACAGGGTTTCACAGTTTTAGCCAGGATGGTCAAGATCTCCTGACCTCGTGATGTGCCCATCTTGGCCTCCCAAAGTGCTGGGATTACAGGCATGAGCCACCGTGCCTGGCCAACCCAGTGCTTTTCTTTAGAGGCATTCACAATGGGAACAAAAGTGAAATCCCTGGGCTGGTGGCGTAAGATTTCTGTCTTTGATTATGAGTGAAAAGAATTAGCTAATTGTTGCTAGATGGGGATGGAAAGTAGTGACTGAGATATAAATAGAATGTGTGGGGCATAGTAACTTGGGTGGGGGTGCAGGTGCAGAGCTGTTGTAGGATGGTGGGGCTTTATCACTCCAGGATGCCACCTCCACTCCCAGAGTTGTGGGTGGCAATGGTGTGAAAAGGAAGGTGGAAGAAGTCCTGTGTGAACCTGTGTAGTGCTTCAGTTCTGTCACTGTGCCGGCTTTCTACAACACTTGTGAGCACAGATGTTACCGTTACTGAGTTTTAAATCTAGGAACTGAGGCTGGCTCCTTCATGGTCAGTACATGGTTTGGCTCCAAGTCCCCAACCAAACCTCATCTCAAATTGTAATCCCCATGTGTTGAGGGAGGGACCTGGTGGGAGGTGATTGGGTCATGGGGGTGGTTTCTCCCATGCTGTTCTTGTAATAGTGAGTGAGTTCTTACGAGATCTGATAGTTTAAAAGTGTGGCACTTCCCCTCACTCTCTCTCTCCAGCTGCCATGTAAGATGTGCCTTGCTTCCCCTTTGCCTTCCGCTATGATTGTAAGTTTCCTTAGGCCTCCCCAGCTATGTGGAACTGTGAGTCAGTTAAACCTCTTTTCCTGATAAATTACTCAGTCTCCAGTAGTTCTTTATGGCAGTGTGAAAATGGGCTAATACAGTACCTATCTCTTAGGTTAGATTACCAAGAGGGTTCTTAAGTGAGGATTCATGGCATCTATTAAAGAAACACTCCCAAGAAAAACCAGCATGGAAGAGGGGGAAGCAGGACAGGGAAGGGGTAAAAACCAAGTATAGGTACATTTTCAGAGAGTCCTGTGGTCAGTAATTTTAGCCTGCTCATACAGGAAACTCTGGAATATGAGCTACACCTTAGAGTCTGTCTTGATTGGTGTCAATGAAAGCTGGGCTGTCAAACTCAGCATCAGTCAGTCAATGGCCAATGGCCATCCCATGGGTTATAAGCTCCTAAGAACTTCCAGCTCTCTGCCCCTGTAGGCAAAGTGACTTCAATAGTCTAAAGGCAATTCTTCTAAGAGAGTTACAGCTGCAAAAGTGCATAGTAGACAGGGGATAGGTGCATGGAAATAGTGAAGGGATCTAAGCCAAAGTGCCCAAGGTCTCACATCTGGTTAGCAGTAGGGCCAGGAGAGCACATTCCTCCTGACCCTGTAGCCAGTGCTCTGCCCTCATATCCAACTGACTGGTCTGTCTTTTGAAATATATGAGCTGCATAACACACATTCCCAGAGGAACTGGAGACCTGATATGGACATCGTAAATCAAACCTTACTGGACAGGTCAGTTTAAAGGACCCCTGCACAAGGCCGAGGGGGGCCGGAGGACAACGGTGAGAATTGGACATTGCAATGTCAGAGTATTCAGAATTCAGAAGGTTTCCCAGAACTGCTGCTGTCTCCGCTGATTTATTTCTTCATTTCCATTTAGTACCTGGACTTTTTTTTTTAACCACTTTACAGTTTAATTAGGTTAACGGCATGGCTCTGTCATTAAAAGGATTTCATTATCTCAAAACTCTCCCTCCTCCTCTCTTGCTCCTATCTTTTGTTCCTCACTTCCAGAAAAATAACAGTGGATGTCAACTGCCCCAAGCATGTAATTACCATTAAGACAATTAATGGGGACTCTCTTAAGACAATATGTGTAGAGTGGCCTTAAAAGATGGTGTACAGACACTGTTTTCTAACTTGGAAACAAAATCCTTAACTCGATGAAGAGTGGTAGTTTGATTCTGGTGCTTTGGATCCCTTTCCTGTGGTCACCACACTGGGAATAGGGTATGGAGCCTCTCCAGGAAGTGGGACCCTAAGGAGCCTCTCCACTCTGGCCACAGGACTGTCTTTCTTTGGCATCTATGAGCAGGTTAGGTGACAACAAGATGCCTGCTCCACAGGAGAGCCAAATACCCTATACTCTTGCCTTGGTGCTGAATATACGTGTCTTAAGGCAGGGACCCTGACACCAGATTGTTCCCCATGGAGACCAGCACACTGAGGGCTCACTAACAAAATGCCAACGATACACACTTGAGTCTCTCTAAATTAAAAGTTAAGTGCTCTCTCTCAGGACAATAAAAATATCCTTTCTCCCTCCAGTTTTGGATGTCCTCTGAGTAGAAGGCCTGACAGCCCAATTCTTTTGCACCACCAGAAGTTCAGAATTGGATCTTCAATACAGATGATCTCATCTAATTTGTACATTTAGCATCGGCTCAGAGTCTCTGAGAAAATGTCTTCATTCATGAAACAAGGTTTGGAATAAATCATCTTTCTTTGAATATTCCTTAAACCAGTTGAATAACAAATATGTTTTGATGGATGTCAAGTGAAATTTACTTTTGAAAAGAAAACCATTCACTCCTGAAGACCAAATTATAAAGAGGTTTTGATGCATCAGAAAAGGAGTAAAAATGCTGGGAGAGTGATCAGGTGATTTCGAGAATGATGTTCGATTTTTAATTATAGGGAGTTATTAGAAAAGGCTGTGTTCACCTCAGAACCCCAGAAAAGCCAATGTTTCTGGGGTCTCAGTGAACCTAATTTCTTGCTGGTATCTCGCACAGATATTAGCTGTAAACTATTTATAATCCTATCTACTTTATGAAGGCTAAATTCCAGGCAGATGCCTTTTGAGTATCAACATGCAATAGGGATAGATTTAATCTGACATTTCATCAATCATAGCTCTGTAACCATTACTGGGGCATGAGATGAACTGAGAGTCATAATGTTGACCCTCAGGCACCATCTGATCTTGTCCTGGATCTGAAGTCATTAACAATGGCTGAAATCATAAGTCTCCACTGCTAGGTGAGTTTTCATTTACATAAGTCATGTACTTAGATACCCGGTTTCTCTTATATAAGGCTGGAACCTGGTCACTCTGCTTTGAAACATATGACAGCAGCAGCAGCTATTAACCCACAGGCAAAATGATGAGTGCTGATACTGCAGTTGCTACCATATTCATGATAACTATTAGAAAATAGGTTATTTACTGAAGCAAATTTTCTGTATTGATTAAATGGGTCTTTTGTCAAAAAGCATGGTATCTCAAACATATATTTCAAAATAGGAGAAGACATTTTGCTTTAGGTTTCCAAGTATTAACAGTCTCAAGCTTCTTCTTGGGGGAAGCTAATGTTAAATTGAAGCTCGTGATTCAGTAGCATTTTCAGAGCCCAAGAGCATTGCAAAGATTCAAAATGGCAGCATTCCCAGGGATGTGGCATTTCAACATGAAAATCGGAGTAATTTTGGATTCAACCAATAACACCATAAAGGTCATCATCTTTGGGATATTATCTTATTTGTCTGAGGATGAGGACAAATCTTCAATAATCAATGGGAAACCACTTTTAACCACCACTAATATCACAACCATTCAATTTATGGTAAGAGTTATGCCTTAAGAATCATGAAACCTTAAAAACTAATATTGATTCAGGAATTCTTACATTTCACTTGTGTAATAGTAGAGTTTACAGTTATCTACAGTAATTTTAAACACTATTATTGATATTACTGACTTGATTCCCAAGTTGACTTTTCCATTTATAGAAATATTACAGTTTTTGCATTACTTATGAATGAAATTAATGGGTACTTATACAAGGTTTTGCCTGTGAACAAAAATTTAGAACCAATTATGTTCATATACTGAGGAGTGACTATATTTTATGGTGTTCTAAATTCTTTTAAAATTGGTGTATACTTATGTAACAAACCTGCACATTCTGCACATGTATCCCAGAACTTAAAGTATAATAAAAAAGATTTAAAAAATAAAGAAAACATTATGAAATGTAAGAAAGATAAACACACACACACACACACACACAGATTAACAAATTAAAAAAGATATCTGAGAGATCCCCTTATCAGCTGTGTATTCAAGCACAAGTTATTTAACTTCTGTGCCTACATTTCCCCATGTATAATATAGAGATAATTATGGCTTTCTTAAGGTTGTTGCAAGGATTAAATGCATTGGTAAATACAATGTACTTAGAACACTGTCTGACACATATCATGGAAGGCTAGATTAGTGTTTGCCATAAAAACAAAATTGGCACACCCTGTAAGTATACAGACTAGGATACATATGACATATGTTGGAGATCAGCCACCTATGGAACGTGGGCTGATTTTTATTGGCACCTGGGCAATTTTCACAGACTTTTTTCACTATCATATCATTTGAGAAATTATTCTACTAAGAAGGTAAGCTCCATGAGAGTAGAGATCTTTGTCTATTTTGTTCACTGCTTTATTCCCAGCTCCTAGAACAATGAACGCCTGGCATATTGAAGGTGCTCCAAAGATATAAATTAAATGAAGAAAGAGCCTTCTAGAAAATCCATACGAGATCCTTGTTCCCCACAGAACTGGTATGAAGTTCTGTATGGCTCCAGTAATGCAGCAGGAAAGGAGTGGACTGCCTGTTTCAGAATCTGCTCACCTCTTGGTAGGAGGTCTGTTAAAAAGCATATGGTACATGGGACAATCCTTTACTCATCAAAAAAGTCCCCTTAAATCCTTTCTGGAACAAGGTAGGGCATACATAAACATAGTTTGCTGCTGTTGTTGTTGTTTGAGACAGGGTCTTTGTCGCCCCGGCTGGAATGCACTGGTGTGATCATGGCTCACTGCAGCTTCAACCTCCCAGGCTCAAGTGATCCACTTGCCTCAGCCTCCTGAGTGGCTGGGACCAAAAGAGCGTGCCACCACACCTGGCTAATTTTTTTTATTTTTTGTAGAGACAGGGGTCTTACCATGTTGCCCAGGCTGGTCTTAAACTCTTGGGCTCAAGTGATCCTCCTGCCTCGGCCTCCCAAAGTGCTGGGATTACAGGTTTGAGTCACTGCGCCTGGCCCCATAAACACAGTTTGACCAAAATATTAAACTAATCAGACACTCCATTTTCATATCATTCCAGATAAAGAGAGAATGTTAGCAACAATAGTTAATATCGATTAAGTGCTTTCTACATGCACTACCTTTGCTAATCCTCATACCAAGTCTTTGGAATAGGTGATCATCATTCATATTTTCTAGATAAGGCAAAGGAAACTTAGAGTAGGTGATCACAATTCATATTTTCTAGATAAGGCAAAGGAAACTTAAAAGTAGGAAACAAACTCAGTATCATACTGCTGGTAGATATGGACCCAGACCCACCCAGCTCGAGTCTGGGCTCTTAAACACGATGCTCTGCTGCCCACCTCTGTCCATGATATTTTGTGATGCTTATTACTGGAATTTTGAATCATAAAACATGAAAAAAGTCCCTTGTAATGAATATTCAACTCCATGCATGTAGAGGAGTTAGGAGCCTTACCTCATCTTTCATTTCCTTGGCAGCTCTCAATTCTCCTTTAACCTTTAGTATTTTCTGAGCTTTGTTATAAACCTGAAAAAGTCCAAGTATTTAAGATGGAAAAAGTATAAATGAGCCTCTGCCCTTTAAAGATTTTCCCAGCTGGATCTATGCCCTCAGCAAGAGGTTTGGAAAATTTTCCTGAACTGTTAGCAATACCCACTTGCTTACCCATCTGTTTGTGTTTTTAAAAGGGTGTTAAAACCTCCAGATGGCAGGACCATGGTTTTACATCTTTTCCAGAAAACCACTACTTGGTGAACCAAACAGTTTCTGAATTTACCCTTCTTGGAAAGCAAAAAGTCTGAATCGAGTTTACTTTTTAGATTTCTATGTACTCTATGGCTCAGATATAGCTAATATTATGTACTTATTATGAACCAGACATGATGTGCATGACCTAACTTCATTCTCACATGAACCCTGGGAGGCAGGGACTACTACTATCCTCATTTAAAGATAAGGAAACTGAGGCCCAGAGAGGCTAAGTGACTTACCCAGGGTCACAGAGGCTCTCTTACTACTCTATGAGGAGCTTCCATTAATTTTGTAACTATTCATATGAAATATCTGATGATATGGTGTTTTTGAAGCATCAGCTTGCCATAATGTTGATGCTCATAAAGTTAGGAAACATGTGAAGTGCTGAGACTTATCTAGCTAGAAAGCCTCCCAGGAAACCAAAGATCTTTGCACATGTATGTGCATGTAAGTACAGGATGATGCATTTGAGGTCATAATGCACTGAGCTTATTAAAATCATCTCATTCATTCTGTTTTTAACCCTAAGAATAGAGGAATTTCCACCAGGAACTTACCTGCAGAATAGTTCAAGGAATGAGAAGCTATCAAAATACTCATCCTTTGTAACAAACCACATCCCCTATCCCTAATATAAGCCAAGAGGAAGAAAGAATGTTGGTGATATGTGGAATCTGGAATGTTTTATGGAGCTGAATTCTGATTTCCTGCATTGAGTACCCTCTGAAGTCTTCATGCACAGAGGTGCATCATGGAAATGGAGGTGTGGCTCAGGCTCACCTGGTGGGGACAGGCTAGGTGATGGTGTAGTAACAAACAACCCCCAAGTCTCAGTGGCTTACGACCGTGAAGGTTTATTTTTTACTCATGCTACATGTCCTTTATGAGTCAGCTGGGGCTCTGCTCCACATTGTCCTCAATATCCTCGTAGTCCTCAGCTGGTGAACTTCTATTATCTAGTATGTTGCCTGTTGCCATGGTAGCAGAAAGGGAACTTGGTGAATCACCTACTGGTTCTTAAAGCGGAAGTGAAACACTTTGCTTCTGCTCACATTTCATTAGCCAAAACAAGTCACATGGCCATGCCTAACTTCTTCCTTTACCTCCTCAAAGAAATATAGGCATATGTCAGAGAGATTGCGGGTTTGGTTTCTGACCACCAAAATAAAGCGAATATCACAATGAGACAAGTCACACAAATTTCTTGGTTTCTCAGTGCATAGAAAACCTATGATTACACTATACTGTGGTCTACTAAGCGTGCAATAGTATTATGTCTAAGAAAACAAGGTGCATAACTTAATTAAAAATACTTTGTTGCTAAAAAAATGCTGATGTGGACATAAGGGAGCACATGCTGTTGGAAAAATGGCGCCAATAGACTTGCTTGATGCAGGATTGCTACAAACCTTCAATTTGTTAAAAATGCAATATCTGTGAAGCACAGTAAAGTGAAGAGCAGTAACACGAGGTATGCCTGTACTGGCGAACTCACAAATGACTTCCACACTAGTCAAGCAAGATTAAAAATAGCGTGGCATAAAAGAACACTAAACAGGATTCTAGGCCACCAAGCTTCTAAACCTGGTTCAGCACCTCACTGGAGGAGTGGCCTTTGCAAAGGCCTTCATATCTCTGAGGCTTCATTTCTGCTTCTGTAAGCTAGGAAGCTATAATAAATGGCCTTTAGAAGTCTTTCCTAGCTTTAAAGTTCACTGATTCAGTGCTCTACCACGATGGACACCTTTCTTTAGGAGGAACTATGAACTCACCCAAGTATCATACAAAAAGTTGTAATGGAACAAATGTATCCTTGAGAATCATACTTCTTTGCAGGCAAGCCCACTGGATAGTCAGGAGATGATTCTGAAATCAAATGAAATCTTGTCCAAAAGACAGAGAAATGATTTTCTAGATTGTGATGGTTTCATCCGCTATGGAGTTACACAGCTGTAGTTGCAAGAGCCAAGAGCATTTCGAAGGAAAAGTAGAAGGCATAGGTTCTAACATTTGCATGAAAATATATTGAAATTTACTAAGTAAGGTAAGTAGGAAGAAAAAAAGAGAGCTGGAGTTTGTTCCATGAAGGAGATGTCAGAATCTTCAGTCATTAACAATAGCAGCAGGCAGTTTGGAAGGGCTTATGATGAAAAAACTGGAAGTGTTATATGATAAGTTTTTGATACATTTGACAGTAATGTTTGCCAGATGGATAGGGAAGAGTGTTTTGGGGGAGCCCCACAGGCTTTACGAAATGCCATGTGAACCTTCACAGTGCTGTCTGACTGAGGAGTATGGCTGGACAGATATTTTGTGGAGGAAGGGCTCATCCCAGAGGCAGGGACTCTCTACCAGATCCCCGGCTACTGACTCTCTGAAGCCAGGACTTTGCTCATGTCTCCCTCTTCTTGAACCCTTGTTCTTACATATTCTGTTCTGCCTCTTGCGTCTCTGTTGAGACCTTCATTTCTTCATGCCTTGTCTACTGCCATCTGCCCAGGCAACTCCTTTTTTGTATTCAAAACTCCTGCCATCTGCTTTTCAAAGTAGGACTTCTCTTGGTGACAGCTGTGCCTAAAGAAATGATTGTAGTGAAAACAAAAACTTGGTCAGAGCTTCTAGTGATGTTTTGTGCCTTCCCTCAGTCTACTATCAGAGCACCTTGCAGATTCCCAAGAAACACCTAACACCACACCTCAAATGGGTGACTAAGGTAGCAAGTATCAAGTCAGGTGTGCAAAAAGAGAAAGTAACTCTTTCTATTACTCAGTGTTTTTGTTTAGCCCCATTTTCACCAAATGGCAGAAAACACAATCTTAGTTATTTCTGAGAAAGCACCACGACTTTCAGGTTAAAAATGAATCAGTTCATGATTCCCTCACAGTTCATGATTCTCTCAACCTCTTTAAGGCGTCTCCAGAGTGTGCTTAAGATTTTGAGGTCCCAGTTTGGATCCTGGCACCAGGGGAAGCTTGTGGTCCATGGTCATGGGCATCTCTCCTAGCTAGAGTATGCCGAGGTGTCACTGTCCTGGTCAGTAGGCCACATGTACTAGTATTAGTCTGTTCTCACATTGTTATATGGAAATACCCGAAACTGGGTAATTTATAAAGAAAAGAGGTTTAATTGACTCATAGTTCTGCATGGCTGGGGAGGCCTCAGGAAACTTACAATCTTGGCAGACAGCACCTCTTCACAAGGTGGCAGGAGAGAGAATGAGTGCCAGCATGGCAAATGCCAGACACTTATAAAACCATCAGATCTCGTGAGAACTCATTCACTATCACGAGAACAGCATGGGGGAAAACACCCCATGATTCAATTACCTCCCACCAGCTCCCTATCACAACACATGGGGATTGTGGGATTACAATTCAAGATGACACAGCCAAACCATATCACCTTATATCCTGTGTCTTCCTCATCCTAAGGGCTTTGGGTCATCTGGCACTTCCTCATCCTTTGAAGATGCTCCTCCCTGTTCCCCATCAAGACACAAACACATGCACACACATACCACACATACATACACACACACCACATGAGAGTAGATTCAGACTGTCTCTTAGACTTGTCCTATCAGCATTCTATCTTTTACCTTGAAAGGTATTGAGAGAAAGAGGACAGAATGCTCACTTTCCTGGTTTTGATCAAAAGTCCCTCTGCCCTTCGATCACTAAACCTATCTGGGAATCTATTGTTTTCCCTCCCTTCTGCCCCATCTCATAGATCTCACCAGGGTCTAATTCTCCTGCTTATGTTCCAGTTACCCTATTCCTCCTCTTTCCTAACTCAAACAGTCTTTGTGTGGTTTTGGAGAGAGGAAGGAAAAGGGGCATAAGTGAACAAGTTCTCTGAAATGCAGTTTTAGCAGGCCAGGATGTGAAACACATCAGTTAGTACTTCACATACCACCTGCCCACATTGGGTTACACAAATGCCGTAATCACAGACTGCTAATTTTGACTCCCTCCCCAAGGAACTGGTAAGTGCCTGGGTATATGGTTGACTCCTGGCCTTACAGCAACCTTGTTGCTCCAAGGAACACCGACTATTCCTTTTCCTTCATGGCCTGGATGGAAGAATATCAAGGGTCTGTTTTTCCTAATCTAAAACATGTTTCCGGGTTTTCAGGAAAGAGATGCTTTTTTGGTTTAAAATTAAAGCTATCTTTGTGGGATAATACAAACTAACTCAGGCTTACCTATACTAAGCCATAAGTCTTTCCTTTACTTATGTTGGGCTTTAGATTTTTCTCCAATGTTCTACCTCCTACCAGTGAAAAAAGTGTGATGAATCTTAGAGCTCTTAATTATTGAAATGATGAGAGGGAGCTAAAGGTTTTCTCTATTTTTAAAAATGTGTGAGCCCCATGAACAGACAGGGATACTTATTGTATACTAATTATTTCTACCCAGAAAGTATGATTGGAGCCAATGTGCAGAGGCTTGGTGTGCAGAGGCTTGGCATGCAGAGAGTTCGCCTTTTTGAATCCAAACCCGGTTCTAAAGGAGAAAATCCCTGGTAGTGCAGAGCATAACTGGTAGGGGGAGATGGTATGAGGAGATGATGTTGGAGATGGTTTTGCCAGGGTTTGGGGTTCTGCAGAGTAACAGTGAATAGGAACCTGACACCAATGTCACTGACTGAGCCACAGTCCAATTCCAGGACTGGAGTTCTTCTGGAGAGAAAGTAGGGCTAGTTGGGTCTCTCCAGAAAGAGGCTTTTGAATGACAGAAGAAATTAGGGGCCAGGAGGAGCAGGAGAAGGAATCCAGGATTTATGAGACTCACTGTCCTAGGTGAAAATGTCTCCCCCTGGCTCTCTTCTTTGCTACCTTTCACAGAGGCTGTTTGTTGTCTGTTCCAACATCCATACTCTTTATTTTCCTTAGTAACAGATGCTCATTTTATTGGGATGTGCATGCACTCATCTAAAAGACTCTATCTCCTAGCCTCTCTTGCAGCTAGGTATGATTATGTGTCTAAGTTTTGGTCAATGAGACATAAAATGGAGTATTGTGGGGACTTCCATGAAATCTTCTGAAAGAGAAGTAGTGCACAGCTCTTTGTTCTTCCCACCTTTCTAATGGCTTGTAATGCTGACTTAATGCCTGGTGTTCCACCAGCCATCTGGAACATGAGGCCTTAATGCTATGGAACTATCATTGCCAGCCCTGGATAGAAGGAGCAATTTCTATCTTGCTTAAGTAATGATTTTGTTTTTAATTTTTCTGTTTCATACACCTGAATCTAATGCAAGCTGACACTGACAAAACACACTTATTTAAGTTACTCTCAGAGATCTCTCTCTACAGTTCACTCACCGTTTCTAGCACCTCCACTAGTTGCTTATACTCTACATTTTGGAACCCCTGTTTCATGGTGGACCAGCTCTTCAGCGATTCCACAGATATGTTTCTCAAATGCCCCTTCCCTTTCTCGACTTGCCTTGGTTTTCTCTTGAGATGTCAGTTCTTTGTGTTCACTTTCTCCTTCTCTATTTGCTGTATGGAGTAGAAACAGCCAGGGTCAGGGAGAGAGGAACATTTCAGCCTTCCTACTGCCACCACTATTACTCCCATGCCATTTTGGAAAATTTCCCATTTTGAAGTACACAGTCCACCTAATCTTTGTTGCCATTATCATTGACTGACATGGAGAAAATTCTCCCAATTGGTTGCTCTTTCTTTCTTTACGAGATATATTCTTTCTGCCTGTCCAAAGTCACACATCTTCAAGACCCAACCCAATTGCCATTTCTTTCAACTTCCCTAAACTACATGTCACATTAACTCTTGTATGGCAGCTACTATATGCCAGGCAGTGTTCTGAACATAAAATAACAGAGCTAATCCTCACAGCAGCCTTGCCAGGTGTGTACCCTTTCCCCCTTACAGCCCTTTTCCCATACCTCTTTTAACACAATGATCTGCCTTTATTATGGTTGTTTGTGATTTGCTTTGTCTCTCCCCAAAGGTAGAAGTGATCTATTCTGGTGAAAGAACAGGAACACACAGACCTTTTTGAAATAATTTTAGATTTCCAGAAAAGTTGCAAAAATAGTACACAGAGTTCCTGTATACCCTTTCCCCAGTTTCCCCAATATTAACATCTTACATGATGATACGATGATCAAAACTAAGAAATTAACATGGGTCCAAAACTATGGACAAAACTGCATACTTTGTTAGGATGTCACCAGTTTTTTCACTAATGTCCTTTTTCTGTTCTAGGATCTGATTCAGTATTCCACATTGCATTTAGTTGTTTTATATCTTTAGACTCCACTAATCTATGATAATTCCTCAGTCTTTCCTTGTCTTCCGTGACTTGGACACTTTTAAACAGTACTGGAAAGTTAATTCATAGAATGCCCCTCAATTTGAATTTGCCTGATTTTTTTTTCTTTTTGAGAAAGAGTCTTACTTTGTTGCCCAGGCTGGAGTGCAGTGGTGTGAACATGGCACACTGCAGCCTCGACTTCCCAGGCTCAAGCAATCCTCCCACCTCAGCCTCCCAAGTAGCTGGGACTACAGGCACTCACCACCAAGCCTGGCTAATTTTTGTATTTTTTTGTAGAGACAGGTTTTCACCATGTTGCCAAGGCTAGTCTCAAACTCCTGAGCTCAAGCGATCTGGCTGCTTCGGTCTCCCAAAGTGCCTGATGTTTCTCTGTGCTGAGATTGAGGCTATGCATTTTGGGCAAGTGTGTCATACACCTTCTTAGTGTATCATGTCAGGGATACATGATATCAATGCATCTTATCCCTGATGATGTTGACCTTGGTCACCTGGTTATGCTGGTGTCTACTGGGTTTATCTACTATAAAGTTATTATTTTTCCCCACTATAATTAATAAATATATTAAGGGAGATACTTTAAGAGTATACAAATATCCTGTTTTTCTTCAAACTGTCACCTGCTATCTTTAGCAAGGTGGATCTCACTTGCAATAATTGTTACAGTAGTATTCTAATGGGGGTCTTCTTTTTCCTTTATTTCTTCTACATTTATTCGCTGGAACTCTTCTGTAAGAAAGAGCTGCTCTTTCTCACCCATTTAATTAATGTATTGTTTACATCACTATGAACTCATGGATATCTATTATATGGGCTATAATCTAATACTGTTATTTATTTTGTTGCTCAAATGTTCCAGCTTTGGCCAATGGGCCAAAGGTTGGCTCCTGAGCCCTTTCAACAATACCCATTCTTAAGCACATTCTTACTTTTGGGTACGAGATGCTCCAGGTTCATCTTATACTTTTCCCTGCCTCAGCCACTTCTTCATGGAGTCAGGGCTCACATTTTGACTCAAGTTAACTTCTCTGAGTCTCAGTTTCCCCATTTGGAAACAACTGGAACAATAATACCTACCTTACAGGGTGGTTATGGGGATTAAATAAATAATGTAATGGGGTAATATTCAGACAATTTTAATGGGCATTTTTTCTTTGCCCTCTCCACCATAAACTCTCCAACATAGACTCTGCTTCTTGAGTTGCCCTGGGCTGGCACTATGCAACAAGACTCTTGTCTTAAGAAAAGATTTTCCAAATTCCTTTATCTTCTCTCCCCAACCCAGCCCTCCTCCACCTTCTCCCAGGTTTCAAAGGGCTCAACAAAAAAGTCAAGGACTTTTGAGGGCGATATTATCAACTGGCATTCTCAGAGGTGCCTGCTCTCCAGCAGGAGAAGGGTTAAATGCTTTGTGATAACTTCAGCTCTGAACTGCCAAGTCTCTTAGGTTCAGCTCAGCAATCAAACTGCATAACCTAATAGAGCCCCTGGTGCTATGGGAAACACAAGACACTGATTTATATTTTAATATCAGTAATTTCCACAAGAGCAACATTTCTGAGTGTCATTTTACAATTTCTGTCAAACGCCAGCTCAGTTTTTCTTAATTCTGTTTATTGTGTCTGAATTTGCAACCTCATCCGCAATGCAGATTCTTGACTCCCAGGAGAGAAGAACATTTCCATCTTTCTCTAGAGTGGGAGGGATGAGGATGAGGGGCAGAAATGGGCTTATAAGATAATTGAAAATGTAAATGAAGTACTGTTTATTAAGAAATGATTGTGAAGTATTTTTGTTAAAAAAAAAGGCAGTTCTGAACAAACTTAGCAAAAAATGACAAACAAAAGAGATGTTTTGGATCCAAACTGGAATCTTTCCTTCCAGAAGGAAAAACTGTGTGTACACTGCAGAATGGAGAGGAGGGAACCAGTACGGGGAATATTTGGCCATGTTTACTGTATGATCGTTGCTATGGCCATTAGCACTACAGCAGGTTGTAAAGTGCTTTGGGATCCTTAAGGATCAAAGGTGCCTGGCTACATAAATGCCAGATGTTGCCATTAGGAAGAAGGAGCCTGGTTCTCTCCTGTATTCTTTGAACATCTAATAAAAGAACAAAGCTGGTGCTGCTGGCACCAAACCACATCTCCTACTTGGTGTGTTCGAGGGGTGGGGAGCTTCCCAAAACCACTGGCTGCAGATACCTATCCTTGCATGCCCAGTCTGTCCACTAGTTCCCTGAAGGCCTGCAGCTCCAGTTTCTACAGGGGTCCTTTCCCGCACAGTACATGAGCAACCTCCTGTAAGGGCTCAACATCATGGTCTTCTTTGAGGGCTGAAATGTAGCTTTGCTAAAGGGTACCTTTCCCATGGTTGCTGCAGAAAGCCAGCTAAGAGTAGGAAGCAAGGCACTTAGAGGCCAGGGAAGCTTCTGGTGCATACTCTGGGCCCTTCCTACATGGGACTGGTATTAGTCTCCACAATCCTGCTTTTCTGCAAAGCCACAGCTCTTGTAGATTGTAGTGAGCCCAGAGCCACTTGTTCTGCCTCCACTGGTGTTAAGACCTCATACTTTTCACAAGCATCCTTCAGTTTCATACACTCTAAATCCAACATCATGTCTCATTGCCAAACCTCTGGCAGAAGCCGTGTTGAGTTTCTCAGTGGAGCTATCGACCACATTGACTGAAGCCGCAGCAATGTGTTTCTCCCCAACCAAAAGGGTAAAAATAACAGGAACAAGTTGTCGGAAATGAAATTTCAATTCATCCACGCCCTTTCTACACTTCTGCTGCGACTCCCAAGCAGGGATCGATAGTGTTTAGACAGCCAAGGAGATTTTTTCCCCTCTTAAAGCACTAGATCAATAGTAAAAAAAAAAAAAATTCTCCAGCCCTCTGTATGTGTTGTAGTAACCGTGAACAAATCAGAGGCCTTTGGCTAAACAGATTGACTGAAGGCAGCAGCAGTCTGGTGCTTTGTAACTAAGACCACATCAACTGCACAAGTGGCAATGAGGGAGGAAACCCCAGTGCTCCCGTGGTCCCGGTAACCAGGAGCCTTCAAAGGGAATGTCTGTCCCCAAAATGAGTGGAAGAAATGAAAAGATTCCTGTGCACTGCAGCATTTGGGTGTGCCTTTTTTAAAAAAATTAAATACTCGCCGGGAGCGGTAGCTCAGGCCTGTAATCCCAGCACTTTGGGAGGCCAAGGCGGGCAGATCACGAGGTCAAGAGATCGAGACCATCCTGGCCAACATGGTGAAACCCCGTCTCTACTAAAAATACAAAAATTAGCTGGACGTGGTGGCGCGCGCCTGTAATCCCAGCTACTCAGGAGGCTGAGGCAGGAGAATCGCTTGAACTCAGGAGGCAGAGGCTGCAGTGAGCCCAGATCGAGCCACTGCCCTCAAGCCTGGCGACAGAGCAAGACTTCATCTCAAAAAAAAAAAAATAATAATAATAATAATTAAATTAAATTAAATACTCGATAAGGATTATGGGCCATCACAGAAGAGCATTTTATTGGAAGACATTTTGGACCTTGGGATACTGCACACTTCATTTCCATTTTGTCTTTTACCTCTTTTATTTTTACTTTTAAAAAAGTTCTTAGCTATCTATGGCTTTTTCTCATTGCTTCACAAGTTTTCTCCCTATACTACTGTCCACTTTTCAAACATCTGAGAGTCAACTCAAACATTGGGTCCCAATCCAGGGACTCAAAAGACTATCATGAAGCTAGCCCTTCCTTGTGAGATTAAAAAATTATTCAGGTTGCAAAACCCAAAGGTGAACTGAGATGAATATGTGAACATCGTCCTTCATTATAAAAGACTTGTTATTCTTATCAATGAGTATGGTGCTGACTTCCTTAATGAATTGATCATATTCATTATAAAATAAAGCATTGGCTGAATCTAGCATAGAAGCATATAAGAAGATAGCATGCCAACATGTATTAGTTTAGATAATATAGCCTTTTCTGGTAGGTTTAGTTAAATAAATGTTTATAATCACAGATAAAAGAAATGATTGTTACTGATTGTGCTGTGTTTACATTTCTGTTTACAGGGGTGTCCAATCTTTTGGCTTCCCTGAGCCACATTGGAAGAAGAAGAATTGTCTTGGGCCGCATGTAAAATACACTAACGATAGCTGATGAGCTAAAAATAAAAAATAAAAAATAAATCACCTAATGTTTTAAGAAAATTTACGAAATTGTGTTGGGCCACATTCGGAGCTGTCTTGGGCTGCATGTGGCCCATGGGCCGCTGATTAGACAAGCTTGGTTTAGAAGCTTCTCATGGAGTCACTTTGCTTTGTATGAGCCCGTAATTTAAACCAGACCTATTCTCCTGGTCACCGGCATATCTCACAGGTATTCTAGAAGAGAGGTGCACCTCAGGCACTTCAAAAGTCAAGAGGTGGCTTACACCTGTAATCCCAGCACTTTGGGAGGCCAATGTGGGCAAATGGCTTTGAGCTCACAAGTTCAAGACCAGCCTGGACAACACAGCAAAAACCTATCTCTACTAAAAATACAAAAGTGAGCCAGGCATGGTGGTGCACACCTGTAATCCTAGCTACTTGAGAGGCTGAGGCACGAGAATCACTTGATCCTGGGAGGCAGAGGTGGCAGTGAGCTGAGATCATACCATTGCACTCCAGCCTGAGCAACAGAGTGAAACTCTGCCTCAAAAAAAAAAAAAAAAAAAAAGGCCAAGAGGTTAGGGGATAGCAGGAAATGTCTCTCTCAGTGATTATTTCCAAAGATGAAAGGAGAAACAGAGACTATAAATATGAACTTACTTATTAATTCAAAAGTGCTGAGAACCCAGTATGCATTGGGTGAAGCAGAAATGTACGATGAGAAGTGTAACTCCAAAAATACCCATGCCCTATAATGAGCTACCTTGTGCTGTAGCCTCTCCCTCTCCAGTAGTTCTTCTTATTACCATGTTAATGTTTCAACATTTGAATATGTAACAGTCCTGTTGGTTTCAAAATGTGATATGGAGTTGCGCTGGGTTTTCCTTTGCCCCTCACATACTCTCTGCCTCTCTCCCCTCCGCTCTGTGTCCCATGAGCTGCATCAACCAGCTCTCTTACCCTCTGCTCTCTGGCCCCTGCTTGGTTGACCAGTGTGGAAAATCAGCAGGAAGGTCAGTGGGGGAGGGGACTGGGTCCTCAGATTCTGCCCTGCCAGGTCCCCAGAGGGTCTTGGGGCTTTCTCCACTCCCCATTTCAGGTCTGCTCTCTCCCCTGGCCCCTGAGGCTTGGAGGTGATCAAGACCTACCCTTACTATACCTGGGCACTGCATGCCACCTTGTAGCTTCCTTATACCATGGTCACAGCTTTATGCCTAGTTCCTCTATGAAGTAGTCCACAAATTACTCAGCTTGAGCATGCCATCTGCTTCCTGGTGGGATCTTAGTTTATAAGGTAAATAACAGGAAGTCTCATATGCAGGCATATTAGTTGCCTAGGGCTACTGTAACAAAATACCACACTCTAGGTGGCTCCAGAGGCTGGGAGTCCAAGATCAAGGTGTTGGTGGGGTTGGTTCCTTCTAAGGGCTGTGATGGAGAATTGGTTCCATGTCTCTCTGCTAGCTTCTGGCAGTTTGCTGGCCACCTTTGGTGCTCCTTGGCTTGTAGACTCATCATCCCAGTCTCTGCCTTCATCTTTACATGGTGTTCTCCCTATGTGCATGTCTGTCTCCAAATTTCCCTTTTATAAGGACACCAGTCATATTGGATTAGGGGGCCACCCTATTCCAGGTTGACCTCATCTTAACTCATTACACCTGCAATGATGCTATTTCCAAATAAAGTCACATTCTCAGGTTCAGGGGGTCAGGACTTTAACATATGAATTGGGGTGGGGGCAACACAACTAAACCCATAACAGTAGTTACCTATGAGCAACTATCTTCTATTATACTGGGGAAAAAAATCCTCTCCTGCCCTCCTCCAGCCACCGTCTTCTCTCTCCTCTCTGCCCCTCACTTCTCATCTTCATGGATGAATTGTTCGCATTTGCTGCCTCTTGATATTTCCTCTATCCCCCTTTCCCCATATTCACCTTGTCACCCCTACCCTGGTGGCAGCAACTCTGAATGGCCAAGGTCAAAGTTTTGGGTGTCAACTCCAGGGGGCCCTTTTTGGTCCTTATTGTATCTCACAAACTTGACATCAGTGGCTACCTCTAGAAATATTTTCTAGAAGCACTTTCTCCTTCTAGAAATGCTTTCTGTCCTTGGTTTCTGAGACTCTCTCCCAGATTTCCTCCTGCTCTTCTGACGGCTCCTTCGCTTCCTTGGCAAGTCCTCTCCTTCTGGCCATTCCTGAAATGGTCCCAGGTTCTTCCTGGTCTTCCTGGTCTTGTCCTCCCCATTCTCACTCTACATCCTCCCTGGTCTTGTTCTCTCTTGTCAGATTTCAGTTATCATCCATATCAGGTTGTTCCTACAATAACATCTCCAGCACAGCTCTCCATCTGGAGCTCCAGATTTGGATAACAACTGCCTTCTACACAGGTGTGCTCCACTGACCCACAGGCTTCTGCAATTCAATCTCTCCAACACTAAATCTGTAAGCCTCTACTCCAAACCTGCTTCTCCTCTGATATCACCTTTTTAAGGTATTTAACAAACTTGCATCACGTTTATTGTGTGAGAAGGAGAGGCACAATTCTGAGCACTTCACTATTAACTTATGTAATCTGCATAACAGCCCTATGGGTACTGTGGTTATTTTTATTGTAAATGAGAAACTAAGGCACAGAGATGTGAATAAACTTGCCCAAGATCACAGAGTACCATGGGGTAAAGGTGGAATTCAAACTCAAGTAGCCCAACTCTGGAATTTGTTCTTAACCACTACTATATATTGCATCAGTGAAAGGAACTGCCGTCTACTTCATTTGTTCCAGCCCAGAAATCTAAGCACCATCTTGATTCTTCTTTGTCTTTCTCTCTCACTCACTTCAACTCCCAGACCCTTCATCCCATCACTTACCATGTCCTGCCTATTGGATCTTCCCAATTAATCTTCTATGTTGGTCCTCTTCTCCTCAACCCCAATACTACTGCCCACTCCTCCAACAACTAGAGATACGATCATGTCATTTGCTTGCCTAAAGCCTTTTAATAATTATCCATTGCTCTCAAGGTAAAGTGTTCCTTAAATGGTTTAGGAGGCCTTTCTTCATCTGTGTCCTGTTTTCTTTTTTTTTTTTTTGAGACGGAGTCTCGCTGTGTCACCCAGGCTGGAGTGCAGTGGTGCAATCTTGGCTCACTGCAACCTCTGCCTCCCAGGTTCAAGTGATTCTCCTGCCTCAGCCTCCTGAGTAGCTGGGATTATGGCTGTGCACCATCAGGCTTGGCTAATTTTTGTATTTTTAGTAGATACGGGGTTTCACCATGTTGCCTAGGCTGGTTTTGAACTCCTGACTTCAAGTGATCCACCCAGCTTGGCCTCCCAAAGTGCTGGGATTACAGGCATGAGCCACCGTGCACAGCCTTGTGTCCTGTTTTCTGACCCTCCTCCCTGCCCTTCTTTACGTTTCCCGCCAGAGCTCTACTGAACTATGTTCAGTTTCTTGGACACACACCCAGTCCTTGGACCATTCTGCTTGTGCTACGGCTATGTGCATTATTCCATTTCTCTCCTCCCATCATCTTTGGGTTCACTCAGAACTCAGGGTAAATATCATTTCCTCTACAAAGCCTTCTCTGAATCCCCAAGCTTGGGTTCTTCCTCCAAGCACATGCTCCCTTCCTGATCTGAACGTCCCCACCAGGGCAGTCCTCACACTATATTAGAATTGTGGGCATACTTGTGTGTATCTCCCTCTAGACTGCAAACTCCATAGATCAAGGGATTGTAAATTTTTGTTCACCATCTTATCTGAAGTGAGTAGAGAAATAACTGGCACATAGTGGATGCTCAGTAATATTTACTGAAAGAATGAAGAGTCAAATTAACTAATTTGCAGTAAGAGATCACTGTCATGAGAACTGGAATATTTTCAGTCCACATGGCCAGCACACACTCTCTCCAGAGGTAGACCAATATGAGAAGCCAAAGAGAGTTTTGGGTGACAGAATCAGAAGTAAGGGATACTGAAATAATCTGATATTGAATTATAACTGACTAGGACAGCATCTTGTAACTATCTTAGATAGCAAAGATCTTGGGGCTGATACAATCAGTCTGTTGGCTAAGGCTCCCTCTCTCCAGGACAGAGCTAGGAGGGGTCCACCCATCATTCCCTCTGGGACTATATGTTCCACCCGTCTGCATCATGAGATTGATAAGCTCTTTCTTACATAGACTACTCTGGTCCAGTCAAGTTTTGCAGATCTGAGATTTATCCTGTCTCCCTAAGGTGATGCTGGGTATGGTTCAGCTCTCCCAGAATAACTTTTCTCTCATTTTCAAGTTCTGGAAGAAGCTCCCCTGTAATCTACTTTGAAGTTGCAGTATGTTCCAAATGGCTTCTGCTATTCAGAGGTGCAGTGGATCACTTTCTATTCAAATAATTAAGAAAGATTTTATGGAGATAGTTGCATTTGATCCTACTTTTGATTCTGACAGATGAAGATGGGCTATATTCTAAGATGTTGAGGAGAAATGAAATTTTCAAGCTGAAGCTGGAAGAGAAGGAGAGGCTGGAATGGGAAGAGCTGTAGATGCGAGAATTCAGAGTCTGAAATTTATCTAGAGGCAACAGGGAGCCATGAAGGTTTTCGAGCTGGGGAGAGACACATCAACAATTGCTTCGTGTACATTAGCCTGACCTCTGTGTGTGGGAGACCGAATAGACAGAGAGAGGAAGCAGAGCAGAAGGCCTAGAAAGCTAGACAGGAGTTAGGAGATGACTCTTTTCAAATAAAAATAGCCAGTTGAGCAGAGTGATAGGTGTGAAATCTATTTCTTTAATTTGTCACTGTAACAGTATATTATATCCAAATATATAAACACATTTATAGAAGTTTATTAAGCAGCAATTAAAAGCAAGCAAACAGGCTGGGCGAGGTGGCTCACATCTGTAATCCCAGCACTTTGGGAGGCCTCAGTGGGCAGATCACCTGAGGTCAAGGGTTCGAGACAAGCCTGGCCAACATGGCAAAACCCCATCTCTACTAAAAATACAAAAATTAGCTGGGCATGGTGGTGTGCGCCTGTAATCCCAGCTACTCAGGAGGCTGAGGCAGGAGAATCGCTTGAATCCGGGAGGTGGAGGTTGCAATGAGCTAAGATTACACCACTGCACTCCAGGCTGGGTGACAAAGTGAGACTCCATCTCAAAAAAAAAAAAAATAAATAAAAAAATAATAAAAGCAAGCAAACAAAGAAACTTAACTTCTGAAGAAACATTTACTAAATAAAGATTGATAGTGGATGCGATTTAAAATAATCATTAGGACAATACTACAATTTTGAATGGTCCAGTATCTTCCATCCTTAGATGAGTCTGCAGATTATAGATTTGGTTACAGTGGGCTCCAAGATCTGTCCACATTCAACTCATTGGGTTAAAGCTGTCTGGGGTACTAGTCAAGTCATAGGGATGGGGAAGCTTTTTGGTCTAGACAATGTCTACATGATATTATCTAATATTATACTGGGATCCACCCTGTACCCTGTAGGGTGATTTGCCAAACACTTCACTTGTAACCCTAAAGAGCAAAGGTGAGATGATGGTAGGGCTGATTTTGGAGGGGGAGTGGTGAGACTTCTTATATTGAACCCGTTTATATTGCAAAGCCTTTTTCCTATAGCGGTTCTTCAGTGATCAAGTCGTGGAAGGGAAGGGAGAGTGAGGTGGTTACATATGGGCACTGCTATTGTTATGTTGGAAAATACTTTCTGATGAACAGTCATTTCCTCCCACTGCCGAAGGGTGTTGATAATGAGCAAATTACCTTTTACTCCCTCTGGTGTGGATGTGAAATTGGCTGTTAATAGAGTTGCTAATGCTACCGGGTTAGCATGTGATTGTTCTATTTTAAGCCAATTTAAGTTATATTTGGGGAGTAGCCAATCAGACACCTCACTAAGAATATGGGCCCAAATGCAGCATTTAATATCGAGAAACCTGCCTCACCCACAGATGTGGCTGTGAGCAGAAAGTGCTGAACATGCTGTCATTAACATGAAATGCTTTAATACAATGTCTCTTTTCCTTTGTAGGTACAAGAATGGTCTCATTAGGCAAATGCCAAATGTTTTCATCATAGGATAGAACCCATTTCAAACCCCAAGACTATAGAATGCCGTCAGCCAATGATGTAGTTTGTTTAATATAACAATGGGTTAATATTGGTCATTTCATTACTGCTTGTTATGCAGTGAAATCTTACTAGAAAATGAAGTGTTCAGAAACTAGTTGAAAGGAGCAAAAGAGGTGAGAGATTTTTCCAAGTTATATGCTCGATTGGGCTAATTAAAGGTACAGATGCATTAGTGGGTTATGAACACCTTTGATTTCTAAAGATGTTTTCCTAGGAAGGGGATGGTGTATTCTAATCGTAGACAGCACTGAGAGCTTTCCAAGGCCAGGGGGCACAGTTCTTCTCTCTTACGTGCTCCCTAACCCTCTCCCTAAGCACCTATTGCCACCTGGCACCTGGTGGGTGGATTGAGCGCATTACTTGGGAAAGTTTCTTGATTAATAGGAATATTCTTGAATAAAGCACTGTTGACTTGTGGTTTTCATGTTTTATTGGATTTTTCATGCTTTACATATGAAGCTCATAAAGTACACACAGAGAAGGAAACAGGTATGAAGGATGGAAAATAAAACTCAACTGATGGGATACAGAAAGGTACAGTGTGTGCCATTCTGGTGTGGATTAATTGGGCTTGGCATGATTATGGCTCCTGTCAGCTGATCAGTTTACTGGACTGAAGAAGTTGTGGGAATGGAAAGCGCTGGTGCCTAACATTACCTCAACCCCACCCCCGCCAAAATACTTCCCAAGGAAATTCTATGCCCATACTCCCTAATTTGCTATTAAGCTCGGCGGCCATGGAAAACCCATCTGTTATGACCTCCTGCTCATTTAGCAAACATTTGCAGAGACCTGCCTTGTGCCAGGCTAGGATTTAGAGGTGACTAGGACAGGGTCCCCGACCAAGGGAGCGCAGAGTGCCCTGGGGAGGCACTTATCTAAAAAGTGTAACACATGGTGACAAACAGTCGGTAGCAGATGATTAAAAGCTTGGGCATTTGGAAAATACTTTTAGTGTTGACTTTTTTTTTTTTGAACAAATACACAGTACTTTGGATGTGCCAGGCACCGTGCTATGGACTTTACAAATATTAGCTCATTAATTCTCCCAACAACCTCCAGAGGCAGACACTATTATTATTTTCATTCTACAGTTGAGGAAACTAAGGCACAGAGAGGTTAAGTAATGTTCCCAAGGCTACACAGCTCATCAATGCAGAACCAGGATTTGAACTCACACCATCTTGCTCCAGAGTCCATGCCCTCAGCCACCACATGCTGCCGTCCCTTTAAGCCAGTCCCTGGAAGATGAATGGGACAAGCTTGTTCAAGGGCACTGATGTGTGACCACGTGTGGCCCACAAGGAGAGATCCAGTGGTCAGAACAGTGGCATAAGAAGAGATGCTGTCTGGGGTGTGAGTGCCAATCTTGGAGGAATGGGCAGAGAAAGGGAACTGGCAAAGAGGGCTGAGAAGGAGCCCACAGAAGGAAAACCAGAGGAGGGGCCTCTCCAAAGAGGAGAAGGAAGATAAATTACGGCAGAGTCCACAGTGTCAGCTGCTACAGAAGTTCAAGTAAGAAGAGGAAAACCAAGCCATTCTTTTGGAGATTAGGAGCCTCTGCTGTAATTGCCCAAGGGGTCTTCCTGCCTGCTGCAAAGATAAGACCAATTCACTGAGACCATGGTATTGCAGTAAAGACAGAGTTTAATTAATGCTAAGCTAGTCACATGGAAGACAGTTACTACTTAAATCAGTCTCCCTGATAACTCAGAGGGTAGGGTTTTTAATGGATAATTTGGTGGGTAGGAGGCTAGGGAATGGGTGCTGCTGATTAGTTGAGGATAAAATCATAGGGGTGTGGAAAATAGTCCTTGTATGCTGAGTCTGCCTCTGGGTGAGTGTCATGGGACTGGTTGAGTCATGAGTCACGGGTCTTGGCAGGCAGTCAGTCAGTTGTTAGAATGCAAAATTCTGAAAAAAAATCTCAAAAAACCAATCTTAGGTTCTACACTAGCAACGTTATCTATAGCAGCAATCGGGGAAGTCACAAATCTTGTGACCTTTGGCTACATGACTCCTAAGCAGTAAGGGATTATAGAAACTATGTCTACATTTTAAGTAGAATTCAGGCCTCTCCCATAATCCTAATCTCCTGACCTTTGTTAGTTTTATTCAGTCTCTGAGCAAGGAGGGGGTTGGTTTTAGGGACGGACTATTATCATCCTTGCTTCAAAGTTAAACCATGAACGAAATTCCTCCCATGGTTAACTTGGCCTATACCCAGGAATGAGTGTGGACAGCCAGCTCGTGAAGCTAGAGGCAAGATGGATTCAGCCATGCTTGATTTCTCTCACTGTCATAATCTTTGCAAAGGCAATTTTGCTTCTGACCTCAGTGAACACAGGGTGGGTAGAACAGAGGACTGCAGTTACACTTACTGATGAAGAACTGATGGGAAGAGAGAGTGCTGTGAATGTCTTTCTAGAAGTTTCATAATAAAGGGAAGAGGGGAGAGAGAGAAAAGAAAGGGAAAGGGAGAGACAGAGAGGGAGTGAAATGGGATGGAAGGAAAGAGAGTGAGCCTAGCTTGGGGTCAGAGGCAGGCGGGAGAACAGAGAGTTGCAGGGGTGAGAGAGAGGTGGGGTTGGGGAGGCAGACCAGATGAAGAAGACTGAGCCTCAGAACTTCTCTCTGGCACACCTCAATCTGAGCACACACTCTTTGGGGCACAATGTAATTATTATTTCTTTCAGGCAGTGAAGCATAACATTAACAGGTTCAGTTGCAGATTTAATACAGGAAGCTTTATAGGACATCTTAGATCGTGAGGACTTTGAGGGAAGACCTAGGCTTCCTTAACGGAGTACCAGGCAAAGAGAAGGTTCTTCGTGTGTTTGTTGAATGAATGAATGGGTCTTATTCACATTTTTATTGTGAATATTATGAAAAAAGAACATGACACTGATTTTAAAACACTTGGAAATACAGTCATAAAACATGAAAATTTTATGGCCTGCAAGTCATTTCAGGAAATGCTGCAAATACATCCATCCATCCTGCCCGAGGCCTTGAGGTAATAGGGCCATTATAGGATTTCTCATTGGGTCATCAAAAAACTTTCTGCCCCTATATTCCTGCTACTTTACAGACAGATTCTGTATTTTATTAAAGGTAGGAAAAATAAATTGTTTCGGAAGCGCAGGGTATAGTTAAAGGTGTTAAGAAAATGTAAAACAATTTTACTAGTGTCTTGCCTACTAATTTGGATAAATGTTTATTCTCAAAATGTTCTAGCATTATCTTTCTTCTTCCAGAAAGGTCAGGCACATGCCACTAAAAACACATTTAGTACATTCGAGAATATTTTTCAAGTGATTTATTGGAGCAATGTATGGACTATTTATTTAAATATATCTCTTATTTCCAGTAATGCTACAACCTCATTAGAAGCGACTTGGCTCATTGCTTAAGCAAAATGATTTAGCTATTTAGGAGCTCTCCTTTAAAAATAGGCTATTTTCTCTGAACAGTTTACCAGAATTGGGGATCTATTTTTAGAAAAGTACAGAAGAATGGGTAAGGTCATAGTCCTGAGCCTTAGGTAATTCCTTGAGAAGTTGTATCTATTGTACGTTCTGGTTCATTTTTCTCCATTCCTGGTTCTCCAGCAGGGAGGAGTTCTCCTCTTGAGGTATGAGGGCACAGCCACCTCTCTGGGGAATTCTGGAATCCTCTGAAGAGGCTCTGTCCTGGCAGGCACCCAGCTAGTAAAGTATCGGGCCTGGTTTTAACAGTGAAAAACTGCTTCTACTCTTTGGGGACATGAGAACCCGATTTTACATACTGGAAAATGAAATTTGCTAACTACTGAGTGTGCAATGCATAATCCCCACTCTGTAGCTAATACATTCAGATGCTTACAGCATATACATAAGCTATGAAGCAGAATGATCAAATGCGTGTGTGTGATCCCCTGCGAGCTGAAACATTACCAATATGTGGCTTCTAAGTGTTTCTCCTTGTGGCATTCCTCTGACCCTTGCCTCTCCCCACCATCCTGAATTTTGTGTTTATTATTTACCTGTGATTAAAAAATACTTTTATCACATATGTATCCTCCTAAGAGGAGGGAGGGAAGGAGAGAGAAAGAAAGAGATGGAAGGAGGGAGGGAAGAAGAGACACACACGTTTGAGAGGAGAGAGAGAGACAGAATTCCCTAACAGTTTAATGTCACTTTAGAAAACACACACATTTCCTCAGGTATTTTGTTTCACCTAATGGTCCCAATTCAACTGTTATAGGATGCTAAATATGTTATTGTACTGAAAAATTTTTAATTTTATTAAATCTAGCTGGTGCACGTAGAAGGGAACTTGCAGTTTCATGTATTGTTTGTAGAGTGTTAATTGCCTTTTTTTCTTGAAAGTAATTTAGCAATATGGATGGAATTAAAGTCCTTAAAAAAATACAATGGGCCAAGCATTACCCCTTACAGGATTTTATTCTAAGGGAAGAATAGAATAAGTATGCAAAGATGTTTTTTTAAGGATGTTAACTGCAGGGCCGGGTGTGGTGGCTTGCACCTGTAATCTCAGCACTTTGGGAGGCCGAGGCAGGCAGATCAGGAGATCAAGACCATCCCACGTCAGGAGATCAAGACCATCCTGGCCAATATGGTGAAACCCCGTCTCTACTAAAATACAAAAAATTAGCCAGGTGTGGTGGCACATGCCTGTAGTCCCAGCTGCTCAGGAGGCTGAGGCAGCGGAATCGCTTGAACTCGGGAGGCGAAAGTCGCAGTGAGCCGAGATCCTGCCACTGCACTCCAGCCTGGGTGACAGAGGGAGTCTCTGTCTCAAAAAAAAAAAAAAAAGAAGACATAATCTAAATGTCCAAAAGTTATTGGTTAAATATGCAGTGATTTAAAATGATGAAAGAATGTGCACGTTATATTGAGTGGGAAAAAAGCAGCTATATAATACATAACAATTATATAATAACAACAGTTACATGGACCACCCTATATGGAGGACCCTCTAATTTTTATAAAAATAACTTCTGGCCAGGCATGGTAGGTCGCGCCTGTAATCCCAGCACTATGGGAGGCTGTGGTGAGAGGATCACTTGAGGCCAGGAGCTCGAGACCAGCCTGGGCAACAGAGTGAGATTCTGTCTCTACAATAAAATAAAATAAAAATTACCTGGTGTAGTGGTGCACACCTGTAGTCCTACCTGCTCAAGAAGCTGAGGTGGGAGGATTGCTTGAGCCCATGAGTTTGAGGCTAAAGTGAACCATGATGGTGCCACTGCACTCCAGCCTGAGTGACACAGTGAGATTCTGTCTCTAAAAATAAATAAATAAATAAATTTATATGTATGAAAAAAATTGTGGAGGCAAAAACACCAAATTGTATAAACAGGGACAAGATTTTAGGTGATTATCATTATTGCTTATCTGTATTTTTTGTCTTTCTAGAAGAGTAATATATTATTTTTTGAAAATGAAAAATAGCTTGTACTAGTCTATTTATTAA
The DNA here is from genome assembly GCF_000001405.40 of Homo sapiens. NCBI lineage: Eukaryota > Metazoa > Chordata > Mammalia > Primates > Hominidae > Homo > Homo sapiens. The sequence goes on from NC_000016.10 coordinate 72,193,579, forward strand.
AGAGAAAGCTTGGAGATTTTTTATGTGACCTATAGTCCATTATCCATCTGTGGATGGAAAATTTAAAATCATTGATACCTACTATGAAGAACTTTTCTCCCTTGCAGTGCTCTCTGGGGATGCAAACTGACTTTATATCAGTGAGGAAAAAAAAAAAAAAAGAAATACAATTACACAACCCCCAAATGCATTCTATTGAACAAAAATTCAAACATCTGTATTACCCCAATCATATGTGCCCGGCTCCAGTCCATCAGCATGGCGCACACATACCACCGCTAGCTAACCACACCTCCCCAAGTTTTCCACAGGGCGGGTTAATATTTCTAGTTCCATTTGTCATTACAACCTCCCCATGAGGTGGAAGAGTCTATAGTGGCAGGTATGGTAATTATCAAGGCTGCTTTTTTTTTTTTTTTTAATTTGGTAAAAGACTGGTCAAATATTTTCATTTTATAGTCCCCTGATCTCTTGGAGCCTTTGAAAATAATGGTCAGTAGTTCAGCGAGTTCATTATCTAATTCTCTTAAGGTTGGGGAATGTGCATTTCTGGACCTGCTGATTTACATATTGTACCATGTTTTCAAGTATTCCCTTACCCGGTTTATTTCAACATCTATATTTAAAAGTCTTCATTACTTCCTAATTATCTATGCTCCCTTTCTTTATTTTTCTTTTTTAAAGACCAGTTTAAAAACTCATTCTGCTTTCTCTGCAGCTGCTCTTATCTTTCCTCCATGAGCCTTAGAAAGAGTTGCACATTCTTTTTTTTTGGCTCTTCCTCATCCTTTCTCTATTTCTGCAGTGGGCTTTCTTCCATCCTTAGATCTTTTCAAGATTCTTTGTCAAGCGATTCGTTGCATTTTTTATTCAAGGCATCCTGGGCCTTTGTGGCTTAACTGTGATTTGAAAACTTTGTGCCCTTGCCTGTAGTGCTATCTGTGTTTCTTAATTCACCCAAATTGGATTTCTGAAAATCTTTGAGCTTGAGCAAGTTCCTTAATGTTTTTAAATACAGAGATCAGGTCATATCATCTGGGCAGTGGTATCTCGTGGTCAATAGTATTAAAGACCATTCATGGGAGTGAGAGAATCGGTAGAGATGTGAGGTCACTGTTCATGCTTTGGGCAGGATATAGATATTTTCAGACCCAAATCCATCCTTGACAAAGAAGCTAAGGCACTGTTGGTGTTCTAGGTTGTTGACACTGAACTTGGTTTCCTGGGCAGAGAACACACCTCAGAAGGCAGGCCACTTGCTGTTTAAAAATCCATGCTTAATAAAGGCTGCTCAGGAGTTCCTCTTTCTGGCTTACACTAGTTAATGGTATGAGAACAAGTGCTAGATTTTACACTCATCAATTTAGATGCATCAATCCATAGTGTTCCTTCATTCTGTTTCTGACAGTTTGTGGACCTGGGGATCTGCAGGTAAATATGTGATTTGAGACAACTTCCCTTCAATCTGCAGCAGCCATGGAGGCTTGCTGTTCGGGTCTCCCTTGACAGAGAACTTGCCCCAGGGAGTGCACTTTGCGGACAGCCTCCAGCTGTCAATGTCTCCAGGGCAGCTTCCGGCCAATGACTGGGTGCAGCGATGGCACCAGGGCCCACGTTTTCTGGCCAGTGCAGGACTCCTCAATAGGTCATCTTTGCACCAGATTGTCCTGTTGGGCTGGTCAAGCTGTTCTCTGAGCCGCACTGCAGTCTGAGGCTCCTCCTACCTCATCTTCCTTCCTTCCCCCTCTCCTTTTCACAGATGTCAGACCTACACTGAAGTCTGACGGCTCTCCCTGCCCGCTTCTGCTCCCTCTCCCTTTATCTTTCACTGAATCTCTTGCACTTCTAACACCATCTCAGCATCTGCTTCTTGAAGGACCTGAACTGACACAAGAACCCAGCCCCGCTTTAACCTTGCTAACCCCTCCTGCCTCCCCCATCCATCCTGCCTGCATGAGCTCAGCCATACACTCTTTTATGTTACTTTATGGAGAACTCAAATGCTACATAGTCACTGAATACATTCCAAGCTAAGTGAAAAACAGACCTGGACGTTATCTCCAGTTTGGGATTGCTGTAAATACTACTACTCTCTTTCATTAATGTGGATAATTGATCTTGTTATACAGTTTGATCACATTGGAGCGTTCTCAGGGAAAAGCTTGTACTTAAACCTCAGCAGCACTAGGTGATGCTGCTGTCCCACACAAAGGCTGCGGCCTGAGCTAGGCTTGGCCAGGGCCGTCCTGGGCTGGGGGTCCTGCCTTTCCTTGGCTGAGTAGGGCCTGCAGGTCTGCAATCCACTCCAGAATCTGAAAAAGTCATTTTTGTATTCATGATTCTGGACTCTAGTAAAGACTGTAAGTGTGTTAAATCTCTCTCTCTCTCTCAGAGCTTACAGAATGTGTGTGTGTGTGTGTGTGTGTGTGTGTGTGTGTGTGTGTGTGTGTGTGAAAGAGAGAGAGAGACAGACAGAGAGAGAGAAGGAGCTTTCAAAAACTCTTGAACTGATTCAGAAACTAACCCTGGTTGCTCTAATTTCTGCAGGTGCCCCTGAGTCCACCTTACATGAATGCTCTTTTGGATCCACAGAACAACTGAAAGTTAAGCAACCCCTCCTCCTGCTCCCAGATACGGGAGAAAGATCAATACGAATGGTACCAACACCAAAGTCTTTATCTAGGATTCCTTCAAAGAGTTGGGTGTCTGGGCAACACTCATTTGTGTTAGACAAATGGAGTACAGGGTACGGGGGCTTCTTCTGTGCTTGGTGTCTTCTCTGTGGTACAGAACTGGCACTTCTCTGGCCAGGTTTTTTTCTTTAACACTGCCATCTTTGACGCTGCCTCCCCCAACCTCTGACATGTGCAGTTAGCAATCAGTAAACATAACACCTGTCTTGTAAATCCTCATAGGCAAAGCTGCTGAGTGGGACTAAAAATCTAACCCTACCATTTCACTCACACTCCAAAGAGTGGTATCTGTTCTACATGCACGGCACTCCTGTTGTGGAGCAGCTGGGTAAGCACATTGGTTAATCTGAGTTGAAGAAGTTATTTTCTTACACATGGGATGACTATTTGGTTGCATAGAGAATACATTCATATTAATGGGACTGAATTCATCCGTGCCTCCACTGGGGAATCTCCAGGACCACAACCATCAATCCACTCTTTAATATTGTCCAATCTCTCGTGCCATTCTGCACCAATAATGTTTAGGAATTTCCCAGAAGACTCCTGGCCCAATGCCTTATAGAGAGACATTAGGAGTATGTCAGCAAGATAATTTTTGAAAGATAGCCCTAATATTGCTGATAGGCTCTACAATCCAAGTGCAGTGTGACTTACATTTGCTTGATTATAAGCATACAGATTCTCAGGTCTCTGCCCTGGAGACTCTGACTCAGTAGGTCTGAGGTCCCCTTGGGAACATGCATTTTAAACAAGCAGCCCAGTGACTCTAATGATCAAGCAAGTCCAGGAAACACTGCCCCTTTGTACAAAGTGGGTTCCAGCTACGAACCAGAGTGTGAGTCCAATCAGACTCAGCAGAAGCCACAATGCAAAAGAAGATCATGGAGATTTTAATAGCTAGGGAAAAAACCATCTGTGAGTCATGGGATGCCCTCACCAGGTAATTGGGCACCTATGGTCATTGCAGCCACCTGGAAGCTTCTGATAGAGAAAGCACTGGGGAATCTTTTATTAACATATTTAATGTGCTTGACTAAGGTAAAAAAGCATGAGAAGCCAGGAGGCCTTGTTAGCAACCCTGCATCATGCATGGTCAAGAAATAATGCTTTCTTTCTCAGGAAAGGTTTAGTTTAACCTTTGGCTGTCTTTCTCCAGGGAGAAGCCAGCAGGCATATACACACTTAAATAGCAGTCTTCCTAAAAGGGCTGGGGGTACCCGGGGCTCCATGGGCAGTGTCTGGGAGGAGTACAGAGAAAGCCACATGGAACTCTGTCATGGACAAGGTTATGGCTTCCTCGAGAGAGCAGTCTGCCACGTTATGTCCCCGGCTGCCCTCCTCCTCCACTGGGGTCAGCCTTGGAATCCCCAGGGACCCCAGAATATTGACCCACCCAGTGAGAGCTCCCTCCACCCCTTCTTTGTGGCTGAGGAGAGAGTGCAGCTCTTTCCCTGCTGAGGATTGACTAAGATAAAGTGCAGAACCTTAGCGAGAAGCTGAAATTGCAGCAGTGTGCCTCAGAGGGTCAAATGGAGACTCTGATCTGCAGGTTTTTAGGGCCACTTCTGTCACTCTGCATCCAGTGCAACATCACATCTGCACACCAAACCACAGCAGCTAAGATTCCAACTTGTCCCCTCCCTGACAAAGTTGGCCACCCCATGGGACATTTTTTGTTTAGTGGCAACAGCTGAGTGAAAACCCAGCATTCCCTTCTTGTTGGCAGATGAATCATTCTTCGTTGGGGGCACCTTTTTGTTTTCTATCCCTGAAAGAGTCTGGGGGTGGCTTTTCTTTTCTTTTTGCCTTTTTCATAAATAAATATTTTAACTGGAAATTTCCAAGCGTATGACAGGCCTAGAATGTGAACTTGAATGTACTGTAATAGAAATCATCAGTTGCCATGGCGACGTGTTCCAAGAGCAGATCGCACCAAGTCACGTGAGCAGAGAGTGCTCAGTAATACTAACACATCATAGAGTGAGGCCACTTAACCTCAATCGCTTCCAGCTATTGTGCAGAATGCAATTGAATTTATTCCTAATTTCTGCCAGTGCTAAGGAACAAAATTTCCCTGCAGATTTTAATCTTACTCAGGCAGCCCCAGCCAGTGCTCAGACACTGTTCAGCACCAATATTCAGAAGGGCTACTCACCCGCTTTACAGTTCTATTTTTTTATTCTTATTTTTAATAATAGCTTCCCTCTCCCTGCTGGATCCCGCACATCCCCCTGCCCTGGGGAGAGCTGCCCTCCTCCTTTCCGAATGGCTGCACGGTTTCTCTGGCTCTGTCTGCTAATGCAAGGAACATAGCTTTCATAGTAATACCAATTAAAAAATGACCGGCCTCCACTTTCAGTAGTAGTTTTTTCTCCCCCACCCCAAACCTGTGCTGAAATATAATTCCCACCAGCTTTGGGCTATACCTGGGGTTGACACAAGTAACAGCCCCATCATAATAAGGCAAACCCGTGGATCGGTGAATGATGGAATCACAGTGTGTATTTTCAGTCCCTGTCACAGTCACATCCCCCCACCCCCACCCACCCCAACCAGGAGAGCAACACAGACTACCAGGAGGTACGGCCGCCGATCACAGAACACTCATTTCAAGAGCTTATCAGCTTCTATGAAGGCTGATAAATCAGAACCTCTCATATGGACAGTCTCAAGTTAGCAGCGTCATCGATCTCCCCTGCCCCTTTTAAGTGATTTGTCTTATTCACTTCCAAAGATGATATCAGAGATGCCAAATGAGGCTTTGTTTTCTGTGCTCTTGCGCTGCCTAGGGTGAGTGGCTGTGCTGTTGCAGGGAACTAGGACGCATGCTTCCCGGGCTTAGCCCTTTGTTTCCAACCCAAGGTCACCTCTCCCCTGTCGGTTCAGGTGTTGTCAGCAGTCCGCCTGTGTTCTGAGGCAGGGGGAGCATCTTCCGTGGCTGACAGCCTTTGCATGGCCCTAGCCTTTCAGTGACCTCCCCGCTTTATGAATGTCACTTTTAAGAAGACCTGCTTGAAGAGCTAAAGTGAAGACAATGCAGAGCCCAGTCCTCAGAAAGTCTATGTTGAACGTCATGCAAAAGGAACATTAAAAATGTGGCTGGGTGCGGTGGCTCATGCCTGTAATCCCAGTACTTTGGGAGGCCGAGGTGGGCGGATGGCCTGAGGTCAGGAGTTCAAGACCAGCCTGGCTAACATGGTGAAACCCTGTCTCTACTAAAAATACAAAAATTAGCTGGGCATGGTGGTGCACTCCTGGAGTCCCAGCTACTCGGGAGGCTGAGGCAGGAGAATCGCTTGAACCTGGGAGGTGGAAGTTGCAGGGAGCTGAGATCATGCCATTGCACTCCAGCCTGGAAGACAGAGCAAGACTCCGTCTCAAAAAAAAAAAAAAAAAAAAGTGTAGGGAGATTATTGGAAAGGGCTTTTCAGAAAAAAAAAAGGTAGTTTCTGCAGTGACTTCCTTTAGCAGGTCGGTCCCTCTAGTGATAGAGGGGGGAATGTAGTTGCAAATCACTTACTCAGCTAGTTCCAAGCCATTGTTCTAATGCTGCACTGGAATAGGAAACATGGAGAGAAGTCAAGAAGAGAGGGAATGGCAGCGTGGAATTAGGATGGGGCTGCTGGTTGTCAGAGCTGACTCTACATAGAGAGCTTAGTAACTATGGAAATCTTCATGGAGCCTGTGAGTGAAAAGCAGCCCGAGAGGAAATGAAGGGAAGCGATGCAGTGAATTTTATATCAGCAGTTTGAGTGTGACATTTGGATCTGGAGGGAGAAAACTACATGGCAAGCTGTTGGTAGCACACAAGGCTCTGTGCCCGCCCTGCTGGGATGGAGCCTCTGAGGGGCCTTTGCCAAACAGGCTCACTCCACTGTCACTTGTCCACAGAGCAGAGGAGCAGGGTGACCTCAGGTAGAGCCAGTCCTCTGACTCCTATCAGGGACTTCAACCCAGCGCAAGCTCCCTCTGGCTAGGATGGGGGAAGTACTATCCTTTAACTGGCAGAGTAAACTGTCCAGCTGTTCATGAAACAGATTATATTTTCTAATCAAAATTGGTTTGATTTATACTAGAGCAGAATTTCCACACTTACTAGTCTAAAATACTTGCTGATCTTCTTACCAGAGCTGTTTAGGCAATTAGTGCCCTGGAAGGTTCTGGGAGGACATCTAATCTGCAGTGAAGCAATGGCCCTGTAGACAGTGTGGCCTTCTGGAACATTCCCGCACACAGAGGTACATTTCTGGAGACCAGTGAGCCTCATAGCCTCCTACAGAGGAAAGATGGTGAGAGAACGTCAGGAAAAAGCAGAAGCATTTTATTCCTGATGAATTGCATTAAAGGGAAGGACAATCTGTGCTATTATGCTAATATCTGCAATAGCAATTTTATTATGTTCGTTAATCTATAGTCAAGGAATAACATTATTACAATTCTTACAGCTTTTCAAAGTACTTTCATAACTATTACCTTATTTCAACTGCATGGCAACCCTGTGATGTAGGTGGGTGCATTTTAAAGATGAGAAAATTTGGATCTAGAAAGGTTGGGGCTAGAATAGAATCACACAGAGTAAGGACAGGATCTAGATCTTAGGACACCTGGTCCAGTGCTGCCAGGGGAGAAAGGGAGTTGCCTGCTGTGTATGCTGCTGGTGACATCCATAGGGACCTGGCCGTGGGGGGTCCCTGGGTGCTTTAGCCTGGTTATGACTCTCTGCCTGGACAACTGTCCACTTAATGTTTCCCCATTTATTGTTTCGCAGCCTGAATAACTCCTTGTTCCCACACCACCTATAGGACAGATTTGCAGAGCTCTCAAGACTGGTGCAGATGCATAATGTGTGACCACACCATTGCTTTCCCAGCTCTTCCCCCCTCCCCCAGCAATACTTTAACAGTGACCTGGAGGGGTCTGATGGGAAAGCTAAAATTTGGTTCTATGTCCTTGGTTCTCAGGCTTTCCTTTGAAAGGGTGATGAGATACTAATTTGAGTTCATAATTTTATGCTGAACAATTATCCTCAGAATAATGCATTTTGGATTTAAATTTCAATTGGAGTTTGAGAGGTGCAAAAGTTACAGGAACTATGTCCACATTTTCATCATACATTTTCCTCATTCCCAACAGTTACTATATCTCCAGTACTTCCCACATTACATCTTGTTTTCAATTCAGTTAAAATCCTGTATGCCTCCTCTGAATATCATAGTTAGAAACAAACAGAGATGCTCAGAGTAATTCTCCAGAATACGATGGGGAACACTTTCCCAGGTTACAGAAGGGCCTGGCTCCAAAACAAATAACAAAGAACTCCAGCAAAGCTGCCAATCACAATCCTTTAACATTGAAGCAGATCAAGGCATTGCAGTGCATTTCCCACTTATATTCAATCACAACATTTACCTTTCCCTCTGGGCCCATTTCCATCCCAGAAAAGGGCTAATATTGATTAATTACCCACTATACGGTTAAACACCTTTCTTTATATACATTACCTTGATTTATTAAAAAATACTTTCAAAGCTCATTATTGAAGTCAGATATAAATGAAAAGATCAGATATATTGAAAGACAACAAATTCCACGAGGCCTTCACCAAGACCACTTCCTCCTCCAGGAAGGCCTCCCAGATCCTTCTCATTTTCCTCCACCAAACTGAAGTAACTGTCCCATCCTGGAATTTTCACATTACTTTATTTCACTTGCTACCTTGTAATAGAGTTATTTATTCATGTCCTATCATCATATTAGAGAGAAATTACTTTTATTCATCTCCCTGTGGACACCATGACTAGCATGGTTCATTGTATATCTTGTACACAAAAGGTGCTGAGTAGAAACCCTTGAATGAATGAATCAGTGAGTGAATGAGTCGACTTGGGACTGGAGCTGGATCTTAAAGGACAGGTGGGTTTAGACACTCCTCAGTGTCTGAAGAACTGCAAGAGTCAGCAGGGTTGATTCACTTCTCAGTCACAGTAGACTCTAGATTAGTCACTATCACCTATAAATCATTCCAGCTGGCATCCTTCATGGACTCTTCACTGATGTATCTCTTTTTAAAATTTTATTTTATTTTTAGAGATGGGATCTTGCTATGTTGCCCAGGCTGGTCGTGAACTCCTGGGCTCAAGCCATCCTTCCTCCTTGGCCTCCCAAAGTGCTGGGATTACAGGCGTGAGCCACTGAGCCTGGCCCTGACGTTTTTCTCTAACCATACTAAGAATTGAGCAATTTTCCTCCCTAGGTCCCACCCCGACACTGGTTAGACTAGTTTGCCTGTAGTGTGGTCTCTGCTGACATCAACACTTCATTGGGATAGGAAGTTGGCACATTATTGCAGAGTTCCCATTATTGCCCCGTAGGAGGCTGTCACTTCCCCAAACTGCACTAGCTCTGGTGCCAATCTCTCACTCACGCATCCTCCTCCTGACTGCTGGGAGCACACAGGCATGCTGCATGTCACCTGCTCCTCGGGCTTTTGACAATCTCCTTCCTTTGTTTCCAAATCCTAAGCAAATTGCTCGGTTGACAATCAAAGCCTACTAACATCAAACAGCTGCTATAGACAGGTGTGTTCTACAGTTACCTGCTGTTTGCTTTCCTCAGCAGGGACTGATATGACAAACAAAACCAAGAGCTGGGTGCCGACGTTCAGAGTCACTCCTGCAAGCTCAACCTAGTGTCTGTTTCTTTGGCTTCCCTGGTATTTTTCAGACTTGGAAATTCACCCTACCTGTGGCCTCCCTCAGTCCTACAGTGTGTGGCTGGCTAGGGTGTTGTAAAACCCTGCTGATTCTTGCAGTTCTTTGCAAAAAGCTAGGAATCACAGTGGCTGCATTGAAACAAAGAGGTTGCCCAGTTCTGGAATCTTTGGTTTATAAATGGCACCCAGTCTCCTTCAAATATTTTCCACTTTTCTTTCTTGTTAGTGCACTTATATGAGTGCTGTCTCCTGATTTCTGCTTTTAGCAGAAAATATCTCAGGTTCTCACCTTTGAAAGTTGCTCTAAACACCCTGGAGCATGTCTGGTCACTTAATCCCCCACCACTGGTGGGTAAGAGGGTGTGGTAGGTTGGAGGTGAAATGGATTTCCAACTTTCCAATGTTCCTTCCTATACTTTGGAGTCTGGAAAACTAGCAACCATTGTTTTCCACGTTCTTTTCTATTTTTCAGATGCGTTTGTCCCTGGGTCTCTGGATGTGATTTAAGTTCTGCCAGTCAGACGTGCCCAGATGAAATGTGGAAGGGGAAGTGAGTCAGAGCTCATGTTTTCTGGGGCTGCTGTTTCTCCGGCAGCACCATCATGGTTGTGTCAGGGTTTTCTGTGGCAAGTACGGATGGTGGCCACTTTCTAATTATATCACTTCCTGATCTTGGTGGCTTCCTGATCACCAACGAGGCAGCAGTTTCCTTGGTGCCCTGGTGTTCAAGCCACTCCTGAAAGCTCAATCTAGTGTCTGTTTCTTCAGCTCTCCTGGTAATTTTGTAAGTCATTTAATACCCTTCTTTCACTTGCTAGAGTGAATTCCCTATGACTTCCTTACGACTGACCCTTAATCAAAACAGAGGGCAATTGGGCTAGGACATTAATCCCCCACTGCTGAGCAGGGTGCACTGAGGTAATCAGTCAGTCAGCAGGGGTCCTACCTCAGCCTCAGGCTGGATGTTCCCAGGGAGGAGAGCCACCATTCTGCCAGGGAGGACCCTGTCTGCCTCTGTGCCACGCTCATGTCCTTCCCGCTGCTTGGGATAGTTTTTCTTCCACGTCTACGTTTCTCCTTTGAAAGCTACTCCTTTTCCCAAGCTGGAAGCAGATTTTTCTTGTCTGAACTCTGTGAGCACTCAGCATACTTCTCTTATGGTGAAATGATCACTTTCTTCTTGTGTTATTGTTACTCATGCGCATTTTTTTTTTTTTTTGAGACAGGGTCTTGCTCTGTTGCCCAGGCTGGAGTGCAGTGGCAGGATCTTGGCTCACTGCGGCCTCAACATCGTGGGCTCAAGTGATTCCTCTGCCTCAGCCTTTTGAGCTGCTGGGAATACTTTTACTTTATTTTTAGAGATGGGGCGTGCACCACCGCACGTTGCTAGTTTTTTGTGGAGATAGGGTTTTACTATGTTGCCCAGACTGGTCTCAAAACTCCTGGGCTCGAGCAATCTGCCTGCGTTGGCCTCCCAAAGTGCTGGGATTACAGGCGTGAGCCACCACACCTGGCCATTGTGCACATTTATCCCCTGAACCAAATGGGCAGTCCTTTAAGAGCAGGAGCACAGTCTGGATCATTTTGGCAGGTCCTGAGTATGTCAACCCTGGTGTGCCTTGTGTATTCAGGTACACGATGACATTCCTGAACGAATGAATGAGCAGAGGGAAGGATGTACAGGTAGCTGTGCTCCCTGGCTAGTACTTGATATACCATTTTTTATTTTCCTCCACGTGGATTTTGGGGGCCCTTCAAAGAACTCATGCCAGTTTAAATGATGGCACTGGAGTACCAGCACCACCCAACAAAACTTTCTGTGATGATGAAGATGTTCTATCTGTCCAGTGAGGTAGCCCTAGCCACGGGTGACTATTGAGCATTTGAAATGTGGCTAGTGTGACTGAGGAATGGAATTTTAAATTTTATTTAATTTGAATTAATTTAAATCCAAGCAGCCACTGTGGTTACTGGCTGCCATATTGGAGAGTGCGCCATCAAATCACATCCTAGCCTGGTGGGCACACAGGCCCTATGTACTAACTACTCATTCTGCCATGGACAGGATGACAGGCCAGGACACTCTGGATGCCATCCTCAGTGTGTCTAGGCTGTGACTCTGACTTTCTGGGCCAGGACCAGGGCCTTACAGTGCAGGAGAAAGACAGAGATGTGGAAGCTTCATGGGGAGGCTTTAAAAACAGGTGAGTAGCTCTCAAATACTCTTTTCCCTAATTTCTAAAAGCGATCTGCCTGCTTCTTGCACTCCAAAGCGCTGAAGCGTTGGTGTGGTGCTGTGGCAGCAAGAGGCAGCACGTCGCTAGAAGGGCGGTTGGCCTTGTGTTGAGCAGCCTCCTGCTACCGATTTTCCCTGAATGGACAGCTCCTTTTGGAGAGCATAATAAGTTTCTCATGAGGACATTTGTCCCGCTCTGTGGCATCTCCTACAGTAACCACGTGTGTGTCCAATTGCAGCTGGACAGCAAGAATGCAAACAACCCCTGTGAGCATCCTGGATTGCTGTGGGTAGGGTGACCCCAACACAGCCCAGGCCTGGCCACTTTGCTAGCTCTCCATACACATACAAAAGGGTATGATGCCAGGACAGAACTAGGATAATGATGCAAAGACAGAGCATGGCACACACACTTAGTGCACATACATGGTCACCTGGCTGCAGAGTGGCCTCCTTTCATGAGGTTCCTAGAGCACACATGCAGGGCCCTTTTGTTTATAGTCGTCTCTTCCATAGAGTTCTTGGAGATCATCAACCACACTTTGGTCCACTCTGCTGCACACTCATATTTTTATCCACAGAATTCAGCCCTGCCCATCACCCTTGATGCCCTTGGCATAACCTAAGCAGGTACGTTCTAGAAGCATCTAGATGGAGGCTCTGAGGGCCTCCATCTCTTCCTGTTCTACTGCTCTAGGGTCACCGTCTATGAAAGTGGAAGCTCCAAAGACAACAAACACACACACACAGAGCCAGAAAGAAACCTCACTGCTTTGTTTTGCTCCACTTAGGGCCCACTGAGAATGAATGAATGTCCTGACTAGATAATAGCTTGCTATTGGGAAATGGGCCAGGGGTCTGGGGAAGTGAGTGAGAGTGACTTGGGAAGGTCTGGCAGAGACAGGACAGAAGCAGAGGCATGAGTTAAAATGTACAGGTAGATCTGGGCTCACATTCTAGCTGTGAGCCTTGGGCAAATTTCTTGGTCTCTTTGAGCCTCTGTTTCATTTTATGGGTTGGTGAGAAGTTGAAATGAGATCATGCCTGTGACAGTCCTCATAGAATGTCTGACAATAGAATGAAAGGCACCTTCTGGTCAGGAGCCTCTGTGACCTGCACCTCTTTACAACTTTTGTAGGTGAGCCAAGATTTGGAGGAACCACTGGGATGCTCACTCGTGGCCATGACATCAGCATTCCAGGAGGGCAGCTCCACAGATAAGTCACTCCTGATACTGCTGGCAGCTCACCATCAGGAACAATGCACTGAAATGCATACGGCCTTTGTAATGCGCATTTACATTGATCTAACCACTTTCTGGGAAACTCACAACAGTCCATGGGTGTGATTATTGTTATTTCCATATTGCAGATGATGGAGCTAAGGCCCCAGGAGGTTAACTGACTTGCCCAAGGCCATATTGCCTGTATGTGATATAGCTGGGATTCAAATCCAGGTAGTTTGGTTTGAGAGTCCACACTGTTAATCATCGCTTCCCGGCGCACTGCTTTTAGCTGAACTCAACGTGCCAACGATTACCGTAGCTAAAAGTAACAATAGCAAAGGAGGCTAGGAAATGCTTACCTCCCTAAAAGTTTTATAGTGAACTTCATGTGAATCATGTTATCACCCAGACTGCACGTGATCTCAACATTTTAAAAATATGCCTGTAGAAAGGGGATTTTAAATTGGAAAAGATGAGTCCTTCCCATTACTTTATGTTTCAGAGTTGGAAGGAATACAAGCTTTCTGAGGAAGGCAGCGCTGTGGCTCCAATGGCCTGGAGCTCCATTTTGTCTCGGTAGCCACCCTGGAATGGTGGGTCAGATGGTAGAGAGGCTTAGAGGCTCAGTAAAGAAGTTTGGGCTTGGCACTGAGTCCCTGGAGATTTTCAAGTGGAGACAGATGGGATGAACTAATGTTCTGCTACAATCAGGCTGACAGTGCAGAGTGCAGGGTGAAGGGAGATGGAAGATGGAGAGGCCAATGAGAAGGCTGCTGCACATGAGGAGGAGGCTGGGCTAGGATTGAAGGAGAGGGAATGAAAAGATGGTGATGGCCTCAGAAATGAAAGGAAAAGCCACAGGGCTTGTGATTAATTGGATCCTGGGGTGGGAGAAGCAGACATGGAGGTTTTCAGCCAGAAGCAAGAGAATCAAGAAGAAAAAGGGATGGTTTTGAGAGAAACAATATTCAGACCCACTGAATTTTAGGAGAGATAGGGGCACTAAGTTGCAAGGCTAATAGGTAGTAGGAGATCTTGTGCTGGGACACAGAGAATAACTCAAGCTTGTGGTTTAGTAGAGAAATGGAAATTGCAGCATTGAGAATTAGAGGAGGTTGTGAGAGGAGGGCTGAGAACTAAGAGGTAACTCCAGCATCAACAAGGGTGAAGGTGGAGAGCCTCTCATAGAGCCTGGCAGGAAAACCACTGGTGACATTTGAGAGTACAGTCCAGGTTCCCCAGAGAAAGAGAACCAGTAGGGCATGTGTGTGTGTGTGTGTGTGTGTGTGTGTGTGCATATTGATATACACACACATATACATATATAAAGAAATTTATCATAAGAAATTGGCTCACATGAATATGAAGGCTAAGTCCCAAGATCTACAGTCAGCAAGAAGGAGACCCAGGAGAGTCAATGTGTAGTTCCAGTGAGAGTCCAAATACCTGAGCATAGTACAAATTTCAGTCCAAAAGCTAGCAGACTTAAGACCTAAGAAGAGCCAATGTTTCAGTACACATTTAAAGGTCAGAAAAAGCCAATGTCCCAGCTCAGATAGCCAGGCAGGAGAAGCTCCCTCTTGGCCTTTTTGGTCTGAATTTTTGGCCTTCCACTGATAGGGTGAGACCCACTCACATTAGGGAGGACAATCTGCTTTACTCAGTCCACCAATTCAAATGTTAAACTCATCCACAAACACCCTCATACACACACCCAAGATAATGTGTGGCCAAATGTCTGGGCACCCTGTAGCCCAATCGAGCTGATACATAAAATTCATCACCACAGTGCCATGAAGTTAGCTTGTGGAAGGCTAATGAAGAAATGTGTGGTAGGGAAAAGGATGCAGGAAGACACAGACGACCCACTTGAGAATGCTGTCAGCCAAAAGAAGCAGAAAAATCTGAATGGGCAGCAGGGTTACCCAACATTTCTTTACATGATAAAAGAGACCTTCTGACTTGATGCTTTTATGCTAATCCATGTAGACATTTGTTCTGTCATTCCTTTTCCCCCAGCTTATTAAATTGAATATATAATTTTCCATTCTAATTATATTTTCCCAAAGGTAACTTTAAAGTAGTTTGCATTTTTGGCAGGCATGCCAACTATTGGCAGAAGCAGGTGGCTCAGAAGGGCTCTGGGGCAAAGGAATAATCCAGTTCATAATCTAAAATGTGCTGTGGATAAAGATGCATGCCACTTACAAGGATATTATCAAAGTTAATTTTTCTGTGTGATTCGTGGCTTTTCAACATTGGTGCAGAAGAATGGATGTTTCCTGTCAGCGTCTTGACCGCCTTAGTGTTCACTTAAAAGAAATACAGGGAAGTACACCTTTCAGGCATTGGTGCGAGATGGGTCAGAAAGGAGCCAAAGAACCCGCAGTTGTGTCAGCTGGGGCAGGTGGTAAGTTGGCTGAGGCACAGTGACATGTCCTTGCATTGGTCCCCATCTGATCAGTGCAATGATCACAATGGAGGACTTGAGACTCTGCAGAATGTTAAGTGTAAAGAGTGATGAAATCCTTTTTGAGCGTGCAAACTGTTTGCTAGAATCCTAGTTCCATGTTTCACCAGCGTGGCTGCCTTTTCTCCACACACCTCCGCTCTTAGACAGATCCCACATAGCCAGTGGGCCTGGACACTCAGCCCCGGTGAGCCCTCTTCCTGGAAACCCCATATCTTCCATCACTTAGTCTCTTAAAGAAGAGCGTACAAATAGCCCTCAAATAGCGCTTGTGTCCAGAAAGCGACATGCACAGCATGCCTGTATCTCTACTCCAAGCATCCCAGGTAGGTTGGCTTTGCATGATATGTAAGTTGCTGCCAAACATGCCCATTAGCTGTCATTTCTCACTGACTTCACTGTTTTCTTACTTTTATTTTAAAGGTCATCTCTGTATTTCCAGTTGAGACCCACTTATTAATTTACAATGATACTGTACATATATTTTCAGTTATTATATATTGTTATCATATATAGTTATCTATATATCATTTTGTATATAGATATCTGTATATATGATATTATCTGTATATATTATCCATGCATGTACTATCTGTATATATGTATATATAACTGTATATCATATTCTTAAATATACATTGTCATCATAATATATGTAAAATTCAATATATGGAGACATCTATCTTCTCAATTTTTTCTAAAATATAATAACAAATTATACTCAAATAATCTAACCAGAGCATTTATTAAGTACCCATGTGCTCAGTATTAGTTTAAGCCCCATGGGATACAGAACAAATACAAGACATAATATTGACCCTCAGGTTGACCACACACAAGCTGGGAAACGAGACCCATACACGAGAAGTGACAATGAACTCTGACAATGAACTCTCCTGGCTATTTGGCCATGGGAGGCACATGCAGAAGATGGAAAGGCAGCAGGGCATGTTTTCCCTGTTCTTACCCTGCTTCAGCCTCTCTGGGAAGGTCACATCCTTCTCTGACTACAGCCACTGCTGGGCCGTTCCCCCAGCTCTCACTGGCTCTGGTCCTTCCATTGTTCCTTTCACCCTATGGGTAGTAACAGCTTCCTGGTGTTGTTAGTCTTTGGGCACCTTTCCTTGCTTGTTCTCATACCCCTGTCTATTCCTCTGTCAGTAGCCCCTTCCTTAAATTCCATCCACCTGTACCATTAGGAGTGAATTCTGTTTCCTCCTGGGACTCTGACGGATGCAGCGAAACTTACGAAGTTGCAGGTAGGGGGTTGCTTCACTTGTTGGTAAAGATTTTAATGTGTCAACCAGAACAAATACTTGTTTGATAAAGGAGAAAGGAGTTGGCCTTCCCCAGCAGGAGAGTAGGAGGAGCTTTGAAAGCAGACAGATGACTTATAGAGAGCAAAAGCAAGGGCTTGAAGTGAACAAGTTGGCATTTTGGTGTAGACAAGTCTGATCTGTACAGCTAATTTTTAGACTTTAAAAAGTTAAATGAATCCTTCCTGGAGGCTTATGCTTCCTGTCCTGTCACTTGTTTGAAGAGAGAGCTACATCAAAGCCCCAGGCACCAGAATTCCCCAGAACCCAAACTTCACAGTCCTGCTGGGGGACACCTCAGATCCCCAATTAGGAGGATGGAGTGCAGGTGAGCAAGGAACCCCCTCCTGCTTTAATTACTCCTGGCATAATATTCTTTTTCAAGCTTTGCTAATTGAAATTAAACAGCTGCCACATTTGGACAGGGACAAAAAAGAATCAATTTTTCAGCTTTCTCTGATGTAATAGAGACTGACAGGCTATGAGGAAAACAGGGGCAATTTCCCTCCCACGGCTACTGGGTCACCAGTGGTTGACTCAAAGCAAAACACAGTGTTGAGGTGAAGTCTTCCCTAGTACAGTAAGAGTGATGCTAGCCAGGGGTTCTCAGGACAAATGACACATTAAGTTCGTCTCATGGCCACCTTTACTAAAATGATCCAGTAGCCGACTCTTTTGTAGCCCAAGATTACCAAGATCTTCCATATGCCAGAAGGGGCTAGAAATAGTCCCCTGCCAAGTGGATTCTTTGCTAGGTAAGTTCTTTAACAGTTGGTGAAGGGTGGCAAGGGATGGTTTTATCACCTTAGAGGACAGATTAGTAAAGGGAAGGTGAAGGAAAAGAGATTCTACAATGCACTTAAGGGTGTGCTAGGTGCTTTCAGAGAAGTTGTCTTTGTCAGGCCCTATGGCAACATAGGGACTTAGGTCTTATGAAACAAACTAGACTTGGAGCTTGGGGGCTTAGGTCTGTGTGTGGTGAGTGTGATATGGTCAAAAGGCTTGGATAAAAATCAGTGACCAGAACAGTTGGCCTTCCTCCCACCTCCCAGACTCAGTGCACAGAACACCAGAGGCAAGGCATCTGTCCCCCAGGCAGAAAACCAGAAGTTTCTTCTCTGAATAAACTAGATGGCCCTAGGGACTAAACTTCCCCATACAAACATTCTCTACTTAATAACCTTAAAGTGAAGCCTGTTAGTTGGCAAGTCCTGCTCCCACTCCCAAAGAAAATGCTCCCTGTTTAGAATCTCACATTTAAATACAGTGACAGGCAAGGATTTTTGAGGAAAACCTCTGAATGAAAGGAAACAAAAATAGACAAACAGAAAGAGAAATAATGCAGAGAACAGAAAATAAACTTAAAAAAGAAAAAAACCTTCTAGTTCATATCTTTAGAGAGATTTGAGAAGATGTTATGCAAAGAGAACAATTGGAGAATAAGAAAGAATTCTTAGAATTTAAAAATAGAATTTCTAGGGCCCGGCATAGTGGCTCATGCCTGTAATCCCAGCAATTTGGGAGGCTGAGGTGGTTAGACTGCTTGAGCTCAGGAGTTCGAGAGCAGTGTAGGCAATGTGGTGAAACCTTGTTTCTACAAAAAATACAAAAAAATTAGCTGGGTATGGTGGTGTGCACCTGTAGTCCCAGCTACTAGAGAGGCTGAAGTGGGAGGACTGCTTGAGCCTGGGAGGCAGAGGTTGCAGTGAGCTGAGATCCTGCCACTGCACTTCAGTCTGGGCAAGATAGTGAGACCTTGTATCAAAAAATTTTTTTTTCTAAAATTAAAAAAAAAGTGGTAAAATAGTTGGAAGGTAACATCAAGAAAATCTCCCAGAAATTATAGCAAGATGTAATAGAAAATAGGAAGCAAACAAGTGAGAAAGCAGGATGGAAGCCAGAGTCTTTTTAAACCCTCATATTGGAAGGAACACCCTATCACTTTTATCATATTTTATTTATTAGAAGGTCCAGCTCAAGAGGAGGGGATTATAGAAGAAAGGACTACGGGGAGTCTGAGATCACTAGAAGTCTCTTTAGAAGATGCCTACCACATCTTCAAGAAAATCTCCCAGAAATTATAGCAAGATGTAATAGAAAATAAGAGAGAACAGATAAGATATATAGAGGATAAACCTGTCTAGAAGAGGTTGGCAATGAATGGTACATGTGCCAAATCCAGCCTGTGGCCTGTTTCTATGTGTTCTTTAAGCTATGAGTGCTTTTAAAATTTGTAACGGGTTGTATTGGAAAAAAAAAAAAAAAAGGAAGAAGATGTGACAGACCACATGTGGCTCACCAAGCCTGAAACGTTTACTCTCTGGCCCTTTACCAAAAAACTTGCTTACTCCTGTTCTAGCAGGTCCAACATCCAACTGATAGGAATTCTAGAAAAAGAGAAGAGATAAGCGGACACATGAAATTATCAAAGAAAATATACAAGAACGATTACCAAAATGTAAGGACATGAATCTCAGGCTGAAAAGGTGAATGGGTATCCAGCACAATAAATGAAGACTGAGCCTTAACTCGATTACATCACTGTAAAATTTCAGAACATCTGGGGTTAAAAAAAAGATCCTGAAAGTTTCCAGCGGGGATAAAAACAGGTCACTTACAGTCGAATGAAAAATCAGACATCTTAATAGCTGTATTTCATGCTAGAAGAAAATGGAGCAACACCTTACACATTCTGATGGAAAGTAATTTTTAGCCTTGAATTTTATATCTGTCCAAATGTTAGGGAATATCAATATAACGACATTTCAGACTCGAAAAGACTTAGAACATTTATCTTCACAGTATCTTTAGCTGACAGCACTTGCTACAGATGTGCTCTCCTAAAATGAGAGACAGTAAACCAAGAAAGGAGACCATGGGGTCCAGGAAACAGACATCAACTTAAGAAAGTGGTGAAGGAAACTCTCACTAGAGATTAACTGGTCCAGATTACAGCAAGAGCCCGGGGGGGGGTGGGGAAAGGGTGTGGTAGGCATTGTCTAAAGAGACTTCTAGTGATCTCAGACTCCCCGTAGTCCTTTCTTCTATAATCCCCTCCTCTTGAGCTGGACTTAGTGACTTGCTTCTAATACATGGAATATGATAAAAATGATAGGGTGTTCCTTCCAATATGAGGATTTAAAAAGACTCTGGCTTCCATCCTGCTCTCTCACTTGCTTGCTCTGATGAAGCCAGCCGTCAAGTTGTGAGCTGCCCTGTGGAGAGGCCCATGTGACAAGAAACCAAGGGAGGGCCTAGCCAAAGCCTTTGAGAAACTAATCCTGCCAACAATCACTGGAGTGGGCTTGGAAGTAGATCTTCTCCTGGTTGAACTTTGAGAGGACTACAGTCCTAGCTGACACCTTAATCGCATCCTTGTGAGACATCCTGAGTTAGAGGACCCAGCTAATCCAAGTCTGGTTATTTTCCCACAGAAATTGTAAGATAATAAATACTCATTGTTTTAAGCTGCAATGTTTTGGGGACAATTTGTCACACAGTGATAGATAACTAATACAAAAAAGTTGAGCGAAAACTGATATGATGGAATCTTTTGGGGAAGAGATCAAGGATTAGTAGGTAGCAAATTTTACACATAAACAGCAAATGGAAACTTACAGAAAATTCCAAAGTTGCACTGGAAAGAAAACGCAATCATAGTTCACTACTTGGCTCCACAGTGAACAGTATTAACATAATCATCCTGTTGTAAATATTGAATATATAACTGAAACAAGGAGTGATAGGTGGAATGAGATAACTATGTTCTCATTTATCATAATATGCAGTCACTGAATAATTTTTAACATCACAAAAAAATTACCAGTATAAATATGTTGTGTATAAGTGTGGAGGTAACTATCAGAAGAAACAGCTAGAAGAGTTGAAAGTGGTTGCCCTTGCAGAGCAGAACTAGGACAGTACATGGGGGACAGGTAGAAAGGAGTCTCTTGTTCTTCATTATAAGTTTTTTTTTTTTGAGATGGAGTCTTGCTCCATCGCCCAGGCTGGAGTGCAGTGGCACAATCTCGGCTCACTGCAACCTCTGCCTCCCGGGTTCACACCATTCTCCTGCCTCAGCCTCCCGAGTAACTGGGACTACAGGCTAATTTTTGGTATTTTTAGTAGAGACGGGGTTTTGCCACGTTAGCCAGGATGGTCTCGATCCTCTGACATTGTGATCCACCCGCCTCAGCTTCCCAAAGTGCTGGGATTACAGGCGTGAGCCACTGCGTGGAGCCACTGCTCCAAGCACAGGGTAGAAGGAACGATGAGAAATTAGTATTCCTAATGTATGTGAGGCCAAATTCCATTACTAATCATGCTTTATGGAAATTCAGTGTCTAGAAACAGTCATAAAAATTGGTCTGGAATGTTTGAATCCTGTAGAGTTCCCAGCATAATGATGGAAATGCATAATAAAGACACATTCACAATACAGAGCATGTGTAGGACCCCACAAAAGATAACTTCTAGCAAAATAGGCTAATTGACTATGTGACAAAACACAGGAATAAATCCAACATTATAAGAGATGTCAGCAGGTACATCAAAAGGGAGAAATCATATCAAAGAACTCATGGAAATTAGAGGAATATAAAAGGGACTTTAGCAATGTATCTAAAAGGTTCAAAAAGATAATGAAAGGAATGGAAAACTTAAGGTAAGATTAGGGCATCATAAAAAAGAAAGGCCCAATATACATTGAAAAAAATTTATAAATTCCAGAAATAAAAATCAGTCCTTGAGATATACCTTCAGTGGTGGGTGAAAAAGATTAGACATGGCTGAAGTGAGAATGAGCAAACTGGAAGAGAGACCAAAGGAAATAATAAAAAATACTATACAGTGAGGTAAATGTACAATGTGAAAGAGAAGTAATGAGAAATCCCAGAATGAAACCTGCCAATGCATGTCTAACAGAAATTCCAGAAAAAGAAAACTGAGAGACTGGAGAAGAACCAATATTTGAGAAAATAGAAGTTCCAAAATTGAAGGAGGACATGAGCCCTTAAATTAAAGAAGCATACAGAGTCCCAAACATGACAAAACAAAGAGAAATAAATCCAGACCTAGACACAGTGTAGTGAAGCACAGAAAGGTAAGGTAATAAATGCTTCCAGAGAGAGAGAGAGAAAAAAAAAACAAACAAGATTGTTTACAAAAGAATAGCCATTAGTCTGACAGCTAACTTTGGTCAGGATAATCATATCAGAAGATAATAGAACAACCTTCAAAATTCTTAGGGAAAATAATTGACAACCCTGAATTTTATACCCAACTAAATAATAATTCAAAAGTGAGGTTGTATAAGACATTTCCAGACATATAAAGATGAAGAGTTTACTTGTCTTAGACCCTTGCAGAAAGAATGAATAGAGGAAATAGTTTCAAGAAGGCAAATTATACCAGAAGAGAAGAGGACACAGGAGGCAACAGTGAACAAAGTAGGTGAAACATGTTGGCTAATTAAGTAAGTACTCCCTGTAAAAACACACAAAAACTAACCACTCATCCACCCAACAACAACAAAAAACTCTCATTTGGCTCATACAAAAGGTTGGTGAAACTACAATACTAGAAAATCCTAATAGGGAAGATGGGTGGAAGAAGTTAGGAGGGAAGTTCAGGCATTTTAAGATCTTTGTTTTTGTCAGGAAGAGGATAAATATACTAACTACCTTTACCCCCTTTGGGTGTATATAGATGCTACTGTTCACCAATCTCTCTCTTCTTCTTCCTTTCTCTTCTTTCTACACTACCAAAGCACATATGCTATCTTGCATGTAAGTGGGATCATGTGACTGAGTCCCGGCCAATGGCCCATGGGATGGAGGTGGGATATACCCCTTCCAGGCCCGGCCCCTAAAGTACACCATGTGGGCCTCCTTGCTCTTTCTTTGCTTGTTGGTCAGCTGAGTGTTGAGGGCTCTGAGGAAACCCCAGGGGACATGGAACTACTGGGTGGAAGAATCCTCTATCCCAGAATCATTACTTAGAGGAGAGCTGCCCTACGACAAGAATCTGGATGAACTTTCCATTAGGCAGAAATGATTTTATTGTGTTAAGCTGCTAGAATTTCTTTGTCATCACAGCTTAGCCTATCCTATTTGATTAATACAGAAATGGAAGTGAAACAATGCCATAATAAAAACCAAAAATATGTGGCATTGGTTTAATGGTCAGGCAGTGAGTGACAAGGACACCATCAGCAGCAGACGGAAAGAAAAGAACCAGAACATGCAGCAGTAAAACTGTCACCTGTGGTAACACACTAGATATAAGGTCTCCTCTCAAGTTGGCGGCTCTAGAGGAGTCTAGAAAGCAGACTATTAGTAATGTGTGTTGGTTTTTATTGGCAGCCTTTGCTAAGCTATTAAGGAGATAAACTCAGGAGAGAATTAGCAGGTTTGTAAACAGAAATAAATGGGAATGCAAAGAGTCCAGACATTTGCAGAGTCAAAGGGTTGAAAAAACTTACTGCTTCCAGCAGAGCATAAATGACAAAGGCCCAGAGAAACAAGCAGAGATCTGCCCCATAGGATTCCAGCATTTGTTAAGAGTGGCTTCAGTGTACCCCCTTTTTGTTCCTTTTCTGACAGGGAATTTGTAATTGCAATTATTGCAGGCAGCTTGCTTCGCTGCAGTATAAGTAGTAGTGAAGCGAGAAAGGGAGGAAAGATAACTTCTTTTAGTTCATTGGGTGCCACGCCAAGAAGAGTCACATGATAGATCTTTGCATCATCCAGAGACCCCGGACTCTGAGCTGGAATGAAGTGACTGGACAGGACTTTGAGTTGTTTTCCCTGGGCAGAGATGAGTGTGTCCTATACGTGGTTCTCTCTTTCTTGGACACACAGCTAATCTAATTGCTCTCTAGTCCGTGCATCTAGGTGAAGCCACATGATTGAGTTCTGGCCAATGAAGCATAAGAAGAGGGAAGGGTATGCTGGTAAGGGTTTAACAACTGACCCTCCAGAAAAGACATATGCATATGTACTTGAATTTATGATAAATTTGCTAATATAAGGGTTGCACAGCAAGTTATTTATAATTAATAATATTATAATTACATTTTAAAATACACAGTACTCTGTTGTAATTTCCATATAGCTGATTGATTCTCTCAGAATGCTTTTGTTGTTTTTATGTATGACACAATTTACTTCTTCATCAGTAATGAGGGCAACTTCTTTGCTGAATCAGTTAACAGTTTTCAAACACTGTAAGGATACTCTCTCAATATTTTGTGCTATTCAGAATGTAATGGCTACAGACACAACATGCTTTTAGTTAATCTGGATTAACAACACTTCATAACTTTTAAAAGTCTCTAGGCCAGGTACAGTGGCTCACATCTGTAATCCCAACACTTTGGGAAGCCAAGGCGGGTGGATCACCTGATATCAAGAGTTCGAGACCAGCCTGGCCAACATGGTGAAACCCCATCTCTACTAAAAATACAAAAAATTAGCCGAGTGTGGTGGTGGGCACCTGTAATCCCAGCTACTCGGGAGGCTGAGGCAGGAGAATTGCTTGAACTCGGGAGGTGGAGGTTGCAGTGAGCCAAGATCAGCCTGGGCAACAAGAGTGAAAGTTTGTCTCAAAAACAAAACAAAACAAAACGTCCTAGAAAATCAACAGAACAATAAGTCAAGCTCTGATTTATAGTGTTTGCCTGTTTCCATGGTATAAATATCCCCACCATGGTCGATTTCAAACTATCAACATGATGCCTCCAAACACGGGGTCAGGAAGAAATGCACAGTAGCTACTGCTATACAGTATTTCCTGCTTATCCATACAAGTGGCTGTTTGAACAAGATCCTGTTTGAACTCTAAGACTACTAGATATTTAGGTCTGCATCTGGATACAGAATCTTATTTGAATCAATTAGCACCTAAAGCTAAAATCTGTGCTCTTTTCTCAGGGAACCTTCTGACAATACTTACACTAAGCACAAGGAATTAGTGGGAGACACTCAATAGATCCTTTAATGGAAATTAATGAATGTCCAGCAAAAAATCAATGGAATCTACCAGAAAACAGAAATGCCTTGAAAAACTATATTTCCCAGACTGAAGGATTCTTAATACTTAAACTTTTTTTTTTCTTTTTTTGAGACTTGAGTCGTCCAGGCTGGAGTGCAGTGGCGCGGTCTTGGCTCACTGCAACCTCCACTCCCTGGGTTCAAGCCATTCTCCTACCTCAGCCTCCTGAGTAGCTGGGCTTACAGCTGCCATGCCATGTTGGCCAAGCTGGTCTCAAACTCCTGACCTCAAATGATCCACCTGCCTCGGCCTCCCAAAGTGCTGGGATTACAGGTGTGAGCCACCGCACCCGGCCTAATACTTAAACATTTTAAATATAAACATCTAATCCTCAAGTTGAAAGGCTCTTTAAAATTTCAAATATCAACTTCTAACCTCATGTGCAAAACATTCCAGAAAGTACAGTGGGTAACAGCTTTGAAGGACACACATTTCTACAGATGCCTTATCCCTATGCTCACTCGCCAAAGTTCACTAGGCATCTACCATGTGCAAAATATATTCCAGGTGTGTTGAAACCACAGTGGTAAATAAACCTTCAGGGAAAAGGTTGCATGCAATTGTTCTATGGGGTATGGGAAAAAGGGCATCGCAGGCTTAGGAAGTAACCCCAACAAAGGGCATGGCATGTTTGAAAAATGTGTAAAACATGAGGGGACAAATGGTATGAAAGCCCCTCATCATGTACTGTGGATCTTTAAAAAATTAATTAAGTAATTATTTTAAATTAAGTAAAAATATCAATTTATGACATATAACATGATGTTTTGAGACATGTATACATTGTGGAGTGGCTAAATCAAGTTATTTAACATATACATTACCTCACATACTTATTTTTTTGTGGTGAGAACACTTAAAATGACTCTCTCAGCAATTTTCAAATATACAACATATTGTTGTGTAGTCACCATGATGTATTACTGAGGATTGTGAACTGTATTCTTTATTCAAGGAGGAGAGAATCGCTGTAGGGCTTTTTACTTGTATTAGAAAGACAGTGCCCTGGCACTGTGAAGGGCTAAGGCACATAGGGAAAGACAGCAGGCAAAAGACAGTGGGGAGACAACTTCTGCACTAGTGTAGGTGAGAGATGGGTCTGAAGCAGGACGGCAGGGATGGGAGGGAAGAGGCACCCAGGAGCGCGTGGACAGGTATATCCACAGGACTTGCTCACTGACTGAATGTGCATATGTCGGGGGCCTGTGAGGATGGGGCCCGGCAGAAGACTGATGTCTGGTGCCTACGGGAGCTGCTCAATGTGGGCGGGGGGGCCTGTTTGCTCCAGATGGAAAACATGAGTGAGGAGATGTGTACTCAGTTTTGGAAATGCTGAGCCGGATAGGTCATTGGCAGATCCAGGTGGAGGTGGGACACCCAGATGGTATGAAATTTGAGGCTGGCATTCCAGAAAAAGAAGAGGGATGAGATACAGGTTTGGAATTATCAACATAAAGGCAATGAGGGCAGAGAGCCTTCACAGAGGAAAGCAGGGAAGTCAAAGGAGAGATAATGTCCTCAATTTTCTATTTTGTGGATAAGTCAATATAACACACATTTGCTTAGACTCTGCTATGCACCAGAAGAATCCAGGTCTTGGCCATGTTAGGGTTCATGGCCTAGAAAGTTCTTTAGCAAAAGCAGCCTTCAGTTTAACTGAAACATTACCCAAAGAGGGGACTTGTGGAGAAATTAAATAAATACATTTAAAATGCCAGCTTAGCGAATGTTTTATACAATTGTATAATACTCCATACTATCACAAGATTGAAGAAACAGACACACTCACGTATGGCAGTTGGAAATGAACGGGCATAACTCTTTGAAAAGTAACTTGGAAATATATATCAAGAGCCTTAAAAAGAATTATACTCTTTAAATCAAATCCTCAGGTTATTCCAAAGAAACTAACTTCAAACTTTTTTAAAGAAGCTTTCAGTACAAAGATGTTCATCACAAAGTATTTGCAATAACAGTTTGAGAATTAGCTTAGATGCCCAACTACAGTGGAGTGGTTTAGTAAATTATGACACATCTGCTAGATGGAATATTAAACAGCCATTAAAAACGATGCTTGAAGGAAGTATGTTATCTAATGTTATAATGTTAAATGGAAAAAAGGATATTCAGTATATCGCAAATGCATAAAATAAAAACCAAAAGCCCATGAATAGGAAAAAAATGTCTAGAAGGAAACATACCATAATTTGAATAGAGGTTGTCTTTAAGTGGTAGAGCTTGGTTTTCCCCTATTTGATAAATTCTTTTGCATTTCCTAGATTTTCTATATAAACATTTAATGACTATTTAATCAGAAAAATGAGCTCCAACGAGAAAACACAGAATGAAGAATGATGAAGACTTAGTGGAGACAGGAGGTATGAGAGAGGGCTCAGAGACAGTACTCGGCCTTGCATTTTTCTCCAGGCCTTGCAGGATGCAAGGTGGACAGTGCTGCAGTCCTGTGGATCTGGTGCCCTAGGCTCTGCAGACACATTGAGGGGACCCAGGGCTCTGAACAAATGGCCAGATGGTAAGAACACATCCCTCGAGTTGTTTCTTCCAGTTGCATTTTTCCCTAATCACTGTCTGCTTTGGGAAAGGTCGATCAACCTAGCAAAAGTACCCCCTGGACATCTTCACTAGGTCCACTGACTGCTCCCCAGAACTCTCAGTTTCCTGAGGATTGTGCCCTTTCCCTTCCTTTCCTGCTGCAGCTTCTCAGCCTAAGCGAACCTAGAGAGAGCAAGGGTGGGGAAGGAGAGCAGGGGTATGTGATTGCGCTGAGAACACCAAAAGCCCATAAAGTCTGAAAGGTTAAGCAAAGACTGAGGCATGAAGAGTGAAAATTCTCCATTCAACAATAATCCTCGCCCCCTGCCACCCCTGACATCTCTTCTTAAAATGGAAAGAAAGGGTGCATGATGACATTAGGCACTTTAAAATATGCAAAATTAGGAGCTGGTGCAGACCTCATTAACACCCGCCTCCAACATCATTAAGATGTTTCCAAGAAAATTAATTGAGAGACTCATTAAAAATAAATTAAGAAAAATGTGTTGCAGAGCGCCTGCACTCAGCTCATAAATCACAGCTCAGTGCTCTGGCCCGCTGCTCCGGCAATTAACTCCAACCTATTTGTTTTATCCTGACTGTGAAAATTAGAAAGCAGACGTGGAGATTAGATTAGGAATGTCTGTCAAGCGGAACTTGGAGTGAATATTTTAGGATACAAAATGGAAACCAGGAAAACAAAGACAGCAGAGATTTCATTCTGAGGAGCTTGTCTTTGAAAAGTGACAGGCAGATGAAGGGTGCTGGAGGGAGAGTATGGGGAAGGAGTACCTACTCTCGGGAAGGATGAAGGGGGAGAGAAAAGAACAGATGTTTAAACTCTTCTGACCAGGAATCGTGCAATACATTTGCATTATAAATATAAACAGTTACACATCTTAGTAAAGCTGGCATTGAGACATAAAATTGATGTTCCTGATGATACTTCATATGTCATACTTTAATGTTTAGACATAGAGTCATTTGGTTGAATCACTCGAAAGAGTTACTGGTCTCTTGCAATATTTTATGTATCAGTGATGACCACATGTTCCTCTATATGAGGTGAAATATGCCAGCCTCTTCCCTGTATCTCTCACTTAACAACAGTTATTGAGTAGCAGGCACTTTGCCGGGCTCAGGTATATGTGTCACTTCATTTAATTTTCGTAACTCCAAAAAAGAAAACCATTTTACAAGATGTTGAAACTGAAGCTCAAAGTAAAGCAATATGCATGGGAGTCGTGTGGCCAGTAAGTGGCAGAGTTGGGGTTGCAATCCTGGTGGGGTTTTTTGGTTTGGTTGGTTGGGTTTTTTTGAGTCTGGATCTTGCTATGTTGCTCAGACTGGTCTTGAATTCCTGGTCTCAAGGGACCTTCCTGCCTCACCTTCTCAAGTAGCTGGGTTAAAGGCACTCACCACCATGCCTGGCATAACCCTGGCATGTTAAACCTAAGATCAGTGCAGCCCTCAGCTTCTTTTCATTCCAAAGTTCATTTCAGGTCACTGTATTTTCCAAGCCTCAAACTAGAAAGGCTTTTTGTTCTTCCCTCCTTCCTCCTTCTATCTCTTATTTCCACAAATATTTTATTGCATGCTTGCAATATGCCAAGCATGGTATCAGGTCTGGGGGGATAGAGCAGTGGGCTTGTTGAGTTTGGGAAGACAGGTGCTGGTTAAGTCACTGCAAATGTGAGGGTCACTGCAGAGACCACAGCACAAAGGGAAACAAAGACTGTGCCCATCCCTCAGGTCATTTGTTGAATACCTGCTATGTAACGGTGCTGAGGACCCAGATGTTAGACTGCCGACTCTCCCACTTACCAGCTATGAGATGTTGGGTAAGTTATTTAATCTCTCAGTTTCCACATCTGTAAAATGGGGATAGTATTAGTACTTACCTTGGAGTTTTTTGTTTTTGTTTTTTTCTTTTTTGAAGATGAAATGAGAAATCCATGAGAAGCCCTTAGCAAAGTGCCTGGCTTAGAGTAAGCTCTGGGTAAATGTCAGCAGTTATTATTTAAAGGTGACATTTAAGTTGACTCTTAAAGGAGCAGTAGGAATTCAATCAGAATTCCATTTCTGGGGACAGCTGCAGTCTTATAGGTGGTATTTAAAATTATTTGGCTCTTTCAAATAAAAAGGGGAGTGAATAATCTTGGGTATTAATAAAAGGCTAGCCAGCTTGTCATGACACACAGCCTCACTGGGTCATGAATATGCTACCCCAGGCTGTGCATGGGAGTGGGATGCAGCAGGGCAAGAACTGGGGGGAAGTTTTGCTTCCTGTTCTCCAGGACATCTCAAAGGCACTGGGGAAAAAAATCCCATCCTGCACAAGGAAGAAAGGTTAAAGTTGAGGAGTATGTCACAGCACCGAATTTCCATGGCTCTTTCCTGCCTTGCCTAGGAGACAGTTGTGGATCAGTATTAGTGAACTGGCATTACTAATCTTTGGAAATTCAGTGACAGTGAGTGGATTGCATTTTATTTTTCATTTTGTTTTAATCTTGTTTTTAAAAGACTGGGTGTAGTTCCCGATTACAGGTCTGTTGGCTCATCCTTAATTGCAAGGCTCTTGTAACCCAGAAGATGCCAATATCCAAGTGGGTACTCAGCTGGCTGTTCTGATATGGCCCTAACAGTTGTTTACAGTTGGTGTTCTCAGTGTTCCTTATGACCAGTCAGTGGCTGGGCTGTAAAATTATTCAGTGTTTTGAATACCATGCTGGACCAAGGCAAAGTTTGAAATATATGAAGCATGAGAATAAAAGACTTCCTAGGTAGCAGGTCACCTGCCCAAATCATAAGTAAGGGCCAACAAGCTAGAGCTGCTGAGTAGAGTACCCTGAACAGGAAAAGGACAAAAACTAGTAGACATGACAAAGGAGGGCTGCTGCATGGTCAAAGGCACCAGGAACCTATCAGAGGATGGGGCTACAGGACTTACCTTCTGAAACTACAAGCTTTACTGAAAGGAATATAATACATGAAGAGAAACACATTGGAAAATTACTAGCTAAGAATAGAAATTTCCTTCTTAAAGGTTCCTATCTATACCTTAAAGGCCAGAGATCTATTGAAGGGCAAACACCTGGGAAGGATAGCATTGCAAATTCTTACCTTCAGGATGAATTTCACACCCTTTCCAGATGACAGATTTGACACTGGAAATGAAGTAAACAGACACGACCCTGGTCTGCAGAAGAGAGGTACTGCACTGAGTTCTCTGAAGTGATAAAAATAAAGCCAACCTATTTCAAAAATTTGTCCAGGGCTGGGCTGCTGATGGCAACACTTGAGAAGTTTCATCAGCAACTCTGTCCTCTCCTTGGCCTCATGTCCAAATCGGTGTCATGTTCTGTGAATTCTTCATCCTCCATGTCCTCTATATCCATCTCTCTTTTCCATCCCACTCCACCCTAGTTTGGCTCTTTCTTGTCTGAGCTCTTGCGAGAGCCTCTTCCTGAGTTTCCCTCCTCCAGTCTCTCCTCTACTCCGTTGACTGCCAGATTGTCTTACAGCATAGATGAAACCACGTGACTTCTGTGCCCCAAGACTTTGATGTCTACAGAATAAAGTTCAAGCTTCTCAACGTTGTCACCTGGAATCTGGCCACAATTGATCTTTTCAGGCCTATCTCTCCCTATCTCCTTTTCTAATTACACATTTTTGATTCTTGCCCAACCCAACCACTCACTATTTCCCAAGCACACCCTATACTTTCCCACGCCTTTGACTCCCACATGACCTTTGTCACACCTGCCTCCCTTCTGCTCTGCCTGACAAATTTTAACCTCTTCTTCAAACACCAGCCCAAATGCTCAGTTCCATAAAGCTTCTGTGACCTTGCCTCGCCTGCCTCAGAGAGAAGTAATTTGCTTTTAGAGTTCACACAGTGCCTGTGAATACTTGTTGAGTGACTGAATCAACTTGCTCATAGCAATTTCATATTGTCTCTTACACCTCAATTGGTTGCAATACGTGCACTGGTCTGTCACCTCCCGAGATTCCAGGATCCCTAAAGATATGAACAAGGCCTTGTTTGTATCCCACACAGAATTTGTACTTTGCACATATTAAGGGCTTCTTAAATTTAGTTATACTCTACTAACAATAAAATTTATGTGTTTTGACACATTTTTTGTTCTGAGTTACTTATATAAACAAGCATGTAGTTCTATCTTTAATAATGAAGAATTAATGGTACCTGTAGATGAATTTAACGGTGAGACACAGTGGTGGAGCTAAGGCGACCTCCCCAACTTCTGGTCCAGTGTTCTTTGCTCCACCATACTTTATCCATACATCAGCATTCCTCAAAGAACTAGAACACTTCAGAATAGTTACTTCTTTAAGCACCTGAAAGAAGAGCCTATCAGAGAAGCAATGTCTGAGCAGGAGAAACCATGTGCTCTCCCCACACCCCAAATGATGCACAGAAGGCACATCCATGCTGGTCATGCACAAGATGCCTGTTTCACTTAGTCTCCGAGGTCAAGCTTACCACCTTAGGTCACTCTTTTATCTCAGGACAGCAGGGAAATAAAGAAGTCAATAGACCCCACTGGCCCGGCACAGTGGCTTATGCCTATAATCCCAGCAGTTAGGGAGGCCAAGGCGGGAGGATCACTTGAGCCCAGAAATTCAAGACCAGCCTGGGTAACACAGCAAGACCCCATGTCTTTACACGGGGTCTCTACAAAAACAAAACAAAACAAAAAACTAGCCAGGTGTGGTGGTGCATGCCTAAAGTTTCAGCTACTCAGGAGGCTGAGGTGGGAGGATCACTTGAACCTGGGAGTTCAAGGTTACAGTGAGCTATGATCATGCCCCTCCACTCCAGCCGGGATGACAGAATGAGACTGTTTATAATAATAATAATAATAATAATAATAATAATAATAATAATAAAGCCTCACAAAATCCTAGAAGCTCTTATTTCGACATAATCCTTTTCACATAGCCCATAGATGCTAGGTGTGTAGTCACATTTGAAGAAATCAATCTAGGTCACAGATGAAAAATTGGTTAATTCTTATACCTGACATCACATGTGCATGTACATCCACACACACATGCATGCACACTCACAGACACACACACACACACACACACACACACACACACACTGAGCAACAGTCTTCAGAAGCCAAAGCATCTCTAAGCTACCAAACACTACTTTCTGAGATTCCCTACCCAGTTCTTCCTATGAGCACTTTATTCCCACTGAACATGGTCATCCCCAGCTGAAGACTATACCCTATGCTATGGAATCCATCCTCTCTGTCAAGCTACATATTTGTACGCTTTGTTATCCAATCCAACTGGCCCAGGCTTTGTGAGCAGTGTCTGAGTATTCCTCTGGGAATTCTTTGGTTACTAGATTATTCTGGGCTGTGGTTATCTTTCAATACCTCATAGGTATTATCTAGCCTTTCCAGTGATAATAATTAGAGCAATTAGCATGGCCAGTAGCTTTGGACTGATTTATTCTCTTAAGCTAATGTGCAGGTAGGAAAGATTTAACTGCCCTGGTTCTGTCAAGGTCCAAGTGGTGCGTAGGCTTCCACTGCTTAGTCAAGCATTTCCGGGGTTAATTTTCATTAAAATGACCCTGACACTAATGACAAGTGACTGTTTCTGCCCCCATTTCAATTTCATAATAATGTCCTTTTATTTGCTTCTCACTAAAGGATACAGACACATTGCCAAAAGCTTCCATTTGTCTCCATTATATATCATTTTTAATTTTAATTTCAGAATTGTTTCTTTGTAAGAATTTTGTCTCTCTCTTAGAACAAAAAATATTTGAGGGCAGAAACTGTATTTTATTTGATAACCGGTACATAAGGTGGTTGAAATGATAAAACAAACAAACAAACAAACAACAATTCCACATCTGAACTAACAATATTCTAGAGATTCGCAAAGAAGCATTTGGATTTCAGTCTCGCCACAACATGTCAAGAGAGACCTTTTGTCAGTTCCTTAACCCCTTGATCTCCATCAGCAAAAATGAGCATAATAATGCTCACCTAAAAAGGTTTTAGCGAAGATGAGATGAGAAAAAATTTTATGAAAGTACCTGGCATTGCTTGGATGTCAAATGAATCTGAGCATATTACCATATTACCAAATAGCTGAGACCTAATAAAAAACCCACCCTCCCTAAATGCTCATGAAAATGTAACTAAACCAAGAAGAATTTAATATGTTTCTTTTATGCCCCTCTGCCTGATTTCATTTGTAGAAAAAAAAAAGCCTATAAAATTTAGTGTTTTTAGGAATTGTAAAGACTACTTAGCTTAATGTCCGCATTTAATAGGAAAAGAAACTGAGATTCAGAGACGTTAACTTCAAGGTTATATGGCTAATAATTAGCATGCTGATTCCCCTTACATTTTGCACACAGGATAGTCTGCACTGTTATTCTGAAAGATGTGTTAAAGAGCTGATCCTTCCTCTTGAGTCTAGGGTGAGAATGACTGATGACAGCAATTCACCTTGAATCCTTTTTATAACTTTTTGTTATGCTTCCAATGATTAAAGGGACACATGCTTATTCTAGAACATTTGGAAGAAAAGTGTAAGAAAGAAAATTAAAACTACCTACAGTTCATCATCTAGTGATAAATATTTTTAACATTTTAGCATGATTAATAAAATTGGGATGATTCTATATTTTTGTACTTGAATTAAAAAAATTGACATTATTCTATTGATATTTCCCCATATTATTAAAGTCTTTGAAAATATGATTTCAAAGGGCCGTATAACATTCTTCCATGTGGATTTATCATTGCTCAGGAGGCAGAATGGTATGCCCTTAAGAGTCAGAGAGACGTGGCATAGAATTCCAATCCCACCCCTCTAACAGCTAGGTGATACAAAACCAGCTACTAATCCTCATTAAGCCTCAGTCCTCACATCTGCAAAATATTGATAATATTCACCACATGTGGTTTCTATCAAGGTTAAATGATGTGGCATATATATGTACTTAGCATTGTGCCCCCACACAATGAGCACTTCATAAATGGTAGCTATTTATTGTTATTATGTTATCACATTCTTATTATTGGACATTTAGGTTGTTTCCAGTTATAAGTAAACACCTAAACGCCAAGTGAAATATCTTCCCCGTAGCCCCCATGGTAACCTACCTGAAATATGTATCTGTTATGCTTACTCCTGTGCTTGAAATCTGTAGCTCCCCATCAAAGGTTTTCAAACTTTCTTTTCAGAAGTGGAAGCCTTTTGTTAAACATCTTAAGGAAAACTTCCCAGGCAACTTGGGTTGTGGCAGGGGTGGGGTTCGAGCCTGGACCAATTCCCAGCCCTTCTCCCACCGTCGTTGACATAGGCCCCTAAAGCATTTCTGAGGAATGCTAAGGCTACTCTGAACACACTGGGAGGAATTTTGGCCTACTGGGTGAAAGGAAGGTTCTGAGTATCGTGTACGATACCTCCAAACTGCTCGTTCCTGAAAGACCCCGATGCAGTTTATTCCCTTACGATTTTGTTATGTTGTTGCTTTTGCCTGGAATGTTCTTAACTCCCATCTTCCCAAGGCTAACACCTACAATGGACTCCATCTGCACATCACTTCACCCAGGAAGCCATCCCTGCTCCAGCCTGCTGAGACACTCTTCTCCCGTTTCTAGGATACCTGGTCAAGTTCTCCATCACTGTGGGGAACACAGAGCTGAACTGTGAGCTCTTACAGGACACAGACTGCATCTCATTGACAGCTGTATTCCCAGTCCCCAGCATAACGTCTGGTACTGCTAAATGCTCACCAAAACTATTTGTTAAATCTACAAACTTATGAATAAATTTGGGGTGCCTCTCTATTTCTTTAGGATAGTTTTGCAGAAGCAGATTACTGGGTCAAAAGGATGACCACTTTTAGGCTTCTTTTCTTTCTTGTATATTTTTTCCCTTACTTCTCTACAGATGAGTACAATATTTTTCTTGTATACTCTTTATATATTACTTTTTTTTTTTTTTTTTACTTTCCAACTTTATTTTAGGTTCGGGGGTACATGTGCAGGATTGTTACATGAGTAAACTGGGTGGCATGGGGCTTTGGTGTACAGATTATTTTATCACCCGTAATAAGCACAGTACCCCATTGGTAGAGAATGATCCTCATTCTCTTCCCACCCTCTAGCCTCAAGTAAGCCCAATGTCTATTGTTCCCTTCTTTATGTCCATGTGTTTTCAGTGTTTAGCTCTCACTTATAAGTGAGAACATGCAGTATTTGGTTTTCTGTTCCTATGTTAGTGTGCTTAGGATAATGGCCTCTAGCTCCATCCATGTTGCTGTCAAGTATATTATCTCATTCTTATTTACGGCTGCATAATATTCCATGGTATATATGTACCACACTTTTTAAAATCCAGTCCACTGTTGATGGGCATTTAGGTTGATTGCATATCTTTGCTATTGTGAATAGTGCTGTGATGAACATAAGTGTGCATGTGTCTTTATGGTAGAACAATTTATATTCCTTTGGGTATGTAACCAGTAACGAGATTGCTGGGTTGAACGGTAGTTCTGTTTTAAGTTCTTCGAGAAATTGCCAAACTGCTTTCCACAAGGGCTGAACTAATTTACATTCCCACAGCAGTGCATAAGCATTCCTTTTTCTCCACAACCTCACCAATATTTTTTTTTCTTTTTTCTTTTTAATAATAGGCATTCTGACTGGTGTGAGATGGTATCTCACTGTGATTTAGATTTGCCTTTCTCTAATGATTAGTGACATTGAGTATTTTTTCATATGCTTGTTGCCTGTGTGTATGCCTTCTTTTCATAAATGTCTGCTCATGTCCTCTGTCTAGGCTTCTTGATGCACTCTTGGTAAGATTTATTGCAGAAAATTATAAGACATTTATTTGAAAGACAACTGTCTCTCCTGTGTCCATTAGGGTTTGCTATTTGTGTTTGGGAATGCAGCTGAAGAAGCCAATATTTGAACCATAAAAATTGGCTATTTTTTTTGCGGTGCCTGATTTGAGATAAACAGAGCTAAACAGAGGTACCAGTGCTTGAGGTGACCAGTACAAAGTAGGGCCCTAGAAAATGTTACTGTCCAGCAGCACATATTACCAGAGGGCTGGAGGTACACACCGCTGAAGGCTGGTGACTTTAGTCACTTTCCATACACGTAATTTCTCCGAACCTATTTTCTCATCTGTAAATGGGTTTACCAATACCTCTTAGGGGAGCATGTGATGATTGAGTTGAATCAAATGGGCCAACACACGTAGAATCCTAACACATTCATTTGTGTGCTTTTACTGACTGGTAAGGAGGAGAGCTAGGCACTAGGATAATAGAGTTCCAAGTTTAGGAAATATTTAAACTGACCTCTCTGATTGTCTTCCCTTTTCATAAGATCCCATAGTGTTCATACACAAACCATTAGGATATAACCAGGTTATCCCATTTTGTCACATGGAAGATAGAGAAATCACAACTATAAAAATCTTACATTTAAAGGGAAATTGAATAGGTTGAGATGACTCTAAGACACTTTAAATTATTACACTCAATCCTATGGTTTTAATTACTCATATGCCCATGACTTCAAAAATCCAAATCTCTAGCCCAGAACTTTCTCCTGAGTTGACTCATCTGCCTAGATGGACCAACTGCCTAGATGGTCCAGGTATGGCAAACTCAGCACGCTCAAAGCTGGATCCATCCCCACTCCCAACTATTTCTGTCCAAATTTGCTCTTCCTGCTGTAACTTCCCATATCATCATCACCCATTTTGTTACCCCAAGCCAAACACTTGGGAGTCATGATCAACACTTCCCTCTTCTCAACCCCACATCTAAGTAGTCACCAAATCCTGATGTTCTAACACCTAGATATCATTCACACCCATCCCTTCTCCTCCTCAGCTGTCGCTACCTTGGATCAGCTCTTCATTATTTCTTGCCTGGATTAACACAGTGACCTCCCAACTGGTCTCCCTGATTCTGGTCTTGCTCCCTCCATTCCATCACTCATATTCCTGTCATAAGCATATAATCAATCTGGATGAAAAAGAGCTGTAAACGGCAATAGATATCAATGTCTTCAAATCGTGTTCTTTAAAAAATATGAGGTCATAGGTTAAGACATAATCAGTTAAACATAGTTCTCCTGGAGACAGGTTGACTGCTTGGCTTGAGAATCAAATGAAATATAACAATGAATGATATATCAGTTCACTTTAAATAATACTCATGGAGAACCGACATTGATTGGATTGTGCAGAGATGATGTGGGGGTAGCACTGGAAGGGCACAGAGGATTAAGGTGAAGTTCTCCAGTGTCTTGAGGGCCACATGGTCTTTGTGAACGTGGCAGGCAGAGGATCATTTACGAAAGCCTATTATAGCTTGATAATTCCAGGAACCAAAGTCACAACCAACAGTAACAACCTTTTCTCCTCTCAAAATGACACATACATTACTACAGTCTCTAAAAGGAGGCTTTTTCAGTTTCATGACCACAACGAACCCCAAATATGACGGGCTTTAGATGAAGCTACCAGTGCCTCAAACCTTTGACACATCCACTGCCTGAAGGTTAAAGGGAAAACAGTCTAAGTTTCCCATGTTTAGAGAAAATGGCAGTGAGTATAAAATGGGATGAAGCCTGAAAATTGGAATAAGGCAAACATGACTAGCAAACAAATAGAGATGAGACATGGTGTTTTAGATTAGTGATTCTCAAACTGTGTGAGCTAAAGATCAGTTTTTAAAACATATCCAAACATTATGGACTAATATTTTTGTAAAACACAATAAAGTTAATCTTAAAAAATAAAATATCAAAGAAATATAAAATACAAGGCCTGTATTTAATGATGAGGATTGCACAGATATATAATTACTCTGTCATGCTGCTGCAAAATTTTCTAAGTGTTCATTCTTAATTTTTATATGTGTTTTATTACAAACCAGTAACAAACTGGTCCATTGACCTCACTTTGAATAGCACTGTTTTAAAGCATTTATTAAAGATAGGTGGGAAAAATTTTCCTCACAAAGATATACTTTTGGGAAGACAC
Organism: Homo sapiens; assembly: GCF_000001405.40. Classification (NCBI taxonomy): domain Eukaryota; kingdom Metazoa; phylum Chordata; class Mammalia; order Primates; family Hominidae; genus Homo; species Homo sapiens. Next base: position 72,231,915 of record NC_000016.10, read on the forward strand.
CCATTTGTCATCTGATATGCTTGGATTTTTCCTTCAAAGATGGAAACATTTTGGCTATTTGGGTCTTGGAGAACTTCAATCTCTGGTCACGCCAAGTTGACACCATTTCGTGAGAAAATACCTATCAAACTAGTGAGCTCCAAGTCAATCTCTAGAAAAACAATGGTTGTGTGGATTAAAAGCCCTCATTAGAGAATATATAAGCTGTGACTATAATGTTCACTGTATTGTTTAGTGATGGATTTTTCAATCAACTATAAAGAATGTCCCTCCATGCCTTTCAGATCTCAATCAATTATCATGATGTCTGATTTGAGAGGCTGATAGCCACAGTGATAGAAACTCTAGTGATGGGGCAGGTTTTGCTGAACAATAAATATCTGTCAAGCACAAGCTATATGCAGGCTTCTTGCTGTCCTTATTCTAAACACAAGGGCAGCTGTCTCTCTCTGGAAAAGACATGCATAGTCTGTGCTTAAACATCAGAAGGAAGATCTCAGCTTCTCAGACCCACTATTGTTTTAGGTTAAAAAGGCTAAGAAATGTTGGTAAAGCAGGGATAGTCAAAAGAAAGAATGAACAGAGGTATTTATTTCTTACCACTTAAAATCTTGTTTACAGATAAGCTGTCCTCATACTGTGGCTTGAAACCCCATTAGAAGACACATTTAACATGACTGTCATGGGCTGTTTCTCATTATAGCCAATGGTGAAATAATGGTTAGTAGTAACTTTAGAAATAAGGAAATGGATATAGTGCATGAAGAGGATAAGTATTAACTTATAGATCAAACTTCAATTTGAGGGGACTGACATGAAGAGGTTGGAGGAGTGAAGACTTCAGGGAGACAGCCTTTAAGCAGTGAAAAACAAATCCTATGGAAGTGGGAGTTCTGGTCAGCAAACATGCACTGAACATGTTCTAAGTGTTAGGGATGCAAAGTTAATAAAACACTGTCTCCATTTTTATAGTCTGGTGTCAGAGGCAGACATGTATACAAATGATTGCAAAATGGTAGGAGATAGGCAGAAACAGGAATTTATACAAGATATTGATATACAGATGAGACAGTGATTAACTCTGTCAGAATTGTCAGAAAACATAAAAACTTACAAAGCCATTTATATTGGTAAAAATGACTCTCAAAATGTTAAGGTAAATCATTTCTATAAGTTGCTAAAGGGAAAACTAAGGTTTAATTTACCTGTAGTCCAGTATGCACTTGAACCCCCCCAATAGTAAGGGATAGGTTAAAAACTCTTCATTAGGACAATTACCTTCCACCAAAAATTATATGTACACATACCAACACCCCTAGCCCTAATCCAAACCACCTAGTAAAGCTCTTATTCAAGTAAAATCGAGTCTTTAAGAAATAACCATTCTGAGTGAGTACTGAGGGATCCACAAAAAGGCAAATAATAATGGATGAAAAGAATGAATTCTACTTGGCTTAAATCTTCAGAAGAGATGGTCATCCTACATCTTTGTTGGGCTTGGACACATTTAGATCCTCTGAACAAATATGCAACAGATAAATGCTTTGAACAGATTGAATGGAACACAGCATCTTTGTGATGGGTTGGTAACTAATAAGAATAATTACCAATACTATTGTCCTTCATTATTTCTGTTTTTATAACAACTTTATTGAGATATAATTCACATGCCACAGAATTCAACCCTTTAAAGTATACAATTCAATGATTTGTGGTACATGTACACAACGTGTACAGAGCTGTGTAACTATCACCACTATCTGACTTTAGAATATTTTTATCACCCCTAAAGAAATCTTATACCTATCGGCAGTCATTCGTCATTCCCTCCTTCCCTCAGCCCCTGGAAACCATTACTTTATTTTCTACCTCCATGGATATGCCTATGCTAAACATTTCACATCATGGGAATCATACAATATGTGGCTTTTGTGTCTGGCTTCTTTCACTTAGCATGATGTTTTCAAGGCTTATCCATGTTGTTAACAGGTGTCAGTATTTCATTCTTTTTGATGGCCAAATAATATTCCATTGTATGGGCAAACCATATTTTGTCTGTTCATCAGTTGATTGACATTTGGGCTTTTTCCACTTTTGGCTACTATAAATAATTTTGCTATGAGGTTTCCTGTGCAAGTTCTTGTGTGGACATATGTTTTCAATTTTCCTGGTTTTAAACCTAGGAGTGGAATTACTGGTCATTTGGTCCCTATATATTTAACATGTTGAGAAAGTGTTACACTATTTTCCAAAGTGACTGCACCATTTTAGAATCCCACCAGCAATGTATGAAGGTTCTCTTAACCAGCATTTGTTGTCATAGCTTCCCTTAAAGGGGAACAAACTTGCCAAACAGATGGAGAGAACAAATCATCCGACAGTGCACAAACTATCTGGGACTTGTGATTAAAACAGCCTGCAGCAAGGAGGACAATGAGCAGAAGGGACAATCCCCAAATTCGTACAAACACAGAAACTCAGGATTAGTGTCCCCGAGTTGACCTATTCTCATTATGATAGTAAAAAACACACCCTTGGTTAGAGAATTAAGATGCTAATGAGACATGTGATGTACACAGCACGTACAGCAACTGGCATGTGCACCCAGGAGACTACCTGCAACATGCTTAACAGCAACGTCCAACCCCACCCTCTTACGAATAATTATATAAGCTTCCTATAAAGGGAATTTCCCCAGTGTCACATGGGGCTGTCTTATTCTCGAGCAGCCTGCTATCAAGTGTACTTTTGCTTTGCAATAAACTTCTTTGCCTATTTTACTTTGAACTCACTCTCATGACTTTGTGTCATGAAGTCAAGAACCTGAACTGACCCACTGACAACTTTGTTGTTTTGATTTTTATTTCCCTAATGACTAATGATACTGAGCATGTTTTTATGTGCTTATTGACCATTTGGATATCTTCACTGGATAAATTTTTATTCAAGTCCTTTGCCCATTTAAAAATTGAATTACTTGTCTTTTTATTGTTGAGTCGTAATAGTTCTTCATGTACTCTGGATACAAGTTATTTATCAGATAGATTATTTGCAAATATTTTATCCCATTCTGTGGGTTGTACTTTCACCTTCTTGATGGCGTACTTTGAAGCACAAAAGTTTTTAATTTTGATGTCCAATTTGTCTATTTTTCTTTTGTTGCTCATGCTTTTGGTGTCATAACTAAGAAACCATTGCCTAACCCAGGGTCAGGATTTGCTCCTATGTTTTCTTCTGAGATTTTTATAGTTTTATTTCTTACATTTATGTCTATGATCGATTTTGAGTTAATTTTTGTGTATGGTGTACCTTTTGCACATGAATATCCAGTTTTTCCAGCCCCATTTGTTGATCAGACTATTCTTTCCTCATTGAATTGTCATACCACAACTTTTGAAAATCAATTGACTATAACATAAGGGGACACTTCTGGATTCTCAATTCTATTTCATTTATCTACTATTTTCTATCTTTATGCCATTACCACACTGTCTTAATTACTATAACTTTGTAGTAGTTTGGAAATAAGAAAGTGAGAGGTCTCTAACAATCCTATTTTTCATCACTGTTTTGGCCATTCTTTTTTTTTTTTTTGCATTTCTGTATGCATATTAGTATCAGCATATCAATTTCTGAAATCAAGCACCTGGGATTTTGATAGGGATTGTGTTGAATCTGTAGATCACTTTGGGAAATACGGTCATCTTGACAGCTGTCTTCCAATCCATGACCATTTATTTAGGTCTTTAATTTCTTTCAAAATGATTTGCAGTTTTCAGTTACAAGTCTTGAACCTCTTTTATTAAATTTATTCCCAAGTTTAAAAAAAATACTATTATAAATGGAATTGTTTTCTTAATTTCATTTTTGGATTGTTTATTGCTACTGTATAGAAATACAATTGATTTTTTGCCTATTGATCTTGTGTCGTGCAACACTGCTGAACTTGTTCACTAGTTGTAAGAGTTGCTTTTATATGGATTGCTTAAGATTTTCTACATTCAAGATCATGCCATCTAAAAACAAAGTGAGTATCCCTTCTTCCTTTCCAATCTGGAAGCTTTTAATTGTTTTTCTTGCCTCATTATCATCACTAGATCTCCAATACAAGGCTGAATAGAAATGATGAGAGTAGATGTTTTCTCTTGTTCCTGATCTTAGGGGGAATGCATTTAGTCTTTCACCACTAAATACGATATTAATTTTGGGGTTTTTGTAAATGCTGTTTTTTTGGGTTGAGGAATTTTTCTACTATTCCTAGTTTGTTGACTGTTTTTATCATGAATGGGTATTAGATTTTGTCAAATGCTTATTCTGCTATTTCTCTGTTTTTGAATTCAAAAGTTGCATTGTTTAAGTCTGGTTTTTCCAGGAAGGCAGATCATGTACTTAATGAACTTGTAAACTTAAGTGAAGAGGATAGGAAACAAAATGTTACTAGTGTGTCTTAGTTTCTGTTCGCTACATTTAACAAGGTACTACAAGAAAGAGAGAGCTCAAAGGAACTTGCTAGTTTGTAAGTGGGATTGAAAAATGTAACTATTTTTAATTTCCAACCAGCAAAAGATAAAATTGAGAAATGCCTTTAGTAATAAGGCTCATTTTTTTTAAAAGCCCCACACCCAAGACATGATCAAGATTAAGGCCATCATTCCTTCTGCTGTAATCTCTGAATTGATTTGGCAGTACCCACTAAATGTTTTCAGTTGGACAAAGTGACTGAAACCCCCACTTTGGGGGAAAAACAAAACAAAACAAAACGATGATCAAACCATAACATGGCTGTGTAAGCTTCTGCTGGCAAGTTGTACACCTCACTTATATCCACATTTCACTGGCAAAAGAAAGTCTTACCAAGCTTGATGTCAAAGAGACAGTCATCTCATATGGATAGGTGCTGAAAATAAAATGAAAATAAGTGATATGTATAGTACTTTCACAGGAAAGGGGAGCAAATAATTGAGAAGAGTAATAAAATCTACCACACTTGGCTCTTTTAGTAATAAATATTTGTTCCCCCCTTTTATATGCAAAATACTTTCATCACTTCTCTAAAGAAGTCCCAAAGTCTTATTCAATCACATTTCAAACTCAAAACACTGGATCTCACATGACTCCTCTTGATCCAGATTTATGAACTAAAGCCAAGTTACCTGTTCCCACATGCCCAACATGTAGTGGGAGAGGGACAGGGTAACTACCATAAATACTCCCGCTTAGAAGGAGAAAGAAGGAAAATCATTGAGCAGACACTGATTCACAGCCAACTCTAAATTCTTTGTGGGATGACATGGGAAGAGACCCCTAGAGATAGGAGGAACGTTATTTGGTTAGGTTCTGGTTCTGCTCTCTGGGGAAAGCTTCCTATATTGCTGCTGTCCATAGCTCAGGGAGGTAATTTCTTCTCATTATCCTCCTTGGCCATATCTAAGAAAGGCACTGAAAAAAATGCTTTCCACTAGGGTTTGGCCTGCTTTCCATAGAAGACTGGGGGTTCCAGGCCATCTTTGTCTCAAATAGTCACATTAAAAAAAAATTCTAGGTGCTGGCTCTTTGGAGGAGGGTTGAAATCTTAACAAGATGAAGTGTTCTAATCCACGACCATGGGATGTCTTTCCATTTATTTAGGTCTTCAATTTCTTTTTAAAAAATTTTTTTGGCATTAAATCTCTTACAAAAATGTCGTTTTGTATCTACTTGATCCTAGCCAACTCTATATGTCTTTTTTTTAAAAAAACTTTCATTTTAAATTTAGGGGTACATGTGCAGGTTTGTTGTATAGGTAAACTTGTGTTATGGGGGTTTGTTCTACAGATTATTTTGTCACCCAGGTATGAAGCCTACTACTCCTTAGTTATTTTTCCTGATCCTCTCCCTCCTCTCACCCTCCACCCTCTAATAGGCCCCAGTGTTTATTGTTCCCCTCTATGTGTCCATGTGTTCTCATCATTTAGATCCCACTTATAAGTGAGAACATGTGGTATTTGGTTTTCTGTTCCTGTATTAGTTTCCTAAGGATAATGGCCTCTAGCTCCATCCATGCTCCTGCAAAGGACACAATCTCATTCTTTTTTATGGCTGCATAGTATTCTATGGTGTATATGTATCACATTTTGTTTATCCAGTCTATCATTGATGGACATTTAAGTTGATGCCATGTCTTTGCTATTGTGGATAGTGCTGCAATGAACATATGTGTGCATGTGTCTTTGTGATAGAATGATTTATATATATTCCTTTGGGTATATACCCAGTAATGGGATTGCAAAGTTGAATGGTGGTTCTGTTTTTAGGTCTTTGAGGAGTTGCCATACTGCTTTCCACAATGGTTGAACTAATTTACACTTCCACCAACAGGGTATAGTGTTCCTTTTTCTCCACAACCTTGCCAGCATCTGTTATTTTTTGACTTTTTAATAATAGGCATTCTGACTGGTGTGAAATGGTATCTCACTGTGGTTTTGATTTGCATTTCTCTAATGATCAGCAATGTTGACTTTTTATCATGTAATTGTTGGCTGCATGTATGCATGTATGCCTTCTTTTGAAAAGTGCCTGTTCACGTCCTTTGCCCACTTTTTAATGGGATTTTTTTCTTGTAAATTTGTTTAAGTTCCTTATAGTCTATATGTCAGTAATCAATTGCTCACTTCTTTTTGAAACATGCTTCCCTTTAGACTTAATTATATATCTTGAGCTTTCAGACTTCTGTGGAAGGACCTATTCACAGGCAATATCAGGAACCATAAAGTACCTGCTATGTTTTGAGCATATTTTCAGAAACACAGGCTTTATTGCATAGATAAAGATTGTCTCCAAAACATGGGACAACCAAGCCTATTTTCTAAAATAACAACCATTCACTCTAGTCTAGTGGTTTTCAACCAGAGGTGATCTTGCTCCCCATGGAGCAATGTCTAGAGACATTTTAATTGTCACAGCTTGGTGGGGTGGGCGTTACTGACATCTAGTGGGTAGGGGCCAGGGATGGTGCTAAACATCCTAAAATGCATAGGACAGCCCCTCCTCTGCCTCCCCTCAGCAAATAATTATCCTGTCAATTCTATGAAGAGGGTGCTGCATAATAAAATATACCCAAAAAAACAAAAAAACAGGAAAAGGGATTTTGCAAAAAGTAAGGAAAAAATCAAAACAAGAATTGTCTAGCCCCAAATGTTATTAGTGCTGAGATTGAGAAACTTTTTTCCTAATAGTACCATTGAAACTGAAATCTCATTAAGACTCCTGATGGCTCTCTAAGCAAAAACAACGATAACATGTTTCCATGTTTACCCCACCAGCCACACATATATTCTTCAATTTTTTCTTCCTCAGAAGCAAAAAGTAGGATCAGGAAGACTATGAAAGGCCATTTGTTTTGAGACTTGAAGGAATCAGTTTGTTCTTTTGTAACCCTTCCATTGTCTGTTGATCACCACATATTTTGTTAAGGCTTTTTACATGATACATAATCTTTTGATCCATTCCTTTATCTACCCCAAAATTCTCTGCGATGCTAAATAAAACACATTCTCAATTTATATGCATTTTCTTTTTTACCGTTTAATTCCTAGTGTGGGCCTTTCTTTAAACCTTTTTTAGAAGGAAAAGTACAGCTACTGAGAGGTCCTATTTGGTTTACAATCATGTCTGGTTTATCATTACTATCATCTAGTGCCTCCAAGAATGTTCCTGTTGGCTGGGCGCAGTGGCTTGCACCTCTAATCCCAGCACTTTGGGAGGCCGAGGCGGGTGGATCACAAGGTCAGGAGATCGAGACCATCCTGGCCAACATGGTGAAACCCCGTCTCTACTAAAGATACAAAAATTAGCTGGGTGTGGTGGCATGTGCCTGTAATCCCAGCTACTCGGGAGGCACGAGAATCGCTTAAACCCAGGAGGCGGAGGTTGCAGTGAGCCAAGATTGCACCACTGCACTCCAGCCTGGTGACAGAGAGAGACTCCATGTACAAAAAAAAAAAAAAAGAAAAAAAAAAAAAAAAGAATGTTCCTGTTGTCATTAGGTGTTTGTGAAGAAAACCCATGAGGTTTAATATTAAAATAGGAGATATACTCGAGGGTTTAGGGGTTTCTTACCCAGAACCTCAGGTTCCTTAAGCACCAGGGAAATATTTTAATAAAAATGCACAGAACATTTCAGCTAGAGATTAGTCCAATAGGAGGGAGGACATATCAGGAGGTAAATACAAGTTATAGATGCAAAAATACCTAACAGGTCATATCAGGTAGACTGTGGCGCAGAGAACAAGGAGGCTGTACCTGCTAAAGACCTAGATTCTACAGGAATAAAAGGAAATGCTGGTTTCTTTCTAGTAACTTAACATGGTTACTAGTTTGCAGAGCTTAGTCAGAATCTCAACGACTACATACTTGAATATGACCAAATTATTCTAATGTTTCAGATGAAAATATATAGACAGAAATAAAGCATTGTGATTTTTGCAAGCAGCGCTTGCTTTCTTGGCTAATTCCAAACGTCTCTACTAAAAGTAGGACAATTCTGCCTTCTAATAGAATTCCTGACTAGGCAGATCATTTTGTTAAGATAGATGTTCGTTAGCATTTTGGTTTCCTTAATTTCATACCATATTCTATTTTATTCCTTTGTATCATGGTTGAAAGTGCATATGATTCTTATCTCTTCCTTAGGTTTTTATTTTTTCATTGTGACATCTGTGCTTGAATCATGGTGCAGCCAAGCTGTAGAGGCTTAATTCTTTTAATGGGAAGACAGCATGCTGTGGCAGAAAGCATGCCAGCCTGGCATCTGCTGTTCTCCGGCTGAGTGTCCTAGGACAAGTCACTTCTCTGTTATGTCAGTACAATTAGGGCTGTACCAAAAGATCTCTAAGGGGTCCTTTCCATCTCAAATATTCTTCATATTTTGAATCTTTTTATATGTAAATATGACAGTAGTAACACAGTAACTCTGTTATCTTTCCTTATTTTGCAATTGTGTGTTGGGTGGTGTGTGTGTGAGAGAGAGAGAGAGAGAGACAGGGAGAGCGTGCAAGAGAGAGAGAGAGAGAGTGGCAAAGGTGCAGGTGGAGGGGGTTAAGGGGAGGAGGGACTACTTAACCTTGGTAGACAATATGAAGGTGTAATAATCTGTAAACATAACTTATGTTAAAGAAGATATGTAGGTATTTAAATACCTCTTGGAGGAATATGTAAGTACTCATCATGGTTACAAAATAGCACTCTCAGAAATGGCTCTCCTCCCTCCTCCAGGACAGATAAAGCACCTGCAGGCTCTCACCGACCACTGAAACAGCCATGAAAACCCTCATGCTTTTATACAGCAGGACAAAGCTTTGAAGCTTTGGCTTTAAATCACTCCAGCATCTCCCAGCTGTAATGAGGATAGCATTTCCCTAGTCAAAACATCCTGGTTCTATTTATAGGTGTTCACTTCTCTGAATAATAAACAAAAGTAGCAGGCTATTCTCATATTATGTCATTTTCCTTCAGCTACCCTACTATTTAATATAATGCCAATAATTAAAAAAATTTCAAAGCCATCATACCTAACAGTGGGTTCAGTTAATTACCTTAGAGAAGACACTGACTGCCATATATTTGAACAGCCAAAGCCTTGCAAGAATATTTGATTGGCCTTTGTTTACCGAGGGTTTCCAGTATCTCCCTCTCTACTTCATGGGGGTGGGTTCAGTTCTTTAAATGATTCCAGAAATAACCAGTCTCCCTAGTTGAAGGAAGGCTGTTTTCATCTACTAAGTAACATCCCTTCGCTTGTGTTGCTTTAAATAAGGATGGCAGACAATTCAGCATCCATGGAGACAGCCACAGTTCACTTCTATTCTTTTTCAAATGTAAGTTTGTATTAGGTTATTTAATGGACCACAATATATTCAGTAGGTACAGAATTCATACCCCCAAATGGCTGGTGTTTAATTGCATCCCTCCAGTCTGTTTTAACTAAGACATTTCCTCCTGTGCATATAATCTTCATTATCATAGAAGTTATTTTTAATTTATAATTAACATAGTCTCCTTCTCATTATGTATGCCTTGATCGACTTGGACCCTCCGGACACATCTTGTCTGGCACGGTGCTGGTTGTGTCCTGCAGTTCTCTCAATGTGCAGTAGGTGTCTATCTTAGCCTTCCCTTCATCCTTCCTTCTCTTCTCCTCCCTGACACCGTGATATAGTGCATAATTCCAAAATGGCAGCTTTTTGAAAATTCACCTTGATTATCAGACATTAAAAGTGACTCATCCCGCAGTGACTGTCTGGCAGAAGGGATGGGATCAGACAGCAAGACAATGAGGGGACTGGGCGCATTAGCGCACTAGATTACAGAGCCCATCAAAAATACCTTTGTTCTGTCAAAGATCCAATCATTTACTAGTTGTGTTCTGCAGAGGAGAAAGAATGAGAGGGAAAAATACACCAAACAAATAAACAAAAAAATACATTTATGAATTTAAAACCTCCTTAGTTCTCTTTATTCTAAGAGTAAAGGAAAGTATCTAATTAACCTTCTCAGGAGAAGAAAAGATGGGGATTGTGCTTGTGAGACAAAAATCTATAGAACCTTTTCTTTTTCACTAGCTATCAAAATTTCTACATTAGCTTCTGTCCTTTGGGTCTTGGTAAGAGGGAAATTGTCAAGTTTTCAGGGTTTGGTCTTGATTACACTGCACTCAGCCTGATTTATGGCAGAATATTTAGAAGACAAACTGTTTCCGAACTAGAACGTTCATTTTCATTAAAAGCAATGCTTTTGATTTCTATCTTGTCACAATATAATGCTAACCAAGAAATGCGTGATGGATGAAAGGGGAAAATATGTGTAAGGGCTATTATTGAGAAATACTTTATAAGCATCTAAACTGGCCCATATAAAAAGGCAGTAAGAATCTTTGAAAAGAGAGAGCACATGAATTCTTGCATCAAGCATGTGTGTGTTTGTGTGCAAAGGGGAGGAGGGAACTGGAAAAGAAGGGAGGAGAGCGACGAAGGCGTTCATATTGAGCCCTGGGTGGGTATAACAGGGTGAGATGTGTTGTATCGTCAGCATGACTGCAAGCCTGGTGAGCTTGTGATTCTCCAAGGAGACAAAATATCCAAATGGGAGGTTGGTGCCTGACTTTTGTCTTTTTATCATTTTCATCATTTGCCTATGAACTCAGAGGAGCATTTTATCAGTCATGGAAAATGCCCCCAAGGGGCCCAGATCAAAGGCAGGCTTTGAATTGTGTACTTAGGTGGATCTTCCTGCCAAAGACATTAATGCGATTAAAACACAAATTCCATAAACAATTATTTTCCATCTGTTTAGCAATAATAATAGTGATGTTATGTGCTGTCAATGGTGTCCTTCCTTACAATGAGGCACCAAGTGAATGCAAATACCCTTCTGCACGTGGATGCTGCAGCACTTTGGGAGGATTTGGGAGGTTTCATCTGCCAGCAGGACAGGAGAGTGGCCACTGTCACCATGCAGGGATCTCTGGAAAAGAATGGCTGTATTTTAACTGTCATTTGCAAATAGATTCATTAAAACAACTCATTGCATTCCACCAATTGTGCAGTGTACTTGTATACTGGTGTAAATTGGAGATTTGTCATTTCTTGCCTCTGCCTCCATGTTTATTTCTACTGTCAGGTACAGAAAATGTACCCCTCTTTTTGCCCCTCTTAATTATCCCCAGTATCAATAACTCTGTTCCTTTATTGATGGAGGAAGGGAGATTCAGCAGGACTGCCAGTCCAAGTGGCTCAGTCACAGTTACACATTCAGAGACCTACTCATGTTTGTTTGGATTCACAACACATACTCTGAGTAGGGAGAAAGAGAATCTATAAGCTTTAAAGATCTCTGCCTAAACCAGACCAAGAGATTAAAGGGGAGGGCAAAGGGGAGGGTCCAGACTGATTTCCGCACACCAGCACTCGTAACACAGGGATAGATTCCTGAAAGAGGGACTGACCTGCACGAGAGTTTTCATCAGTGGAATTTTAATGAGCCCTAAAGGTTAGCCTTCGACTTCGTTAACAAACAGCTCTAGAGATAATTTCCAATTTTCAGTGTTTATAGAATAGTGGTTCCTTGGTCATAATGAAATTCTGAGACTGTCTAGAGCCTATTCTGCATGTCCAGCTGAGGCTGAAACACAAACCCTCAAAAACAATTAAACGTGTGCTCAAAATCAAATGCAGAAGAAATAAAAAGAGGAAGGCATTTTGCAAATTAAAGTGATCACATTAACCTCCTTTGATGAAATCGGTTCAGTCAAATGAAAAATACTTATTAAAAAAACAAACCCTGCACAGATATTTTAGCTATTGAGGGTAATGATTATTCTAATATTGAAATGGACACAGACAAGAAAAAAAAGAGAGATAATAAACAAAAGAGGAAAGCTTCATTCCCAGTAGCTAGAGACCAGAGTCCCTGTTATGTGTAAGTGGGTTGTAAATGTGTAGAAAAGAATATAGATGCAAATATTGCCAAAATTGACACTAAAGGATAAAGGATAGGTCAGTTTGTTGAAAATACGTCCCCTCTCCTTCTTCTCCCCTCTCCCTGCTTTCTCAGGTTCTACTGGGTCCTTGAAGAATTGCCATAATTGCACCAGAAAGGAAACAAGTATGACTGAGATTCCAGCCACATAAAACAAGAGCAATGGGTGGTTAAGACAAAGGGCCACATCTAAAGATTTCTTTTCCTCCAAAACTGGGTGGAAAATCCTTTCACTTTCTCCAAAAGGATGACCAAATCTCCTACTGGTATGGGGACCAACAGAAGATGCTTGAGCTGTAAATGCTGGGAGAAATATTCTTTAGTTTATTAAAGTTAGGCTAAATTTTATTTCTTCCAGTGCAACAAATCCCTTTCACTCCCCAGGCTAGCCACTTCCCTTCTTGATTCACAGAAGAATGGAAGGGGTTAAAAAACAAAACAAAAACCAGAGCTGGCCTGAAACTCTGCCACTCCAAGGGTGCAAGAGGTTAGGGAGCAAGGGGCCCCGCTGCGTGATGCTCTGGTCAGTTTTGGGCACGCAAGAGAGCATGGGGGGCATGAGAGTCGGGCAACTGACTTGGGTTCCAGTTCCAGTTTTGCATTTACTCCTTACTCCCCGTGTAATCCTGGTGGGGGCAGTCAATTCCTCAGAGTTGCAGTTTTCTCCTAGGGCTAAAGGGATTAATGAGTTCAGGTAATGTTAGCACTGGGGGGGATCTCAGGGATTATTTAATCAATTCTCCTCATTTTATAGACAGAAAACTAAATAACAATAACAGCAGTTATAATAATAAAAACAATTATAACTAATATTTTTGAGCATTTAACATGTGCTAGGCACTATTCTAAGCACTTTACAAGTATTCTATTATCTCAACTACCCTGGTTGGTAGATAGTACTGCTACTTCCATTTTACAGGTGGGGGAACTGAGATGCCGTGAGGTTCAATATCCAAGGTGGTACAGCTGGTAAATGGTAAAGCTGGGCTTCAAACCCAGATGGCCTGGCTACAGAGCCCATGCTCTTAAACGCTGTAGTTTAGTAAACCATGAATTCCCCATGGTTTGCACAGGGGTTGCACTCTTTTCAGAAAAGGGTGCACTGCCTGAATTCGTGCTGCATATGGTCCTGAAAACACAGACCCTACAGAGACATGTTTTCAGAATCATGGCAATGGCTGACGATGGCTAATCTGTTCCCTCCAGGTTCCCCGAGTTCATGGCTTCTCTCCAGCCAAATTTTCTCCCAGCCTGCTGTCACAGGTGTAGTGCAGTGCTCCCAGGATGCCCCGGTCTGTACGGTGCCCTTCCCAAGTCACACTGCCACTGCTCTTTAACTCTCTGCTGATGGCTTCTCCCTCTCTCTCTCCTTCACTCTCTCTCTCCAACCATTTCCTTGAACTTCACTTGAGCTGATATTACACTTGTATTTGAACACCCAGCATGACACTCTCTATTTCTTTGCTCCAGCACCAGTGCTTGACCATCTTTTGTTAGCCATTATGGATCAAAACTGCTTCTCGGGACAAAAATAAATGGCAGAAAGAGAGATCATGGCAGAATAAACACCACCACTGCAAAAGACAGTCTACTCTGGATAGTGTGGGAGCATACTCATTGGGTAAGAGTGGTTGCAGAATGGTGCATTATGCGCACTGGGGAGGGAGGAGATTACAGTTTGCCAGATTCACTCTCATCGGCTAATAGCACCCAGTGCCTAAGAAAAGTACATTAACAGTATATGGTAACAGACAGTTGCTGAAAGGACAATAGCATTAATATTAAATTACTGTTGCATAGAGAAGTGATAAATAGGTGATGTGTGTTCTAAGCTCAAAGAGGCCTGGTGACTTGCCTCAAGTTGACAAGTGGTAGTAGGTGGCAGAATCCTACTACAGCCTAGGTCCTCTATTTCTCAGGACACTGGTTTGCTGTTGGATAACATCAGACTCCTCAGGCTACTGTGAGGAACAGCTGAAATGAAAGCGCCATATGACAAATTCCAGACACCTGGACAAGGCACATAGGTCCTTTGTGATCTGGCCTCACCTGCCATTTCAGTCACGTATTTCGTGCCTTAATGTCCTCACACCTGCTGTCCCTTCTGCTTGAGGTGACAACTTCCCCAGTCCCCTCTCATCACTCCTCTTTCTCCAGCTGTAAACACCTGTTCATCTTTCAAGATCTGGCCACAAGGTTACTTTCTCTGTGAGGCTTCCTGTCTTCTCAGTATTTCCTGTAGTACACATGGTTAGAACGCTCGCTGTATAGGATAATGATTGACTGGTTATTATTCTCTCTCCCCTTCTTAACGAGGAAGCTTATTGAGGGCAGAGACTATATTTATTTCTCTTTTTATCTTCAGTGCCTAGCAAAGGGCATGGACCATCTTATTTACTCTAAATATACAAGGAAGGAAGAAAGAGAGGGAGAGAGGGAAGGAATATCCTCCTGAAACTATAAAGCAGTATAGAAATAAAAAGTTTTACTAACAAGAGAAAGATGCCCACTGTTTGATACCCTCCTACTGTTCAGGAATGAGCTTACTGTTTTCACAAGCAAAATGCTCTGACACAAAATGGGGCAGGCGACGATGAAAGCAGGAAGCTGACTTCTTACTCCCCATTTACCTGTCCGATGAAGAGGTACACAATTTCCCCAGGATAGAAGGAATGCCCTTCATTAATGCCATTTGCTAGCAGTAATTTAGTTAACTGAATAATCACACAAGGTAAAGAACACAGAGACTTAAGGATCTCTGTCTAATGCATGATACTAAGATATTTTATAAGGTGGCATGTAGTTAAGTGTGCTTAAATGCAATCACAGAGCATTTTCTTTGGTCATTTTCATCTGGAGGTTTTAGAAAAACCAGGAGAGAAAAGCAGCATCCTCAGGGATTTTTCCTTAGAGTACAATTTTTACAAAAAGCTGAGTGTACAACTTGCAAAATAATAAGCTTCAGTGATAACACAAGCTTCAGCTACAATTATCACAAAGAGCAAGTCTGCTGCCCAAGCTTCTAACTTATCCTTGTGACTACAGAACATCCCAAAATGTCACATTCAAGTTGAAGTGACTGCAGCCAATTAGGTAATTTCCACCAAATTGGGTCCATTAATACTTGGACATTATCTTGAGGGTGAAATAGGATTCAGTGACAAGGTGCAATGTGGCTTGTGAAATATTAGTTTTGGACAATCACAAATCAGGATCCAAGGGTATGTTAAATTATTCGGCATTCTTGACCTCATTATTAAGTGACTTCATATGGGTTTTTGCTCATATTCATATAATCTTGGGATACAAAGAGCTTAATTTTTGTTTCCTTTCCCCAGCCATTTCCCTTTTTATGTATCAGAGATTTTATGTATATCTCTTTATTTTTATCCTGTTTAATTTTAGAATTTAAAGGGCAATGGCTATGTTTTTGTTTGGGGAACACACAAGGAGGACACTTACTCATATGATGACACATATCAGAAACATGAATATTAGTTAGAAATTTGGTTTGCAGATTTTTCTTTGCTAACACACTACTTCAGGTAACAGAACAATTTTTCCAACCAAACATCTGCCTCGGTCTGCCAAGTATCGAACAGAAAGCTGTGATTTGTAACACATGGTCTTATAAATGAGTCAGAACTTCAAGGCCAAGTCGGCTTCTGGAAGTGTTCTAAAGTGATAGCAACAATATTATTTTCCAAAATAATGGGAGAAAGCCATAAAAACACTCCAGGAAGATCGTGTACCAAAGATGTTTGTTGATTTTGTTTTGTTCCAAAGTTGTTTGGAACAATGATTAGTTGGCGCTGACAGGATTTCTACAACTAGGAAGTGTGTTGGACACTTAAAACTTTAAATCAGTGTTCCAGTAAGTTCTAAAGAACTTTAACCAATTGAACAATTATCCTAAGAATATGACTACCAGCTGTCGCTTAAACTTACAAGTTAAAACACTTTATATCATTGGGGCAAAGCAATGATATGGACCTGGGATAGGAAAATTACCAGAGAATGTGACTGAATCAGTGAATATCTGCCAAAAAAAAATCTCTTTGAGATGAACAAAAGAAATTAGGTAGTATTAGGCTACTCATAGGACAACTGGCCAGAGCACAGTTTCTTCTTTGAGATTTGTGTGTTTTATAATTTTGTTAATGATTCAGACCAAAACAAATACTTTGAAAGTAGAAACACATAATTCCATTTCAGCATATCCCAACCAGATGGGATCAGAACAGGTGTGATCATTTTAGAGTGTTCTTCTCCATAAATCAACTTCTGGTTCATTCCAGAGTGGGGCTGTCAGCTTTTAGGCGCCCAATGAAGTTGAGAATTTTCAGCAAACTAAACACAGCCATTAAAATAATGTTTGAATTAGTTTTAATCACAGTGACCTAGATTCTCATGCTCCCCAGGACCTCACTGTATCTCTTCCATGTGTGAGATCCATGGGAGGGCTGCACATGGGGAAGACTCACCGAGTGCAGAGCAGGAAGAATTTAGGTCAATTACCTTTTGAAGTGTGATCCCTTTAAACAGCTACTCAAGGTAGTATCTTGCTAACAGAGCTGTATATAATAAAAGTGACCTGTGCTGTTTCTTTAAATACTGCTTTTTGGTTGTAAGCGATCAAAGTATTAAATTTGTGTAAGAAAAAAAAAAAGATCAAGAGAAGTTTCATCGATGTTCTTTCTGGAATCTATTAAGAAGGATTAGATATGTGGTTTACCTCTCTTAAAGTCTGGGCTTGAAAGTAGGTGCCTCCATTTCAGTGTCTTCCAGCTGAGCTTTTGTTTTCTCTGCCTGTAAGTTGAGTAGAGAAGAAGTTGAGATGTCACCTCAGGACTTTTGATAATATATTAAAAAATAAAAAATCGTGAAGCAGGCGAATGTATGGGGAGGAGTATTTACTATGGATCCATTCCCCAAAGTTTGAAAAAAAAAAAAAGTATTGTATGTGTGAATGTGTGTTTCCTTTCATTAGCTCTCCAGGAAACAAGAATTTTTTTCTCAAATTGTAAAGAAAAATTTGTTAGTTTTTTTTAACCTTTAAAAAGTAGATACCATTTTGATATGTTTATTCTTTCATTCAATAATTATTTACTGGCACCTACTGTATGTCAGGCACTTTACACGTTCTTGGGAAGATAACAGTGACCTTGATCTGATGTCTGAGTTCGGGGGAAAGAAATCATGCATCAGGCCGGGTGCAGTGTCTCACGCCTGTAATCCCAACACGTTGAGAGGCTTAGGCAGGTGAATTACGAGGTCAGGAGATTGAGACCATCCTGGCTGACATGGTGAAACCCCGTCTCTACTAAAAATACAAAAAAAAAAAATACCTGGGCGTGGTGGCGGGCACCTGTAGTCCCAGTTGCTCAGGAGGCTCAGGCAGGAGAATCGTTTGAACCCGGGAGGCAGAGGTTGCACTGAGCCAAGATCACACCACTGCACTCCAGCCTGGGTGACACAGCGAGACTCCATCGCAAAAAAAAAAAAAAAAAAAAAAAAGAAAGAAATCATGCATCAATCAATAGTTGTTGGAATCTTAGAAAGGAATGCTTAGAAAAATGGAGTAAATGGACATATTTAAAATATGAACACCATTTTATTTTTAACATTTCAAAAATGCAGGATAATTTAAAAACCAACATCTTTGCCAATTCTACTCCTAAGCAAAAATCACTATGAGCAATTTGCTGTATGTCCTTTTGGATTTCTGTCTGTTTACAAACACATATACAAAACAATTTCTTAAGAACATGTGAGCAGAGTTAATCCTGATTTGTAACTTTTTCTTCTATTTCAGGGTGTTTCATGAGCATCTCTTCCAGTCAGTAAGTGTGCTGATTTACCCCATTCTTCCCAATGACTATGGAGTATTCCATCTATGGCTCCCCAATATTATCATGGATGGCAATATGGAATGGCAGGACAGTATTAACCAAAGGCAGAAGATAATTCTGCATTTCAGTTGTTGGTTTATAAATATTGTCCTATCCTGTCATAGAGAAGGCTACCAATCTTTCCTGACAAGTCATTGAACAAACAGTTTCATGATTTTTTTAAATGTATTTTTTAGCATGAATCAAAAAGTGTCTTTTAATTAGTAAAATACTTTCATTGCTTTTAGTTTTATGGTAGGGATTCAAAAAAAGCAAACAGACTCAAAGCAACATAATGAATATAGGGGAAACCTGTAGATTTTCAAAGAAAATGATATAAAAATTATAAACATTACTGAGAAAGTTGATTGCATGGTTACAAAGTAATACACATTTGCTGTAAAAAATGAAAAATATGCAGACATGTAAATAGAGTATCAGTGTACAAATGGGTGGGTGGATTTTGGAAACATTTTTTAAAAAGAAAATAAAAATACCCTGAATCCTATGATTCAGAAATAACAACTTCCTCAACAACTTTTCTTCTAGTATATATGTGCACACACGTACACGTTGAAAAAAGCCTGAAAGGAGATAGGTAGCTTGCACATTGATGTATGTCTGTATTGAACACTTTATTGGGTTTCCTTTATTATACAGTTTTCCTTTATTATACAGTGAGTCAACCAAAAACACACATTTTTTAATAAAGTAAAAAAAAGTGGGTTCATTTCAGGCCTACAAAGAATGACACCAAGGAAATGATAAGAACCTCTTTTCTTTATCTTTTTTTGAGATGGAGTCGCACTCTGTTGTCCAGGATGGAGTGCACTGGCGCTATCTCGGCTCACTGCAACCTCTGCCTCCCGGGTTCAACTGATTCTCCTGCCTCAGCCTCCCGAGTAGCTGGGATCACAGGCACCTGCCACCACGCCCAGCTAATTTTTTGTATTTTTAGTAGAGACGGGGTTTCACCATGTTGGCCAGGCTGGTCTCGAACTCCTGACCTCATGATTCACCCGCCTTGGCCTCCCAAAGTGGTGGGATTACAGGCATGAGCCACCACGCCCGGCCAAGAGCCTCTTTTCTATCATTGCCTTTCTTCCAACAGGCTTATGGGTTATTAGAAAGTTTAAGATGGCTTTCAAAGATGAATTAGTTCCACATTGAATTTCAACAAATATCCAACAGTGAAAGCAAAGCACAAAATCCAGTAAGCCTGATGACTGTTATGAAATTCTGAACTGTAACCATCTAGAAATATAATCCAAGCTCAGAGTTATTTTGCATCCTCCAAGACTGCAAATGCCACGTACAGCATGGATCTTGTCTTTAGGCCTAGGAGGCTTTAAGAAGACAGGGGAGGAATGAGCTCCTTGCCTTCCCCTGCAGCTCCAGTGTCCATGCTGGCCAGCACCAGGGCTTCACTCACCCTGCTTGTGGGATGGCTAGAAGAGCTGACAGTCCCCTTGCTAGGTAACTAGAAGCATGTCACATCTAGCCTTTGTATACACAGGACCCCTGGTCATCTTCTCACAGCCCCAAACACAACAGAGACCCTCACGGATATGAGACAAATAATATCCTGCATACTCTGATCCTTAACCATGACCCTCAATAACATAAACACCAGCCAGGTAGTTGAGGGGAGGGTTTCTTCCCATTGTTTGGTGAAAGGAGAAAGTCAGAGAGCAGAAGGAGAGATTCAGATTAATAATGTTTAAAATGAAAATCTCTAGAAGCTCATTACTGGGGCCATTGAGGAAAGAGCACAGCTTTGGAATCAATTGAGTCTTTCACTTATTCAGTCAACACTTAATGACCCCATACTATGTGCTAGGCACAGTTCTAGTAGCTAAGGAACATCAAGAACAAAACAGACAAAAATCGATGTCTTGGTGGAGCATACATTCTAGCAAGAGGAGCAGACAATAAAAATAGCATTAGAGGGTGATAAATGCTACAGGAAAAGAAAACAGATTGGGGTAAGAATGATTGGGAGTGGGGAGTGGGTTGTAGGTTGTGGTTTTAAATAGGATGATCAGAAGTCTCACTAAGAAGGTGACATTGGAGCAAAGACCTGAGAAGGTGAGGGAATACATCATTTAGACATGTGGGGAAGGGGTTTCAGGCTGAAGGAACAGCCAGTGCAAAGGCCCTGAGGTGGGAGTAGGCTTGCAGGGTTGGAGGATAGTGAAGAAGAGATAATAGGAATTGAGATCCAAGACATAAGGTGTATGGAGTGGGCGTGCACGCAAGACCTTAAAAATTACAAGGACCTTAAACATTATACGGACCTTAGCTTTCCACTTAGGTTTGAATCCTTGTACCATCATTTGACAATAGTCACAGGTTGAGTGACTTTCTGAATTCCTATTTTGTTGTCTGTAATACGGTAATCTCATTAACTGGGCACAATTATTTTGAGGATTAAAATGGGATCATGTCTGTAAAATACCAAGTACAATGTCTGACATGTGGTATGTTTGCAACAAATGTTGTTTCCCATATTCCTCTAGGTCCAGTTGTGTGCATTTTATACCTATTTTATAAATGCATACATAAACATAGAAAGGTAATGTGACTGACCAGTAGCTACCCAGAGGTAGGAATCCAAGTAGCTTTTAACTCTGTAAATAAATAACAATTTTTTTCCCAAAACAATAAATGCTGAAGTATCATCAATAAAACTAATAATTGTGGAAGGTGGATTGTTAGGGATTCAAGTTGACTAAGGAATGAAATCTTGGATATAGCGACCATTAGTGAGGACTGATATATTAGTAGAAATGTACAGGCAAATCTCATTATTTCCCATTTCCATTGAGTGTCTATTTCAAGGTTAGAAAAAAAAATGTTATCTATCCTTCTGGGGCACATCTGAACATTCAAACAATACCAGATAGAATGGTCAGCTTGCAAACTTTTGAAAACACCATTGCCTGCAGGGTTGAAAAGGCCTCTGTTAGATATCAATCTGCTCTGCGTTAACTTTTTTTATATGATGGCAGCAGTTTTTCTCTTATGTGGTGGTATCATTAGAGTTTCACTTAAGTTCACAAAAATCATTTTCTGGCTAAGTTTCCACTCAAACCCAGTTGCTATAGAAGTTGGACATCAGTGGGGGAGGCAATTAGTTAGCTAGTTATTATGACTTACTTAGTACATTTTTAGCAGAAGGAAAAATGACAAAAACCTAAAATAATTCTATACAAATACATGAGTGACTCTTTTTACCCAGAGCTCATTAGTACAGTGGACAGTATTTCAAAGAAGCCACCAATACCTATAACACCCTCTCCTGTTGTATGATTATGCAGTTGTCATCAGCTGATAGGGCCAACAGGAACCATTTTAACAAAAATTATTCGGTACTTACTGTTGGAGGGCTTGAAACTACGGGAAGAACCGAAGATGGATTCTTCTCCGTAGGTAAATAGCAACAGTACATAAGTTCTTGCCAAGACAATTAGTTATACCACCTTCGGATATTCTGGTGGTCAAATGCCCTTTTAGAAGCTTTAAAAAATATTTGCCAGGGAATTTCTCCAGGGGAACACCTGTCTCGACTATCTTACAAAATATTCTCTGCTCTTAAGCACTAATGAATTATTTGGCCTCTAACTCTAGTCTGGAGTTTACCAAAAATCTGCACTACCTCTGTTTAATTGGATAAGGGGTTTTCCTGACAAATGTGTCTTAAGATTTTTATACCCTTTATTAAATGCCCAATAAACATTCATTGAAAGAATAGAAAAAAAGTCTCGCTTCCATTTCTTTCTACTTGCCCTGTTACAAATCAAAAATTGGCCACACACACACATAGATTTACTTATTATATGTATATACTAAATTATATGTGTAAATGTAGAAGTATATACCAATTATATGTGTATACCAAAGTATACATAGATATATGATGAAGTGTGACTATGTTTTTTTTTAACATACCAGAATTTTTAGCTCCAAATGAGAGTTGCCCTTTCTGAAGTCATGAGATGACCCATTTATTTCACGGATACAAGTGAAAATTTTGGGAACTCTTCTCTGGACAGTTCTCTCATCACCTCTTGCCTTTATTGTGAATATTATCATTGGTGGCAAATATTTACCACTTCAAAGTAGATTTCTAAAAATAGCTAAATGTCATTTGGGATCAAACTTCTAAAATAAGTAAGTCAACAAGCTGGATAATATTATTTGTTACTTAAAAATATTGGCTAGGACCATAAACTAATGAGTTAATACTATTTACAAGTATTGTTTACAACCTGCTTTAAAAAATAAAACAGCTTTATTGAAAATTAATTCACATACCATCTAATCCACCCATTTAAAGTGTACAATTCAATGGTTTTTAGTATAGGCACAGATATGCGCAACCATTACTACAGGCAACTTAAAAATATTTTCATCACCATAGAAAGAAACCCTACATCCTTTAGCCATTATGTCCCTACTTTTCACAACCTCCTCTTTCCTCAACCCCGCCCTAAGCAACCACTAATCTACTTTCTATAGATTTGCCTATTCTAGACATTTCATATAAACAGAACTATATAATAGGTGGTACTTTGTGACTGACTTCTTAGCAGAATGGTTTCAAGGTACATTAATTTTGTAGCATGTAGCAATCCTTTTAAAATCATTTCATTGTATGTATGTACCACATTTTGTTCATCCATTCATCTGTTGAAGGGCATACGGGTTGCTCCAAATGTCTTTTGGTTATTGTGAATAGTTCTGATATGAACATTCATTTACAAGTCCTTGTTTGAGCACCTGTTTTCAATACTTTTGTGCATATACCTAACAGTGGAATTGCTGCGGCATATGGTGATTCTATATTTACCTTTTTAAAGAACCACCAAACTGTTTTTCACAGCAGCTATACCATTTTACATTACACCAGCAATGTATGAGGGTTCTAATTTCTCCATATCTTCACAAACACCTATTATTTTTCATTTAAAAAATGTGGCCATCCTACTGGATGTAAAGTGGTATTTCATGGTTTTGACTTGCATTTCCCTAATGATTAATGATGTTAAGCATGTTTTCATGTGC
This sequence comes from Homo sapiens, assembly GCF_000001405.40. Lineage (NCBI taxonomy): Eukaryota > Metazoa > Chordata > Mammalia > Primates > Hominidae > Homo > Homo sapiens. Next base: position 72,255,386 of record NC_000016.10, read on the forward strand.
TCGTTGGCCATTTGTATATCCTTTTTGTTATTAAAAGATTTCATAAAATTTTAATTGAGAAGGAGTTTTGCCATGTTGCCCAGGCTGGTCTCAAACTCCTAGGCTCAAGTAATCCACCCACCTTGGCCTCCTAAAGTGCTGTGATTACAGGCAAGAGCCACAGCGCCCAGCCCCATTTGTAGATTGTCTTTGGAAAAAATGTCTGTTCAAGTCCTTTGCCTACTTTTAGATTTTTAATGGGCACTTCCAGAAGAGGAGACCCAAATGTTTTCAACAGGAGCAGCCATATTGGAACAAATGCCTAGCCTCCTGGCATCACTAGGTATTAAAGTGTAATACTTCTTTGACCATAAGAGTAAAGAACAAGCAATCACATTAGTTTAAGGTGATTATTTGTCCTGCACTAAGTAATACCACATCCATGGGTTTTTACAACAAATATCTACTCGTGTACTGCAAACTCATAGGCCATATGTGTTTTGTATACCATAAGACTTACTAAATAACTTTAGAGGATACAGAATTTCCTTGAAGAAGGGATTTAGAGGCAGTGATCCAGTTGGCAGGAGGAACACCCTGAAGCTGTGCTTGCATAGCAATTATGTATGACTGAGAACACATGATTCATGTACAACAAAGAATAGCAGAAAGTTGATGGAGGTCATGGAGACCTAAAGCCTCCCCTTTTCCCAGCCCCTGGTTTGATAATTCCACTGCATCTACAACCCACTGAGAATCTGAGAAGATACAATCAGAGAAGGAAGAATGCATTCTCTGATCTGCCAATGCCTAGTCATATATAGGTCAAATATAGGTTCTTGACTCCTGCCTGCCTCTGCTTCAAGCTTGGATATGTACAAGCAAGTTGATTTATGGATATGTGAAAAGATGCATGGATTAGTGGTGGGACAGGTCAACAGGCAGGGAGGTGGATGGTAGACAGTGGCATCAGGTGGACATCTTGATGGAAGGGAATGGGCTGATGATAGGTAAAAGTACGGATGGGTAGCAGACAGGGCTTCTACTTAGTGCAGCAACCCAGGCTGCTAGCAAATAGTAATCCAGTATAACTCTTAATAGTCAGAGAGATTAGTCAGCTGAGTCCAAAACCAGATTCTGGTGGAGTCCTTTTAAAACATTCCATTTCATCTACTCTGGCACCTCTAAAAGTTAAGAATTGCCTCACTGGGTCCAAGTGGCTCTGACTAATTTTTCCCATCTGGCTCTCTCCGGATCTTTGGTATGGATCAACAGCTCATGAGAAAAAAATGAGCAAGGGGATTGCATGCCTTACTGGTAATCAATTACCCAAAGGCTTTAAATTAGGGATACAAAATGGTGGCAGCTTTTCCCAGGGCTACCCAATGAAGCAATGACAATCTGTGAGAACAGAATGAAAACACAAACTGAAAGAAGAGGGAGTTTGTGAACAGGCTTGGGGATTTTCCCACCCCTCTCTAGGGTCTGCTGTTAGAAAACAAAATCATAATTACGCAATAAAATTCCTTCCATGCCTTTCTCTTGCTCAGAATTAAAAACCATCTACTGAAGACTTTCTCACTTCAAAACCCAGTCAGGTGCTTTCTACTATCAAGGAAGATGCCTGAAGAATAAATTGCTCTTATCAGAAATAAAGCATTTTAGTTCTGCCACAGCAGTGAGATCTGTGTTTGTAAGTCTCTCCAAAGGCAACTCCATTTTTGCTGCTCTCCTCTCATTTTCTTTTGATGCATAAAACCTGTAGACTGGAGCACTATGATTGCATTCTGCTACGGAGCAGTGTAATTGTAAATATTCATTGGAATTCAAGCTAGCTTTCCCAGGTCTCTCCTAGGGCTGTGCAGCTATGCAAACAGCAGTGGTGCCGCATTAGCTCACAGCCCGGAGGCCGCCTATTTCCCCACAGCCCCTAGGACCCTTTCTGTAGAGGGAGCACATGCAGAGAAACTGGCCCTTAAACACCATTTCAATCTACCATTTCACTTGTTTTTCCTTTTCTCCCCATGACTGCTGATCCTCAGTAATTCTGTCTGTCAGTCCCAAATATGCATTAGAAAGAGAATCGTGTCCTTGACGAAAAGCCTATAGTCTGAATGCTCTTGCTGTGTATGTGCTCAATCTATTTAGGAGATTAAACAGATTCCAGCCATTCCATGAACACACACACACACACACACACACACACACACACACACACACAGAGAAAGAGGAATATACATATGCAGCAACTCTAGATGAAAAACTAGGGTAGTTACCTACTCTAAAGTACAAGAGCATTATTCCTCTTGAGCAATAATGCTGTGAGCTAGCATAGCATTTAGTTATTCTATCTTTTTTCGAACTTGAAACCTGCAGGAATAAAAAATAAATTAATGTAGGATTGGGAATACCATATTAATTATGATGACCCTACAATAAGGAGTTATTTACATATTTAAAACATAAAAATTAGGCCTGAAGGAACCTGTGTTTGACTATGCTTATTTAATCTCAGGATACTACCTGCAAGGCTGAAGTTGAAGGTCCAAGCCAGACTCCCTGGACCACTCTTTGATATATCTTCTGAATGCTAGATGATTAGATTCCAACAGAATTCAGGGCACCTGCAATATTAACTTCAAAATAATCCAAGGAAGAAATCGATGCATAGAAAAATGACCTATAGAAACCAATTTATAGAGTTTCAAAAAAAGGAGAAAGAGATATGTTTTTAATGTTGAAACATTTCAATGAAAAGTAAGTCCAGATTGAAATTATTTGGGCCTGGCCAACATTTAGATTTAATGATGAAAGTGAAAAATTACTTTAAGTGACAAAAATATAGGAATGCTCAAAATTTCATATCTAAAAGGAAATTTATTTTAATTTGATTTAACCAGGTAAGTTCATGAGTAAAAGGCACTCTGCTAGGCATGGGGTGGGGGAGGGAATACAAAGATGAGTGATATATGTGTCCTATGTCTGGAAGGGTTTAGAATTTAGCAGCACAAAGAAGATATATAGAAATAGCTATGCTATAAAAGGGGCAAAATACTGTGTTATCTCAGAGGATTATAAGCAACTTCTTGGGAGAGGTCAAAATCAACCAAACTCTGGAGCAGTGGAAGGATTTTAACCTATGGAACTGGATGAAGGGAGAAGTCTCTGCAGAGAAGTGTTATGGGTTGAATTGTGTCCCCCAGAAAGATACGTTGAAGTTCTAACCACCAGAATCTGTAAGTGTGTCTTAGTCACACTCTGTAAGTGCACTTATAAGATGATACCATGGCCGGAGTGGCTTATAAACATCAGAAATTTATTTCTCACAATTCTAGAGGCTGGAAGTCCAAGATCAGGATACCAGCATAATCAAGTTCTGGTGAGGGCATTCTTCTGAGTTGCAGACTACCATCTTCTCATATCCTCACAAGCGGAAAGAGGACAAGGAGCTCTCTGGGGTGTCTTTGATGAGGACACTAATTCCATCATGAGGGCTCTACTCTCATGATCTAATTACCTCCCCAAAGCTCCACTTCCTAATACTATTGCACTGGGGGTTAGAATTTCAATCTAAAAATTTTGATGAGGACACAAACATTCAGTGCATACAGAGTGTGACCTCCTTTGGGAATTGCGTTTGCAGATATAATCAAGTTAAGATGAACTCATCTGGATTAGAGCTGGCGTCTTTATAAAAAAAGGGAAATTTGGACACAAATATCCAGGAGAGAAGGCCATGACAAGATAGAGGCAGAGACTGGAGTGATGTATCCACAAGCCAAGGAGCACCTAGGGCTGCAGCAACACCAGAAGTTAGAAGAGGCAAGGAAGGGTTCTTCCCCTAGGGCCTTCAAAGAGAAGATGGCTCTGCTGACACCTTGATTTTGGACTTCCAGCCTCCAGAACTGGGCAAGGCTACATTTCTGTTGCTTGAAAGCACCCAATTTGTAGTGCTTTGTTATGGCAGCCTTAGGAAACTAATGCGAGAGGGAAAAAGATGAGGCCTAGAGGTAGGAAGTGTGGGACTTATTCTGAAAGGTGAAGTTTGGATTGGCTGGAGAGCAGTATGTGTAAAGACCAATTATAGAGATTACGTCTGGGAAAAAAAGGAGCCCAGATGGTGGCATTTGGGGCTTTTATCTGTAGCATATAAAGCACTATTAGGAGAGAGAGTCATGGAAGATTCAGGACATGCTGGAAGAATAGATTGGAAGAAATGGGAGCAGGTAGCAGGTTGCAGTGAAATTTGAGACGAGAGGTGACATGCTGGACAGTGGCAGTGCTCACGGAAAGTAAGTGTTAGATTTGACAGGGGTGGAGGTAGAGTTGATAGAACCTGGAGACTAATTAGGTGAAGAAGGCACAAAAATAATTTTTGAGTCTGGGAGATGGGAAACAGGAAACCCAGGGGGTAGAGTTGGTTTGGAAGAATGTGTTGAGGAGAAAAGTCTAGTTTTTAGTAAATGTTTATGTCCAGCAGAATGCTGGAAATGTGAACTTGCAGTATTTGTTGGGATAGAAATATAGATCTGGGAGCCAGCTGCACTGAGGACATAGTCAATGGCCTGGAAATGGTTGCAATCATCACAAGAGTTGAGTGATCATAAATGGAAGAGTTGAACACTGGGGGAGCACCTCCATTTAGAGGGTGATAGAAGGATGAGGCAAATATAAATTAGAGTTCCAAGAGGGTAGCCAAGATCAATCCAAGTCAAAGAAGCCAAGGATGTGTTTTATGAAGGAGAGGGTGATCAATGACAGAAAATGCTGCAGAGAGATTGAGGAGGACAAGGACTCAGGAGAAGTCATCAGATATAGGGATTAGAATGTCAATAGTAATTTAGGAGAGGACAGTTTCAAATTAATGGTATGAGAGGTCACTTTAAAAGGGTTTAGAAATGATTAAGAGTGAGAGAGGCTAATATTCATGGATTATTCTTTTGGCAGGTTTGGTAATGAAAAGAAGGAGAAAGATGAGCTTTTTGTTGTTCTTGTCATTTTATGGTAGAAAAATATTTAAGTATATTAATATGTAAAAGAGAAGAAACCAGAAATTTGGGAGACTTGTAAAAAACAAAACAGAATGGAATAACTGATGGAACAGGGCTCTGGAAGGAAAAGAGATGGATTTCGACTAAGGAGCAAATTAGCTTTGGAGTTTGCAGATGGGGCAGTTTCCTTTCTGGCACAGGCAAGGAAATAATAGGAGGGGTTGTAAATCACTTGGATGTGGAAGGGGGAAATTGAAGTTCATCTTAGAAAGTCTCATCTCAATAAAGCAGAAAGCAGGTCAACTTGGGAGAGAGATGTATGGGTGAGTGGGCTGCAAGCTTGAGGGATGGGAAAGATGATATCTTTGGGGAATATGATTGAGAGTAAATAAAAGAATTGCTAACAGGCCTAATTGAGGTGGTAGCAATAGTGCTAATTGACATATTTAATTTTAATTGACAAGACATAACTTTCTACAACAAGGTCTGCCAGCTTAGGAGAAGCATGCAGGTGGAAAAGCAGATGATGAAGAGAGTCCAGTGTTGGTTTTAGGCCTAATTTTCTCCTTAATCCAAATCCATCTCTCTTCCTTCCAGAGGAAGCTCATAATACAAGGGATCCCAGGGCATAGTAAAGGCTAGGTTAGAACAGGCATTTGAAAGGCTTCTTGGGTGAATGTCAATTCCTTGTCCTTCAAAGTAGCCTAAAAGTAGCGAAAGAATAAAGAATAAAGAAAAAATTGTAGGTAAAGGATAAAAATCATGTTCCTTTCTTCCTTCTTTCTTTTAATTTATTCATTCAGCATATAAATAATTTGCCAAATGCCCCTCCATGCCATGGCATGGGAAAGGAAGGCTGCGCATCAGGTCTGTAAGATTAGGTTGCTTACTCTTCAGTGTGTGAAATAACAAGAACAGTACACACTCAGCTTGCACTATCTACCAGGAATTGCTGTAAGTGCCTGTCCACATATTAACCATATTAACTTAGTACTATAACCTTCAAAAGTAGGAACAATTATTTTGCTAATGATATTACTGAACTTCAGGGAAGTTAAGTGACTTGTCAAGGTCACATAGCTAGTTGCCAGCATAGCTGGGGTTTTAGTAAGTCTGGTTCCAGGGTCTGTTCTCTTAATCACTATACTATATGAACTAAAAAGTTTTGAAATGGGTTATAAGTAGGATGATTACATATTCTTCTTTTTTTTTTTTTGAGATGGAGTCTTGCTCTGTCACCCAGGTGAGAGAAATGGCGTGATCTGGGCTCACTGCAACCTCTGTCTCCTGGGTTCAAGTGATTCTCCTGCCTCAGCCTTCTGAGTAGCTGGGATTACAGGCGTATGCCACCACACGTGGCTAATTTTTTGTATTTTTAGTAGATATGGGGTTTCGCAATGTTGGCCAGGCTGGTCTCGAACTCCTGACCTCAGGTGATCCACCCGCCTTGGCCTACCGAAATACTGGGGTTACAGGCGTGAGCCACTGCACCCAGCCAATGATTACATATTCTAATCATTCTGGGATGGTCCAGTTTATGCCTGTTGTCCCAGGAAAAGTATTCATTGTATGCTCTTTCAATAAAAAGTCTGAAGGAGAAGTTACATGGTTACTTTAGTTATAAGAGAAACTGATCAACCACAGGGCTTTTCTTCAAATTCTTCAATGTTGGCTCATGTGATGTATAGAGACTAAGAACTGTAAGGCATTTAAGAAAAATAAATGAAATGGCTCTGCCTTTCTATGACACACTACCTCAAGACCCACAAGAGCCAGCTTCTTTGATTCCCTTGGTCAGATCACAGCCCCTTCCCCAACCCCAGTGGCCTCCATACTTCAACTTCAACCTTACTGGTTTTAATGAAAGGAGAAACACAGAAAGGCACATTCTCTAAGCTACCACCAAGTGGAGTTCTGCACACCTATTCTTTAAGCAGTGTTGGAAATTGAACACACAAAACCCTACAGCAAATCTGTGCACCCATCTCTCTCTTCCTCATCTCCTTTCCTTATCTCTACTCTCAGGCCAGCACTCCACTGTTCATGCCAAACGTCAGGCACAATAACCACATGTCATATAGATGTACAGCCTCAGCCAAAGCTGTTATAGGGCTAACGCCAGACCTTTTGCAGCAATTCTGGCTGTTTTGTGGCTGTTGGTAATGTCTTCATTTCCTGAACTCCTTCTCCTTATTGTTTTTAGGCTCCAGTGAGAAGCAGGGAAATTGGTACTAGCAACGTGGCTCTGGTACCCTATAAGAAAGTGTTGTGCTCTTGTTGTTGCCATATCAGCTTCCTCGGAAGATTTAAAGATGTACACTCAACTCCCTATGGATGATTTTAAAAATGTATCACTAATGGTCACTGATGACAGGCACTTATACATTGGGATTTGGCTCTTACTCTAATGATACTATTTTAAATGCTGCAACGTGCAAAAATGATGGTAATGCCTAGGCCAGAGTAAGCAGAAAATCAGCTCAGCAAACTGAACAGAAGACATTCATCCAGGGCTTCAATATCCTGTCAAGTGACCACTGTTTTGTATGGCTTTATTATTCTCTGAGGTTTTAATATGCTGGTCCACAGAATTCTCTTATTATTTCCTTGACTGCTTTTCTATTGTCTCCTCTGTCTGTCCTGGATCCTCTGTTTTTCCTTCCTCTGAACTCAGTCTTGCAGTGAGTTTATGCATTCATAGTGATTTCAACTACAATTTATATTACAAACAGTTCCAAATACACATCTGAGCTGCCTGATGGGCATTTTACTCTTTCTCTCTTCCTTCCTTGGTAAGCTCGTCCTCTAATATGATTTCAATAGTGGCTAACATTTATCATGTCTCAGGCATGGAGTTAATGCTTGGAACCCTACAAGCAGGGGCGCTTACTATTATCATCTTTGTCCTCCAGAGAAGGATCTAGTAAGTGGTAGAACTGAGATTTGACCCCAGACAGATTTGCTTCAGAACCTGTGCTCTTAACCACCACATTATGATGCCTCCTCACATTCAGACACTTGCTCTCTACCTCCTGACTAGACTATCCCAATAGCTCCTTAGTGCTCCATCTGGCACCAAGCAGAGCTCAATACCATTTTTCACATGGAAGGTTTACCATGTTCCCTACTGATCACATTTAAAGTCCTCTGTTGCACCTCCAAAGTTTTCCACTGACTTCTCTGTCACCCAAGCCCATCTAGACTGCGCATTCCTGTTATGGATATTTGTGTGTCATGCAAAATGTGTGTCACAATTCCTTAGGGTACTTCCTCTACCTAAAACATTCTTCCTATCTACTCTATAGGAAACCTTTTACCTCTTGTTTTAGGATTTACCTCTTTTAGAAAACCTCCAACTAACTATAAGTGCAAGGGTAAATGACATATAGTTAGTGATGTTGTCTTCGATTTCTTTCTATTTCCTACAGAGTCTAGTAATATTTATCATCCACTGGATATGCAATAAAGATTGTTAATGTGCTGACATAACCATTCTAACCAACACTAGAAAGAAACCCACACATGGCTGAGAGGCACAACTTAATAATGACTAGAGGCCAAAGTGTATGTTTTCACCTACAGTCGGGTAAGAGGAGGAATAGAACTTCTGTATTGTTTCTAAGCCTGTTTGCTTTCAAATCCATTCCCCACTTTCCCCTGTTCTGCTCTGTGTGGCTGGGATCGGATCCCCCGAAGGCTGCATTTCTAGGCTCACAAGTCAATTGGCTTCCAGATAGGTTCAGGCAATGGAAGGAGCTGAAGGGAGAATGGAGTGTGGGAGGGAGAAATTAGGCACATCTCTGCCTCCCACTCTGTTTCGGGATAGGGCTCCAGCCCCAGCTGTGTCTCCTCTGTAGCTCCAGCTCTCTTACACAGGCCTTCTTCCATGATTCCAGTTTCTATGACATGACCCTGGGCTCTGGGCTCTGGTAACGCCACTTCCTCGCTTTGTCTCTGCAGCCTAGTGAGGGTAGTGGTTTCCTGCTGTTGTTAACCTCACCACTCCCATTGGCTTCTCAGGGTCTCCCTGTAATTCCCTGCATTAAATTCCCTCTGTTGTAAATTTGTGAATTGCTGTTTTCCTGTGAAACCCTGAAAGAACAAGCAACCTTTTATTATTATTGTTGTTGTTATTATTATCCCAATAGAATCATAGACAAACTTCCGCTAAAACAAAATCCCTGTCAAGCTATGATCGCTTTCTGACCTCCAGCTGTCTGACTAGGAGGTGAGATCCAGCCACAAGCAGAAAGTTTACAGATAAAGAGATGAACCTGACATGGCTATAACAATGGCATTAACCCTCTAAGAGGACTGACATGGCATGTTTCAAACTTACAAATCTTCAACTCTTGAGGTTCTCCAGTATAAAGACGAATTGAATAATACCATAAATACAATAGCTTGGTAAGTAAAAAAAAGAAAATGGAGAAATTATTTTGTACTTTCACAGGTAGATGAGACTAAGTCAACCTACAGATTCTGAACTTATTTTACTATTTTATTGGTTTATTTAAAGGGACTAGTTTAATATTTAACATCAAGTGGGTAGGTTCACATTACTAAAGGAAATGGTGTCGACACTTTTAGCCTCAACATAAATTCCAAGATAAAATGAGCCATAAATCCACCCTGTGACAATCCAATTAGAACCATGTGGTGAGCAAACAGGATAGGCATCATCTGTGTTTGAGGGCATCCTAGCTCTGCCATTCACCCAGAGCATCCACCTGCCCTGTCCCCAACTCTTTTCAATGGCGTTCTCTTGAGAGATCTTTGGAAGTATTTTTAGATAAGATTCTGCAGTTCCTGTCTGGACATAACTTCTTTGATATGGAATAAAATAATAATCAACTGAACGACCTGTACATTTGGCCACCTAATAAATATTCATAGATAGTACCCTCTGTGCCTACATACCTAAAATGAGGAAAACTATCTATGGAAGACACTACTGATTGATTAGCCCAAAGCCATTCCTAACCCCTTGTCTTTTGCAGCCTTCCCACAAAGAGGCTGGGGTGGTAAATACTTGCCTTCCCAGCCGCATGGGCAGTGAGGGTGGCTTTGGTACTCATCTGACTGTGAGGTGTAAGCAGATGTCTGCCAGAGGGGTGGGATGGGACTTCTGGGGAAGCTGCTCATTTCTAGGTAGAAAGATATAGGCACAGAGGGCATGATTTTTCTCACTTCTTCACCTTTTTTCCTTCTTTGGGCACACAAATCATGGTTGATGCCATAGCACTCATCTTGTAACCAATATGAAGAAAAAGTCAAGAATCTCAGCATCTTTGGCTCTGACATCATAGATGGAAAAGGCTTGGTTCTTTGATGACATTTTTGAGTATTGAATCAATGCCACCTAGACTTATTTGAGGGAAATAGAGCCTATTTGTTTAGCTTACTCCTTTTTTTTTTTTTTGAGAGATTGGGTCTCACTCTGTCACCCACGTTGGAGTGCAGTGGCACAATCATAGCTCATTGTGACCTCAACCTCCTAGTGATCCTCCCACCTCACTAGGCTATAGCTGGGTGTGGTGGTGTATACCTGGAGTCCTAGCTACTCGGGAGGCTGAGGAGGGAAGATCACTAGGAGACCAAGTGCTCATTTCTAGGTAGAAAGATATAGACACTATATCATTGATTCAGCTCATTAGCACTTGACGTTCTAGTGATCCTCCCGCCTCAGCCTCCCGAGTAGATAGGACTACAGGTACACACCACCACCCCCAGCTGTTGCCTGCTATTGTTGTTTCTATTCCTTGCAGCCGAATGGAGTCCTACCTAGTTGAAAAGACAAATTTATACTTATTACAAATGTGTCACATTCTATTATAATTGCTGGCTCTAGATGTAGTTTATAATAAACTCTTGATTGTGGTCTATGCTTTTATACAGATTTCTCATTTCTTCTCTGCTCAAGGTTGATGATTTTTTTTTTTTTTTTTGAGACAGAGTCTTGCTCTGTCATGCAGGCTGGAGTGCAGCGGCACAATCTTGGCTCACTGCAACCTCCACCTCCCAGGTTCAAGCAATTCTCCTGCCTCAGTCTCCCAAGCAACTGGGACTACAGGCACCTGCCACCATGCCCGGATAATTTTTTGTATTTCTTTTTTTTTTTTTTTTTTTGAGACGGAGTCTTTCCCTGTCGCCCAGAGTGGAACGCAGTGGCGCAATCTCAGCTCACTGCAAGCTCCACCTCCTGGGTTCAAGCCATTCTCCTGCCTCAGCCTCCTGAGTAGCTGGGACTACAGGTGCCCACCACCATGCCCAGCTAATTTTTTTGTATTTTTAGTAGAGATGAGGTTTCACCGTGTTAGCCAGGATGGTTTCGATCTCCTGACCTCATGATCCACCTGCCTCGGCCCCTCAAAGTGCTGGGATTACAGGCGTGAGCCACCGTGCCTGGCCAATTTTTTGTATTTTTAGTAGAGACGGGGTTTCACCGTGTTAGCCAGGAGAGTCTCGATCTCCTGACCTCGTGATCTGCCCACCTCGGCCTCCTAGAGTGCTGGGATTACAGGCGTGAGCCACCGCAGGTGGCCGGTTGATGATCTTAATAGAGGTGAGTAGACTTTTTCTATAAAGGGTCAGATAGTAAATATTTTAGATTTCATGGGCCAGTCTCTGTCACAATTACTCAACTCTGCTATTGTAGTGTGCAAGCAGCCACAGATAATATGTAAATGGTGGGTGTGGCTGGGTTCCAGGAAAACTTTATGTATGAAGAAAGGCAGTTGGTCCATGTGCTATAGCTTGCCAACCCCTGATCTTAGTCAAGCCCACCTTAGAAAGTGAAAATAGCTCCAAATTCCTACAGGTCCTGGGCTTCCACCTAGATCTGACAGTGTCAGTCCGTTTTCTTTTCCTTCTTGCCTCCTTCACCTGAGGGATCCTTAGGGAAGACTGATTGCAACCCCTCAGCTAAAACCAAATCAGAAGGAATTTAGAGTTCCCCTGGGAGAAATATTTCCCCAGTATATACTGTTTGGAGAGTGGAGAGAATAGTATGAGATTTCTCTCTCAACATAGATCTTCTTACAGAATAAAGGAGTCAGCGAAGGAGAACTTCCACTTTCCTCTCCCATTGGTGATGGTGAGAGACCTGTGGTGGTTATTAGTCTTGTGCATATAATCAAATCTCAGTGATTCTGGTTCTATATGAATTGTGGATTTGCTCTTATTTTCCTTCCTACCTTTCCTTCCTTTCTTTTGGCCCTTGCATGTTCAAGTGATGCCAAGGAAATCCGAGGAGATGCAGCTCGATCTGTCACATCTTCTGTCTTTGTTAAGGCAGCTCTGATAAAAGGAAGGGTGAGTAGGGGTTGGAATTATTAGCTAACATTGGATTGGGAGTTATTTGTGGATTTAAGTTATTATGTTATTCCTATCTCCTATTTCCATGGAATATTTTGTAAGTTCCCTGTCACTGGTGGAAATGTGAATGAATTGCAGTTTCTTTTTTTGATATGGAACAGAGAAAGACCAAGCCAGTTTCAAAAATCTTAATGTATTGTGAATGCATTAAAAATATTTTTTTTTAAGTTGTGGGTACATAGTAAGTGTATATATTCATGGAGTACATAAGATATTTTGATACAGACATGCAATGTGTAATAATCACATCAGGGTAAATGGGGTATCTATCACCTCAAGCATTCATCATTTGTGTTACAAACAACCCAATTATATTCTTTTAGGTATTTTAAAAGGTGCAATTATTTTTTACTATAGTCACCCTGTTGTGCTAGCAAATACTAGGTCTTATTCATTCTTTCTAACAATTTTGTTTGTACCCATTAGCTATCCCCACTTCTCTCCCACCCTCCCCACTACCCTTCATAGCCTCTGGTCATCATCCTTTTACTCTCTATCTCCATGAGTTCAATTGTTCAATTTTTAGCTCTCACAAACAATTGAGAACATGCAAAGTTTGTCTTTTTGTGCCTGGTTTATTTCACTTAATGTAATGACCTTCAGTTCCATCCATGTTTCAAATTACTGGATCTCATTCTTTTTTATGGCTGAATAGTACTCCATTGTGTATATGTACCACATTTTCTTTCCATTTGTCTGTTGATGGACACTCAGGTTGCTTCCAAATCTTGGCTATTGTGAATAGTACTGCCATAAACATGGGTGTACAGATATCTTTGATATACTGATTTCCTTTGAGTATAAACCTAGGAGTGGGATTGCTGGGTTGTATGGTAGTTCTATTTTTAGCTTTTTGAGGAAACTTCAAACTGTTTTCCACAGTGGTTGTACTAATTTACATTCCCACTAACAGTGTATGAGGGTTCTCTTTTCTCCATATTCTTGCCAGCATGTGTTATTGCCTGTCTTTTGGATAGAAGCCATTTTAACTGGGGTGAGATGATATCTCATTGTAGTTTTGATTTGTGTGAATGCATTTTTTAAATGTTTAATTGGGAACCTCTTCTGATTTGATCCCACTAACATGCTGAGGAACCAATGAATATTTGGGCATGCAAAACACTAAATTTCCCTGCATTTAATTTTGATGTTCAATTTGGAAAAACCAGAAATTTCCTTTAGGTGGATTCAGAATTTTCCTTTGGGTGGGTTCACAAGAAAACCATCTTCCACGATCAGTGTAAATCCTTTAAGGGTGAAGTCAAATAGCTGTACTTCCTTACATCTCTCTGCTGTTTGAGGAGTGGTGTCTGGCTCTGTCTATAGATCTGCTTCTGGAAATATAAAAAGAGTGCAAAATTGCCACAAAGTTTTGATTCATTTTCATTAAAGAATAAGAAGTAAAACTAATGTAATGCCATTTCAGTGGCTTCACAAGGAGAAAGTACATTTTGAGGGTCTCCAGATCACTTATTTGCACAAGTATAGTTAGTCACAAGTACAAGAAAACACTTACAAATTTCTCTCTATCCTGATCAGTGTTTTGTTTTTTTTTTTTTCAGACAGGGTCTTGTTTTGTCACCCAGGCTGAAGTGCAGTGATGCAATCATAGCTCATTGCAGACTCAAACTCCTGGGCCCAAATTATTTTCCCACTTCACTTCCCCAAAGTGCTGGGATTACAGGTGTGAGCCACTGTGCCTGGCCCTGATCAGTCCTTAAACAGGCTAAGGGGATGAGAAAAAGCCATAATGAGCCTTCAAACTTCAACATGAAGCCCAAGACAATAGATCTTTGTCATTGCCAGATTATATGAAACTCAGATAGAATTGCCTGACCACTTCAGTTTGCTGGAGAGCAGATGATATTCAATTCAACCAACTTTTATGGGGTTCCTGCCATTTTCCAATTACAATGCTAGATATGAGGAAGTGCTAAGGTGAATGGGTTCTCATGAAATTCACAATCTATAGGAACAAGAGACCCATGAACAAATAAATTACAACATGAAGGACAAATGCAAGTATAGAGGTATGTTTAAAGTTATAGATGTAGTGTGAATGAAGACATGGTTAAATTTTTCTGGGGAGATAAGAGAAGGCTAGCAGAGGATGTGATTTCGTGGGAGTAGGTGGGCGGGACCTGGGTGTGGGTAAACAAAAGTGAAAACAGGCCTGGAAATAAAGGTTGTATTCTTTTAAAACGGAGTAGCACTGGATGGTCATTTTCTGCTCTTTCCTTTGGGATTGCCACTCAGGACTTTTAACAAAGGAAGGAAACTCAACTAGACCACCTCAGATGTCATAAAGAACACTGACTTGGCACCAGAAGATCTGTACTCACGTCCTAATTCTTCAATTTAACAAGCTTTGTGGCCTTGGAGAAACTGGCTGACATTTTTGAGCTTCAGTTTTCACCTTTGTAAAATGATGCAGTTGGACTTTCCTACTGGTCCTCAAACCTTTGTGTCATGCATTCTATCAACGTTTGAACTCTGTCCTTACCAGCCAGTTTCATCCCCACTCTGATTGCTCCTCCCTCCAACCAAAGAATAAAAGCAGCAAGCAAGAAATCTCCTTTTCCAAGCATGACACTTACATGTTTATAGGCTGTCTATGGCCCTTTTCATAATTTGTGCTTTTCAATTTTTTTTCTGGGATTTAAGTTTTAGAGAATAAATTTTATCATGAATCTATAATTGTTCTAAAAACCTTGCAGCTTACTTAACCTAGTTTGTTTTCCTGCTGATTGAGAATCCTTCTAGCATCTTGCCCCGTGTTCCTCTTGAACACTCAAAATCATGGGCCCTAACTTCATTCATCTACTCCTTTTCCAGTTCAGAAAGCTCAGGCAGGCAAAGTGAAAAAGGGAATAACATGCACATTGGAGCTATAAATAGCAAGTGTACAAATGATTGTAAATACCAAAGGCTGAAGATGTAAGTAGTAATCAAACAGCCTTCCCTTTGGGACAGCTGCAGGAGGAAGTAGTCCAGAGCCTTCAAGGCAAAAAACAGCCTGCAAGCCCAGGTCATAAACCTTCTGTTTGCACTGGATTGTTAGGGGAAAGATTTCTGGTGCCTGGCATTGCATCTGGCCACAGTGGTTGCACAGCAGCTACCGACTGAGGAACAGACAAATGAAGCAGAAGCTCTGGGTTTGACCCTGAGTTTGGCCACTCCTGAAACTTCTCTGCACCCTGGTGTTTTCAAATGGAAGATCAGAAATAATGACTCCTGCTTCACAAGGTTGACGTGAAGATTTCATGTAGATGTTGTTTGAATCCGAGCTTTGGAAAAATATTCAAGAAGTCATGGAGGCTGGACATGGTGGCTCACACCTGTAATCCCAGCACTTTGGGAGGCTGAGATGGGCAGATCACTTGAGGTCAGGAGTTCGAGACGAGCCTGACCAATATGGTGAAACCCTGTCTTTACTAAAAATACAAAAATTAGCCAGGCATGGTGGGACATGCCTGTAATCTCAGCTACTGGGGAGGCTGAGGCAGAAGAATCTCTTGAACCCAGGGGGTAGAGGTTGCAGTGAGCTGAGATTGCAGCACTGCACTCCAGGCTGGGTGATCGAGTGAGACTCTTTCTCAACAAAACAAAACAAAACAAAAACAAATGGTGGAGAATTTCTAGTTGGCTGACTGTAGCTACTCAGGCAGTTAAGACCAGGTTTTCAGTTGTGAGACATCCCAGGAATTTATGTATGTATGTATATGAACATATATATATATATATATGTTCATGCATACATATATATCTATATCTATATATTTATATCTATCTATCTATCTATCTATCTATATATATATATATATATATATGAGAGATCAAAGGCTTGGAAAAAAGGATAAGTAAGGATATGCTATCTAATTGAATAAAATTCTCCAAAATCCTTTTAGATCAGCTAAAACAGGAGGCAAGGAGAAGTAATATTTATTTCTCCTTTTAAGGAAGATAAAAATCCTGATTTAGTTTTCTGAGATTTGGAGTCCCCTTCCATCAGCTTCCCCACAGCCCTGGCTCTCATTCCCCAAAGCAGTAAGAACAGAGTTTTCAGCCTCTACATTGATGATTTATCCCGGTCACAGAGGGGACACCCGGCTAACTGAGGTTAACAGCTTTCTCGGTTTCATTTCAAAAAGACATTAGCATGGAGGCTCAATGAAATGCTGATATGCCAAATACTGATTCATTCACCTGCAGAGTTCACTATAAGGCAGGGACCTATTTGACAGGCAGGGCTGAGCTCCCAGCCTTTTCCTAAAGGGCAATCCCATAATTCATCTCCCAGTGCTAAATTACACCTGACACTTCACTGAAGACTTCAGGTGCACTCACCCAACTGCAATAAGCCTAATGCAGAAGAGGGGTGGAAATGACAAAAGTACTTTTTGAAAATAACATGACTAATTCAATTGTGGGTGGAAATATCTGTGGTGTAAAATATTCCCAGGCAGAATGCACACATTTGTTTTTGTGTTATGGGCAGGTCTTTTCTCTGGCAATGGGGAATCTCTATGTTGTGCATCACTACCTGAGCTACATGCTCCGTCACCTGTCCTTAGATTTGGCCTAGTCACTAAAGAAGCTCCAAGCTTTTCCATCATCTGGGCCTTCCCTACTCTAGTCTCCTTCCAAATTTGCAGGAAAGACTGTTCAAAAGCTATAAAGTCATGTGCTCTTACTGCTCCTCTACAGAATTTTTTGGGAGAGGTTCAAGAATAGGCACAGGGGAAGCAGAAGACCCATCCCCTACATTAAGCAAAGCAGTCAAGCGCTTTAGCATGGCCCTTAACTTGTTATCAGGTTCCAGGGATGCTTTGTTGAAAGAAAAGAACAAAACAAAACAAGACAAAACCAAACCAAACCAATACCTTGACAAGTGAAGCCAACTAGCTTCCTAATGGCCCCATCCAGGAATTTAGTGGGTGCAGGGAGTTGCTGGTCATTTATCTGATGCTGTATGAAGTGAGCACATGAGGCTTTAGCCTGGCCAGAGCTCACAAGAACTTTGGAGGGATAAGGTGAGATGTTTTCTCTGTAACTCAGAAAGTCTTCATTGAGTATGTGCTAGGTGTTGAGGACACTGCAGTGAACAGGCAGACACAGGGGTCTTCTCCCATGGGGCCTCAGGTCTCACTTGGGAGACCTGAACTTAAAAAGAGCTAAGATGATTGACCTGCTGGGCAATGCCCAGCATTTCTTACTTAGGTGCTTAATAAATGTGGAATGAGGCCGGGCGCGGTGGCTCACGCCTGTAATCCCAGCACTTTGGGAGGCCGAGGCGGGCGGATCACGAGGTCAGGAGATCGAGACCATCCTGGCTAACAAGGTGAAACCCCGTCTCTACTAAAAATACAAAAAATTAGCCGGGCGTGGTGGCGGGCGCCTGTAGTCCCAGCTACTCGGGAGGCTGAGGCAGGAGAATGGCGTGAACCTGGGAGGCGGAGCTTGCAGTGAGCCGAGATCGCGCCACTGCACTCCAGCCTGGGCGACAGAGCGAGACTCCGTCTCAAAAAAAAAAAAAAAAATAAATAAATAAATAAATAAATAAATAAATGTGGAATGAAGAAATTGTAAATAGGGTAAAAGCAAATGAGCTAAACATTATTAAGTGCCTTCTCTGTCCCAGATTCTACGCTAGGCCCTTTCCATTACATTATCTAATTCAGCACAAAATGAACAGTTAAAGTCTGGTACATGGCTTCTGAGACAGTCTCTTTCATGGCATAGACATGAGAAACAGTGTTGCTTAGTGGAAAGACTCCAAGACTAGATGTCCACAAAATTTGGGCTTAGTAACTCTGACATTACTAAAGGTATAGTCTTGGGTAAGGATTTGTCCCCACTGAGCCTCAGTTTCCACATCTATAATTCAGGGATGATGATACCTCCCTCACAAGGTGGCCATGAGGAATGGATGAGATGGTGAATATGAAATAGCTTTGATCATAAATAAGATCCTGCTCTCTGTAAAAGGAAAATCATATTTTACCCATCCACTTTTTAAGAGCTCATGTTGCTTCTAAACAATTAAATTTTATATGATTTCAATAATTCTAACAAAAAAATCAGAAACAATATTAAGTTTGACCTGGCAGTTATCAAAATGGTATTTGGAGACTTTTCATCAGAAAGATTCCTATAATAAGCCAAGATTCACATAAGATGATTATTTGCCCTGTTTTCATCACATATTTGGGGAAATTACTGATACCTCAATAGTTACTCACTTAAGTAGACATTAAATTCTTTCTTTATAAATCAATTCTCTTTGCTCCTTCAGCATTTCTGAGTTTCTTTGGATGAATTAAAATTTTGGAGCAACACAGGAGCACAGCATTTCAGTTTTTTTTTTTTTTTTTTTTTTTTGAGACGGAGTCTTGCTCTGTTGCCCAGGCCGGAGTGCAGTGGCAAGATCTTGGCTCACTGCAACCTCCGCCTCACAGGTTCAAGCAATTCTCCTGCCTCAGCCTCCTGAGTAGCTGGGATTACAGGCGCCTGCCCCCACATCTGGCTAATTTTTTGTGTTTCTAGTAGAGACAGGGTTTTACCATGTTAGTCAGGCTGGGCTTGAACTCCTGACCTCAGATGTTCCACTCGCCTCGGCCTCCCAAAGTGCTGGGATTACCGGCGTGAGCCAACATGCCTGGCCTCTTTTTTTTTTTTTAATTAAAAACTTTTTTTTTTTTGTAGAGATGAGGGGTCTTGCTATGTTGCCCATGCTGGTCTTGAGCTCCTGTGTTCAAGCAATCCTCTTGCCTAGGCCTCCCAAAGTGCTGGGATTACAGGCATGAGCCACTATGCCTGGCCTCAGATTCTAACTAAATGAAGAACAACCCTATTTAATGACAGCATGACTTTTTTTGGTTGGGGGGGACAGAGTCTCACTCTGTCACCCAAGCTGGAGTGCAATGTCACGATCTTGGCTTGCTGCAACATCTGCTTCCTAGGCACAAGCCTTCCTCCTGCCTCAGCCTCCCAAGCAGCTGAGCTATAGGCGCACATAACCATGTCCATCTGATTTTTGTATTTTTGTAGAGACAGGGTTTTGCCATATTGCCCAGGCTGGTCTTGGACTTCCGGGCTCAAGCAATCCTCCCATCTCAGCCTTCCAAAGTGCTGGGATTACAGGCATGAGCCACTGTGCCCAGCTGACAGCATGACTTTCAGAGCACTTTCCCCAATTAGTGTTTTAACAATTAAAATGAAAATTGTATGTAACAATTTTTTCTAGTAATTCTTTGTTCTTCTTTCAGTCATTAGAAGAGGTTAAGTATTGCTTATATTTGATTTTATTCTCTACTATTATTAACTCTTTTTGTGCTCTAACTGTGCCTTGGTTTGTGATACTTCCCATGCCAAGATTTGGGAATTCTGTACTTTCATTTTCCTTGCCCCAGATCATTAGTGAAGTGGTTGTGTGATGCCAAAGTGGGCATGGGTCCTCACGAATGCAGTGGACACTGTCTCCCACCTAAATGTGAGGGACCGATATTTGTCACTGCTCTTTGTTTATGGTCCTTAAGCCAATTTTCAATCTATGTGACCATGCACATATTCTACCCAATTTGAATTAATTTTGCAAGTGGAAATTCATGGAGTAGTGTATCAAATGCTTCAGTAAAATCCATATATATTACCTCTAGTGCATTCCCTTCATCCATTAATCTCATAATGCGATTTAAAACAGTGATCATATTTGTCTGGAATGATTTGTCCTTTATCCATCCCCAAAGCTGCCTCCTGCTCTTGGCTCCATTATCCTTTCCATCCTTTCAGTTTTTCCCTCTTCACATCTGATTCATTATACTATTAGACACAGGGGTTATATTTTAATAGATGATAATTACTGGTAACACCTTTCTTTCTGTTTAGAAAGTATTTAAGGTTTTCAAGTAATCTCTAAAATGTGGATTATTGAAAATGTCTACTGACTGTTAAATTTGCAAACAAATGGCTTTAATACAATCTCTTTACTTCAAGTGATAATTCTCAAAACACTTTCCCAGGCCTTATTTTCTTTTAAAATAAGTTTTGTTAAGAACTATAATACAGTATTTAAACTGTCTTTCCTGTTCTGCTTGTTTGAATTGTTTTCCAGTGTCCTATTTCCCTTTCTGCCTGGGAAAGATGTGTACTGTATTATGTAAATTAAGGGTGATAATAAGTATAAAATTATTGCTGTAATACTAATATCATATCTACTATGAATGACTACATTTATTTGCAAAAAAATCTTAGCAAATGTTTCTCTATATGTATTAGATCAATTTGCTTGCCTTATAAACACACTTCTAAACTTTTAGTTTTGGGTAGATTCTTTTTCTGAAGAGCTCAAATGTTATATACCAAATCAGTAAATTTAGGGTAATAGCTAATTCAAAATATAAGATGTTTTCAAAAGAGGAGAGACAGCAGGAATGAAAGGAATAACATAACATAAGAAAAGAATGATAAAGTCAGAGATGCAGGTATGTAGCAGGTAAAAGAGCATGCAATAAGTTGTGTACCTTTAGAAGCCTAAGTACAGGAATATCAGTTATGGTGCTGTGGGGCTTCCTTTCAAAAGATGTAGAGGCTCAAATATAGACTACTTCTTTGAGATCAATTCCTTGACCCACAGTTCCAATGCAAGTAACTTCTCATCTGTCATCATAAACATTGTCCAGCTTTTCCTCTGTGTACAACCAACACTCCACTTAGGAAAGTTAGTGGGAAGGAGGACTCAGAATACTGCTTTTCAACTTGCTGCTCAGTAGGTAAAGGGTGGTGAATGCTGAACCAAGGCCCACAAGGCTATTTTAGCATCTGCTCCTTGGTTACTTACCAAGGACCCTGATAAGATATCACTTACAGAATACATGCAGTGAGAATGGGTCAGTGTCTTATTAAATGATGAGGTGAAATAAACTTTATTCAAGTCAAGATCTTAGAACTTTATATTAAATCAGATTCAATTTAGTAACTTAAATATGTGAGGGTGACTAGTATATTTCAATAGGATAGTCTGTAGGGGTTTATTGAATGCCACTGAAATGCTAATCACAGACTTGGTTCAACCTGTACTCATACATTAGAACATTGAATAGAAGACTGCTATTAGACAATAAAAATGGCTATAAATTTTTTCCAATTTTATCTCCATGTGGATCTCTACTTTCTTCCTCCTATAATAAACAAGTTCATTGTAGATCAAAAATCAACTTGTACCCAAGAAATATGCAGCCTCACATTGATATGTGAATGTCCATTCATTTGAGTAGGAATGGCAAGTATTTATTATTGGGAAAGAAGGGATGCATACAAAATTAAGTGAATATGCATGAATAAGTCCCAATGTTTATGTGACATTAATAGGAAGAAGTTGAGTTACGTCTGAAAGTGTACCTTGCTGTGCACAAGCATCTATGCTTATTCTACATAAAGCATCTGTGCTGAGGACTTAGGAGGCTTTTATTACTAGTGTTCTATTTTTTAAGGAAATATTAACAATCATTTTCAAATACATAGAGTTCTAGGGAGAACATATACATTTTGTACGTGCCTTAAAATTAAATCATTTTTCCTGGCTTTTAACATTTGAATGATAACCTAGATGATGGGTTGATGGGTGCAGCAAGCCACCATGGTACATGTATACCTATGTAACAAACCTGCACGTTCTGCACATGAATCCAAGAACTTAAAAAGTATAAAAAAATTTGAAAGATAAAGCCCTAAAAAAGCTCAGGGTGTGAAGAAAGCCCTTTATCTTCATGTCTCTGCTGCCCCTTTTCCTCATCTGTACTAATGAGAACCTAAAATAAAGAGGTCTGAAATTGGGATATTATTATTATTAGATCGGTAGTGCCGGATTGTGATTTCTTAGGAGGCTGTAAATTGAGAGCTGCGCTGAAAGAGAAGTAGAACAGGTGCACATGGTCATCTCTACTCCTTGAAATATGAAGATCCCATTGATAGGAAATTTGACTCAAGGAAACCTTCAAGCTACTAACTTTAATTTTCTGTTTTAAAGATCATAGTCTATGATCTATGGCTCCCTTATCTTTGAATTTTCCTTCCTCCTCCCTTTGAATATCTAGTGAGCCCTGCTATATGCCAGATACTGGGCTACATGGTGGTAATATAAAGTCTCACAAGCCACGGCCCATGCCTCAGGAATGTGTGCTCCTATAGGAGGGAAAAACGAGTACATTGAAGCAGAGCCAGTGGTAAGTGTTAGGCTGGAGAGGTTGTGGAGTGCTCTTGGGGCACAGAAGAGTGGCAGCTAACTGTATCTAGGGGGAGGTTGGTGAAGTTCTTTAGAAGAAATGATATAGTTTTGAAAGTAAGTAGGAACTAGCTAGAGTAGGGGTTCTTAACCTGTCATCCACTGATAGCCAAGGATAGGGTTCAATGTGTTTATGAATGTTAGATGGGAAAAAAAATCCACCTTTATTTTCATTAATACTGAGCTACAGTTTAGCATTTCCTTCTATTATAAATGTAGAAAACAGGCCAGCTACGCTGCTGTCGCTGTCACTATGGCCCATTACAAAGCCGCCAACTTGAAGCGTGAGCAGTTCCGGAGGTACTTGGAGAAGTCAGGGGTGCTGGACACACTGACCAAGGTGTTGGTATGAAGAACCAGAGAAACCTAACAGTGCTTTGGATTTCTTAAAGCATCACTTAGGAACTGCTACCCCAGAAAATCCAGAAATAGAGCTGCTGTGCCTAGAACTGGCGAAAACGAAAGAGAAATATAAAGCTATTGTAGAAAAAAATAAAAAACTGAAAGCAAAGCTTGCTCAGTATGAACCACCTCAGGAGGAGAAGTATGCTGAATAGGATTCTTCTCAGTTGAAAAGACACTGAAAAATGGTTTTGTATCACTTGAATACTTTGTATAATATATAATCTTTTCCAAACAGATGCTATAGAACTCTTTTAATATGTTTAATTCACCTACCACACTCTGTTATAAACACATAGAATCATCAATAAAAACTCAATATAACTTTCTTTGGATTTTAAAGCAGGAGAATCCAAAGTAAATCCTGAAAACACCCTAAACATAGCCATCTAACTCCTTACCTTAAAAGCCATTCTGTTCATTAGTCTGATTAGGAATGATGGCACTGGTTGTGTTTTAGCCAAGGCAGTTTAGCATGGAGCTATTCCTTGGTGTAGTTCAGGATATGAACATAGGTACAGTCATTCTTTGAAGGTGATATACTGTTGTGTACATTCCCTATAGGCAGCTGGAGAGATCTGTGTGACACAAGATGCTTTTGTACAGGTTCCCATGAATCTTCTGCTCTTGTTTGTGTAACATGGAACAAATAACTCTTCTTTGCCACCACTTTGCCTTAGATAATTGTGTGTGTGTGCCAGTTTGAACTCTGATACCACATTTTCCTTCTGTGCAATCATGCCTTGTTTGATAATCTTGCATTGCTTTGCTCTGAGCTTTAGTGGGTCCTACTTACACACTGACTTTTCTATGCTGTTTTTCAATTTGCCTAATAACAGCAGTTACCCTGATTGTAATTTATGCAACTTTAAACAGGATCACACTGTACCCCCTGCCTGCCTTATTTGCTTATTGAGCACAGAACAGAGGCAATATACAACTCTGAGTTCACACACAAGCTGGGATAAGAAGAGGAATGAGCCATATATTGTGGAAAATCATAGTTTGTAGGTATAATTATACAGTGCTTGTTTCCCTCAAAGTATTTTTGTAGCCCTGAATTCATTTTATCTTCATTATCCCTGTGAAGTAGGTGTGGGCAAGTATGAGGGGAAGTTGGGTGCTGAATTTTTAGGCCAAAGACTGATGTTAATACAAATCACTCACTAACTGTAGAGCCTTGGGCATATCAGTGAACTGCTCTGAGATTTACTGTCTCCATCTGGTTAATGAGAAGAATATCCGTGATGCCTACCTCACAGGGCTGTTGTGAGGGTCAAATGAGAATGTATGTGAAAGATATGTAAATGGTAAAGCACTATATTCTTGTTTGTGAGTCCTTTTTCCTTTCTTTGGGTAGACTTACAGTCGGATGTTTTGTTTTATTAATCACTTATTTTCCTTATTGATAGACCATCATTTTATAGACATATTCCTATTGCATGTATCCTCTCCCTGTTGTTAGAGAACGTATCTTTGTTTTTGGTCAAAACACACATATAAAACAAAATGATCCAATGAAAACTGGTTTAACTAGCAAAAGCCTTTGCACCTGTTGGAAACTATGACCAAGTCAATTACAAGGGCATTTAAATCAGTCGTGTTAGTAGGAATGTGGCAATGACTGGTGCCTCTTCTAGTCACAAGTTTGCTTTTGGAGGGGGGCCAGATAATATTGGAAGAATATTCGCTTGAATAGATTTCTCTTTTACCAATTTGAGTGCCTCCTACATGGGCAGCAGTGGACTAAGTGCTGGGTGTGATAAAGAGGAATGACTTAATTATGAGACATGTATATAATCAAATACAGTATGGGTTAGGACCTGTGACAAACCATTATAATAAAACATGGCCCCATGAGGGTTTTGAAAGAGAGACAGATTTGGCTTCTTTAGTTGGTAAGATAGTTTCTTGGTAGATACAGGTCGAAATTTTTCTTTCTGTGGCAGCCAATTCTCATGTGCTTTTTACTTATTGGATTAATATTAATATTTATGTCAGTAAGCCAGGTGACTGTGACTGTCTTTTGTACCATCCTTTTTAACAGAATGGCAACATGTGGGTTGGATAATCACACTTTTAGGTGAAACTGACTTGGTTAAACTGCGTACCAGTCAGTGCTATTTGAGAATTCAGGATCAACCTAGCCTACAGAGGTCCTCTTCAGCATTTCTGTCAAGGATTTGGATTAAGACAATACACAAGAAGATGCTTGATGGAAGAGAAAATGGATCTCATCAGTTAAGCTCCTGCTACGCTTCAGCTTCTTTGTCTATAAAGTATTGACTTCACATCTTGCCTACCGCACAAGGTTGTTGTAAGAATCAAATTAAATATAATGGATGTAAAAGTGAAAAAAATAAATGTAGAAAATAAACTACCGTAATATTAACGTTAGTGACAATGTCACCAATAGAAACCATAGCTACATATCAGATACTGTAGATATTTCAAAATATCCCTTATGCTCATCACTGCTTTAAAATTATAGTAGTACACCAACCACTGGGCTTTATTAATGCATTAATAGAAACTATCCATATTATCATACCAAATATTGGTGTTAATATTTAATTGATTTTAATATTTTGATAGCTGAATTTCAATATAAATTGAATTTCTTTGTAATTCTACATGCTTTATTCTTTATTTTATATATTTAAAAGCATTATACTAAGAAAGGTCCATAGGCTTTAGGTCTATGGCAGATTGGCAGTGGGGTCCATAACACAGTGAAGGTCAAGAACCCCTGAATGGGGAAGAGGTTGGAGAAGGGGTGCTAGTTATTCCAGGAAAAGGAAAAGCCTCATGGATGTTTCAAATTATACATAATGTGTCTTTAAGGCAAATGTTGATAGGTATGAAGACAAAATATGTACACAATTGTTTTGTGAAACATAGTGAGTAATATATACTCACCATGTTTTCATAGGAACATGTTGCTGGGGAGCAAAATCATTAAGCATATTAATAGCTCACCCAGAATTTCTGAAGCTGACAATAAAGGTCCATCATGACATCAGACTCTGCAGCAGGTTGTGCTGTGATAAAAGCCCAAGAAAGATGCCTGAAATACTTATTTGCTACTTTTTCTTATGTGGTTAGAATGCTAAGGATCGTCTAAGAGCAACCAACATTTGCGTTACATGCATTGTAATGGTTATAATAGGTACTGGAAATACAGAGTATGCTAAAAAGTTATCAAACATTAACAGAAGCAGCAGTAGCTGTGGAAAGAGTACTTGACCAGGAGTCCTTAGCTTCAGGCCACAGCTTCAAGTCTGACACTAATATCTGTGTCACCTTGTGCATGTTTTATTATTGGTAAAATGAAGATAATGACTTCTGCTCTAACTTATCTTGTAAATTGCTCTAAAGATCAAATGAGTATGTCAAGATGCTTAGAAAGGTTTGAAACATAATACATGTTATTAAAATGGAAATAAAGGTGAAATATCAATATTATAACACTTTATGTTTTGAATATAGAAATAAAGTGAAATTTTCTATCATTGTATTATAAAATACATTGAAGAGGAAACCTTTTAGACAGATAGAATTTTAAAGATCTCTATATGTATAAAATATAAAATGTAAATGTAGCATATGAAATATCTATAACATAAGAGTTAAATTCTTACAAGACTGTAGACAATGAAACGTGTTATCTGAAGCCATTAGATAACTCCATAATAAAATCACTTTCTTAGGGCTGGCAACAAGCTTTCAAATATGACTTGTAGCATAAGACAGCAGTGAATTTACGTATGTGCTATTTAGATTTAGTGGCACTAAGATCACAAGGACATACACATTTAATTAGTGGAGTACATTCAATTCTAAAATTTAGATCACTTTCTCCAAATAAGCTTGTTCTTCGTAGGAATCATGCAAGCAAATGTTGACAAATATTGCAAACAATGAGAGAAAGACATGAATCTTAAGATTTTTCTTCCTAAAAAATCTATTCTTATTAAGATGCTTTTCATTATAACCTAGCAGAGCAGGATTTAAGTACCAACCTGAGTCTTCTGTTCTCTAGGTCAATGTTGAAAGTTTATTTCTACAGTAAAACACACGTCTCACATTCTTGGTGTTGCCATATAAATCAAACAAAGAGAACTGCATTCCAATTCTCTCCATTATTACAGAAGCATACAACTTACTAACCAGAACATTCTTCCAATTTTAGTTTGAAGTGTTTTTCAACTTCAAGTATGCTTGGAAAATTATTAAGCCAAGGCTATTGTGATTATACCTGTTAGACTTTTATTCTATATAAATTATCTAAGCCAAATGGAGTCCAAAATACTGACCCTTGACTGCCAGTTAGAATAGTCCCTAATCCTCAATCATGTGCTAAAAGAGACAAATGAGCTAGATTTGAGTTTGAAAACTACCACCTCTGAATAAAAAAAAAAAATGAAGCTGAATATGCATTTTGGAAAGACACAGTTAATGCAAATGGTAGAGAAATGTGGAATACTATTCTAAACTGCTTGTGTTCACTGCTTCCCGAGTACAGACACTTGCACCAAGATACAGAGACACACACTTATTAACTCACACGTATGGATCAGAATGACTAAACATTTTAAAATCAGGAAAAACAAAACCCAGTAGATTCTGCCCCACAGTCTGTATAGTGCACACACACCCACTAATACACACCCTTGACCAGTGTAAGATCCAGAAGTGCTTAAACAATTTTGTAGGCATAAATTACAAATTAATGAAACCTGCCGAAGGCAGACACGTAAAGACACAATGTTCAAGATATAAGCATTGAAGCAAGGCAGACACCTGAGAAAAACAGTCAGAAGTTCCCAAACTGAAAAGATTGTATCCTGGACATCCAAGCAGATGAAGGATTCAGGGCGAACAGATTTGTATCCTGGCACCAGAGCAGATGATGGGTTTAGGGACCGCAGCGGTCCCTAAAGACCATTCCCTCTAGCATCCAAATTTCTAAAAATTAAAGCTTAATGGTTCCAATTCTTTATAAGGTTGTCCTTTCAGTGGGCAAAGCATTGATCAGTGGTCTCAGTCTTGCCAGCTGGCTTCAAGGGCTCTGCCCCCAACAGTTCCTCCTCAGCATCCTTTCTTTTTCCATTCTCTTGAAGAAGGGATGCTCTGTTCACTTCACGTGGGCTTAGATTTATGAGGTGCTGAGAAACAAGAGTGTGGGGCCCTTCAAGTTGTACTCCCAGATGTAATACTGCAAGTGAGCCAACACAGGATCTTAGCATTGGCTAACATGTTTGTTCTACAAAGCTTGTTTGTTACTGGATCCAAACGGATGCCCCAGTCAAAGCAAAAACAAAGCAACAACTAAAAACGTCTTCCCTCATTGCCCCCCAAATAGCCCAATCCTTTCTGAGTCCAGGCTCCTGAATGCACATGAAACTGTGTAGCCTTGGCTGGGGGATCATCACTCCCTCCTCAGCTGGAGGCTGCATTCAGAAAGAATGGATTTTTTCCGGCTTCTGATAGTCTGAGATATTGTGCCTGTCACTCAGAGGCTGAGCAAAATAGGGTTCAAAACAGAGAACAGAGATGTATAAACAGATGCAAGACAGTGAGAAGAGTGTACCAAGTACGGAGACGAAAGAGATTGGTATCAAGCCTTACCCTGGGATGGGCCACTCTCTCTGTGTCTGTAAGAAGCTCCTACGCTATTTTAATTATAAATATTTATATCCATGGAAGCAAATTCAGAAGGATTTATATCCCAGGGGAGTGCAGATCAATAGATCTAAGCAAACCTCATCTCCAGGCTGACCACTTAACACTGTTATCACCGATTAGGGCTACTTGGCCCTCTGGGGGGGTGTCAGTTCCCCTCTTGTCCTGCATAGGTCCACCCCATTCTTGGCCCCAAGAGGAAATCAATAACAGGATGCAGGGATCGATACACAGGACATCTGCTTGGCTGCAGTGGCTCACCTTAAGATCGCAGTTTGGTTAGCCCTTGTCTATACCGCAAGCCCCTACTCCTTCCTCCAACCCCTCCATCCTTCCAGATCTGCTGGAGCATTCCAATTTTGATCTTTAGCTCACTCACTGAAATCGGCCCAGATACTGCTGACTCTCTTGAGCAAGAAATAAAGACTTGGTTAACATTTGCCTTACTTTCCAAAAGTAAAGAAACTTACCAGACCTCAAGGATTGAGTCAGAGTCGATTTCCTGCTTCACGGCCCGGGGCATGCTTTCTGCTGCCGACTCTCTGGCCACCAAGTACTGTCGGAGCAATTGGAGCTGGCTGGGTTACTGTTCCAGGTTTGCCTGCGTCTCCCTGTGCTTGGTCTGCAGTTGATAGATCCTCTGCTCCTGAAGCATCCAGCTATTGACCCGCCCAGGGAAAGAAAGAAAAAAATGGAAAAAAAAATCAATTAATACTAACCGGCTTAACAAAACCCTGCATAGCACAGGCCTGGAGCATACAGGGTAGGAATTGGGATGGTCTCAGTGGCAACAATGAGTGTGGGGACAGGCTCAGCCAGCTAGAAAACCTGATGTTCCAGGGACAGGAAGCCAATATGGTAGGCGTGATCACACACACACACATATTCTCTCTCTCTCTCTCTCTCTCTCTCTCTCTCTCTCTCTCTCTCTCTCTCTCTCGGCAGCTTGGTCTGACATGCCCTAGTCTGACAGCAAAGAGGACAGTGCAGGTACATGTTCATTGTGAACTGGTGGAGGGTGACACATTCACCAAAACAGAAGAAGGGCTGCAACCAAACTCATAGAACCGGTGGATATTTTTGTTTTCTGGGGTTTTTTTTGGGGGGGCGGGGGTGGAAGAGGAAGAGATATTGTTTTGTTCTGAAAAGATAATACCATTTACGTGTCGCAGGAGAGTTCCTGAGGCATTTCTTCGTGCGTCTCCCTATCACACCACCACATACAGACACACATGAAGCTCTTTAAAGGGGAGCAAGAAAATGGGGGCACACCATACCTCAGCTGCCAGGCCCTCTCTCTTCTGCAGGAGCTGGCTTTGAAGGCTTGGGATTCTTGCATCTCGCTATTCCAGCTGTAAAGAGTTTACATAGGGAGGGAGCAAGGAAGGATCATGAATGTCAACCAATGAGCAATTAGCATGACAAGACTAAAGTATTGATCCCCTAAAGCTCCCTGCACTGCTGTAGCCCCAGAGGTAGAGCGGCTCCCTTGTCACTAACTCCGATAGTGCATTTCGGAAGCCTGTATTGTAGGACTGGCTACTTTTTGTATCCCCGATCCCCTTCTCAGGGCAGGGGAGTATGGCACCTTCAGGCTGCCCATCTGCAGCTATCAGAGTAGTCTCCATCCCTGGGCAGAAAGCTGCAGAGAAGAGCATAAAGAATGTAAAGATTTTGGCTGTCCTACTTTATTCATTTTTTTAAAATGCGGCTCCCTCCTGATGGCACCAGGCATTTCTAACTATTGATTGGAAAAGGGCTAGGGCGAAATCCTGGCCTGACAGCTGGGGCTGGAACTACTGTGGTTTTCCATTCTGCGTGGTCAGAGGCAAAGTGACTTTCACAATACCAACTTCCGGCCAATCCAAATACACACTTACTGTGCACATAGTACTCATTTTAGTCAGTAAGGGTCAAGAAGGGAGAGGGAAAGACGTTGTTTCACTGAAGAGACAACCTTATTCCTAGGTGTAAGGCTATCATACATCGAAAGAGAAAATGAAGGAATTTTCAACTTAGCAGACATGGTGTTCAAATAACACTAGCCAGGTGAAATATTACCTCTGTAAGGTTCTTCATTCTTGCCATTGATTCCCACCTTTGTTACTCTCAGCTATAGGCACACTCGCCATTGATTCCCTCCTTTGTTACCCTCAGCTATAGGAACACTAACCTTTCATCATTTTTTCTACTTTTTCCCCTATCCATCCCATGTCTTTACAAATTTATTTCTTAAGTTGCCCTCCTAATTTCTTTTCATACCCTTCTTTAAGGACCCCCTAGCACTCCATCTCCTTCATGAAATCTCCCAAGCAGTGGTAATTATTCATTCCTGCGTGAGCTTCTACTTGTGCCAAAAACTTCTCTAGCAGTGGGGATATCATAATGAACAATATGGTATGGTCAATATACTTAAAGATATGGTCATTATACTTAACATATGGTCATTATACTTAAAGATATGGTCATTATGGCCATTGTATTTAAAGAGTTTACAGACTAAATGAATAATGAGCCATTCATTGATAGCAAAACCATCCATCCACCCACCCACCCACCCAACCACCCAGCCAGCCATCTATTCATTGATACATTCAATTTGTGCTTATCAAGAACTTCCTATTACCAGGAACTATTCTTTGCTAAAAATAAGATGGTGTGGCAGAGACTTGAATGCCTGCTGATAATCATTTTCTCCTCTTCTTCCCAGGCTCACAGATAATCTGTATTTCCCAGCTCTTTTACAATGGGGCCTTATGACTGAGCTCTGGCCAATGGAATGTAGGTGGGAGAGATGCATGCCTGGCCTGGCTCATAGAAACCTTCCTCATGGCCCTTCCTTCTCCTCCCTTCCAATGTGACTCTTGACGGTGACATGCTGAAGATGGGCGTGCAACCTGGGTCTTTGGGGATCCAGTTGGAGAAGAGTGCCCTGATCCACTTTGGACTATGGTGAAAGGAATCCAATTTTAATGTTGTTAAACAGCTGAGATTTTAGGATTGTTTATGTTAGTGTGAGTGTAGAAGCTAATGTTACTTTTACTGACTAACAAAAACACAAAGCAAAAACAGATGTAGCCCCTGCCTTCACAGAGCCTGAAGCCCAGTGGGTGAAAGAGACATTAATAAAATAACTACAAAAATAAAAGTAAAAACACAATTGTGATAAGTATAATAAAGGATAGGTATCTGAGGAAACAAACACATGAGCCAGAGGAAACTCAACCTAGACAACTGTCATGATGCAATTATGTTGAGATATGAAGGGTGAGTCCTGAGAGAACACAGGGGTGTTCCACTAAGAAGGAACAGAATGTGGGAAGTTGATATGGTAAGGAGGAGTAAGGTACATTCCAGAAACCAAAAAACCCCAGTATGAGTAGAACACAGAGAATGAGAAGGATATGATGCAACGTGAGACTGGAGAAACAGGTATGGACCCAACCATTCAAGGCCTTATAGATTATAGATTTCAGTGTCTGTCCTAAGATCAATGGGGAGCCATTCAAGAGTTTTATGCAAGGCTGGTGACAAAATCTTATATTTTAGACAGGTCTCTTTGGCTGCAAGCCTGAAGAATGAATTGGTAGTTCTATCTCCAGCCATATGGTGGCTATGCCAGATAACTCAAAAACCCTTCCACCAGAAAGTTAAGATATTTTGAATAAAATGGAACACACATTAAGTATAGGGCTAAGCTTGCAAGTAGAAAACTCCCCAAATGCCAGGTCCAAAGAGGGAACTGAAACAAAATCAGTAAGCTGTGGGATGTGTATCTGCCTTGAGGAGCACTGCTCAGGCTCAGTGACTACAGGGATTAGGTTTTAGTACTCACATGGGGACAAGGGTCCATGAAAATTAGCAAGGGGAAACTGAATCCTCACATAAAACTAGACCCTTAAAAAGATGGCCTAAGGGGCAAAAAATCCATCTATTGTCACAACAATGCTTGTCTTTTCATGGTGCATAGGAAGGAAACAAGTGTCCTTTGAGAATCTGTGACTATGCTTTACAAGGTAAGGGGATTTATAGTTACTATCTACCAAATTGAGAAACCTCTAAGCTGAAAAATTAAAATCAAACTTAGTCTCAGGCCAGGAATATCCCTGTGGCATTTGGCAGGAGCAAACCCAAAATGCTCTGGAGAGCCACATTTTCACAGAGGGCACCTAGAATTCCTGTAAATAAAGCCCTGTTGAGGATGTACCCACACATTACAAACTAAAGACCAAGAGTGAATGTAGATAAAGCAAATAGCAGATTTATACCTTTGAGAACTTCAGGTGACAGAACAATCTGGTAGAAACTGCAAATAAGTATGCTTAAAATGATTAAAGACATAAAGAAAAGTGTCATGCAAAAATAGCAAAGCGTTGTGGAAAAAAAAAAGAGAATAAACTAGAGGAGGATAAAAACCATGCATTCAGATCAAGAATGCAACTTTAGGCTGGGCATGGTGGCTCATACCTGTAACTCCAGCACTTTGGGAGGCCAAGGTGGGAGGATCACTTGAGGCTAGGAATTTGAGACCAGCCTAGGCAACATAGTGAGACTCTACCTCTAAAAAAAATAAAAAAATAAAAAATAAAAAAATTACCTGGGTTTGGGGGTGCACCTCTGTAGTCCCATCTACTCAGGAAGCTGAGAGGGGAGGAGTGCTTGAGCCTAGGATGTTGAGATTGCTGTGAGCTATGATCATGCCACTGTACTCCAGCCTGGGCAACAGAGCGAGACCCCCATCTCAAAAAGAATACAACTTCTTCCCAAATGTGTAGGACTCCTGGTATGATATCAGGATTTAGGAAGCAATCATACTTTTTTCTTTTCTCTCTTTCTGTTAAATATGTTATTTATATGGGACAAATCTCTCACTTGCTCTGTCAGTGACATCAAATATATAAGGGCATAATGACGGCTCCAAAGCAAGAAACATTTTCCATATTTAAAACTGATGATCAGCTCATAAGACATTCTCTCTGTTATGATTGTTCCAATGTCTCATAAAGGAAAATATCATCTCAGTGTGATTTCTTTGCTTCTTTGCACTGTTCAGCTCAATGTTCTCTTTCCAGCTGGGCACAAATTGAGGACACTGGCCTTTTCAATGGTGGGCAAAAAGCCATAATGGGAGGGAGGTGGCAAGCATCAAAGGAAAGCTCAAAATAAGGAAGGCTCGTTATTTTATCAGAAACTAGTTTTTCTTGTTACTGTTTCAAAAATTATTCTCAGGCCTCACAAAATAACTGAGAATAAGTAATGTACTAACATTAAGAGTTACCCAGTCAGCCTGAGCTGGTACTCTGGATGGACCAAATGCTAGAATATTTCTTTACAGACCCAGGCTAAAGTTGTAGTGAGGGTTTTTGGTAGTGGAGAGACTTAGATGGAACTAGATGATTCCAAGCTCAGCTGGAATCAGGTCAGTTTCATTCACTTGTGTCTTTTGAGACATTTATCACCATCACCATCATCATTATCTTTTATTGAAGTTCAACTATCTGCCAGACCACATGTTATTTCATCTTATTGTCAGAAAACCTCTGCAGAGTGGGCACTAATATCCCCACTTCTTGGATGAAAGATAAAGAAAAATGAAATGACCCAAATATTCTCATCTTATATTAAAACCAGGGATAGGATAAATGCCCTTAGCCCTCCTTAGCAGGTTTAAATAGAGACAAAGTCATTCAGAGCCCTAAGAAGAGCAGGTGCTAATACAGAACTTCTTTCTTTGCATGGCTTCAAAGCAAGTTGTTCTAAGCAGCCAAAATGAGGTAACTGAGCTCAACCACATTCATCTGTCTTCCAGCAGTGAATGCAGATTTACCAGGTAGGAGACAGATACTTGAGACAATAACGATTTGCAAAATTTGGTGTATCCAGTGGGGCTGCTTTCAATCAGGGCTGCTGATGAAAAGGTCAGGTTATCTGAGCCCCACTTATTTCTTCCCCACTCTAACATCCCACCTATTCACAGAATCTGCTTGTTGTTCCTCCAGATGTGTCCTGGTCTATTCACATCCCACCACCCCAAGACCATCCTGTTCCAAGCCACCATCAATCATAGCATGTCCCAGAAGCCTGCTAAAGGGCCTTCCTGCCTCCACTTTGCACCTTACAATCAGCCCTCCCCACAGCAGCCAGCTCCATCTTTTACACTGAAATCAGATAATGCCACTCCCTCACTCAAAACCCTCCAAGGGCTTCCCATTGCACTTTGACTAAAATCCCACCTCTTTGTCAAGGTCTACCCAGCAAGGTCTACCCCACCTCTTGTCCTTTAGGTGTTTGCTCAAATACCATTTTCTCAGAGACTACGCACCTCAGAGGCAGTCCCCATCACCTTACCCTGTATGTTATCTTGCTTTTGAACAGTAGATCTCAATGACCAAGCACAGTGCCAAGCACAAGGACACTAAGTAATATTTATAAGAATGAATAAGTGAATTCCATATCTTCATTGACATCCATGACTTCTGAGACAGAAGAAATGAGACACCTGAGGACTAAGAAAACTTACTATTAATTGGTCTGCCCTGGAAAGAAAGTATTTGACCTGTTGTCTCAAGATAGATAATTTATGTAAGGAAATCAGAATAAATACTATTTTTTATGTGTAACTATGGGTGAAATTCAACTGATACAAATAAAAGTCTGGACTAGTAACTATTTTAGCTTACTATTTATGAAGTTGCAGTATTTATAATTACGTTTATATCAATATAGTATTTTCTACTTTCAAAAGCGCTTGATTAAAAACAACTTTATGAAGGATACAGATATTATTCTCTGCATTTTACCGATTTTAAAAAGTGCTAACAGTACTATAGCCAGTGAGTATCAGGTCACAATATGGCCTGGCAAAACTGAAGGCCCAAAGACTAACCTTATGAGGATATTTTCACTTATGTCACACTGGGAAAAGGACAGATAGGATACACAGAGGAAAGACTTTTGTTTAGGGTGGTATATGATGTTTCTGTAGGGTGGTGTATTTGTTTCCTAGGGTTGTCATAACAAATTACCACAAACTGGATGGCTTGAAACAACAGAAATGTGCTTTCTTACAGTTTAAGAGGCTAGATGTCCAGAATCAAGGTGTTGGCAGAGCTATGCTCTCTCTGAAGGCTTTAGGGGAGGATTTTTCCCTGCCTCTTCCATCTTCTGGTGGCTCCCGAAATTCTTGGCATTTCTTGGCTTGTGGCAACATCACTGTAGTCTCCGCGTGTCCTTTCTTCTTCTTATAAGGATATCAGCAGTCAGATCTAGGACCCATCCACATCCAGTATGATCTTATCTTAACCAATTACATCTGCAAAGACCAAATAAGATCACATTCTGAGATTCTGGGTGGACAAGAATTTTGGGGGGACATTATTCAACCCACTACAGATGGGCAGTATGAAACTGTAAACATCACCTTCCTGTTCATCCTCAGTTTCTGTGTGTTCTTTAAAAGAACAGGGATCCTATATATTTTCTCCTTGCATTTTGTTCTCTCCCCTGCCTGTGACTCATACTCACTGGCTCTTATTCCTGTCTCTTCCCCTTCCAGTAATATTTCTGTAACATTCTGTATGGATGAATCACACACACATGCACATTATGAATCCATGCAACAGTACAACTTGGTTTTCATTAGAAACTTTTCTAGGATATGGATTCCAATGATGTTCCAAAAATCAGATAATTAAATTCTAGCTAGAAGCATAATAGCTCTTAGGCAGAAGAGCAGCCAGTGATTACAGGCTGTGGTAAAGGAAGTCTGGAGGAACAGTTCATCAATAGCTGAGTCATAGGGTTCCTATGATTGTTTCAATGAAGCATTTAAGGTTTATAGTCTTTATGATAGTCTTTCTCATGCCAAAGGAAAGTATACTTAAAAGATAATGACTTATTTTAGAATCTCTTAGTACTAAGCCGTTTTGAGCTCCATTTCACAAGCTCTATTTCAAGTGAATGTTTACATAGTGTTCATAGCTATGGTCTTCATATTGTAGCATCATATGTTCATAGATATTGTGGTCTTTGACAATCTCTCCTGTTATCTATTTCATTTTCCTTCCCTGGTTACAAGGAAAGCTCATACCTATAAATAATCATTTATGTTTTCTTTTCTCTGCTTGCAGTTTTGACTAGCTTATTGTCTCACTGAATATGGCTCTATTCAGTTCCTACTGATATGAAGAGACTATCGCTAAAGATTTTTTTTAACCTATCAGAGGAAGTTCCTGGATCTCTGGCCTTAAAATCCTGTCTCTATTTATTCTTGAAGAAAAAAATTAGAAAGAAAACATGATATTATGCCTTGCACATAGTAGGAATTCAATCAATATTTATTTCATTTGGAAATTGACAGCAATATTTTGATTTAAGTTGTACTAGACGAATAAATACAAATGGCATTCACTTGATGATGGCAAAATGGTGCCGGGACAACATCCAACAATGCATCAAATGTTCCACAATAAATTCAGATAAATAAAAATACTACAAATAGGCCCATAAAATTACTAGAAGAAATAATGAGAGAATTTTTTAAAATAATGTTGGATAGAAGTCTTTTCTAAATATAACACACAACCCAGAAGTCAAAACATAAGGATTTATAAATTCATCATCATAAAACTAAAACAAATTTCTATATGAAAAAAATCATCATAAGTAAACAGAAAAATGACAAACCAGGAAAAATTTATAATTCATATAACAGACAAAGGGCTAATTTCTATAACATATGTATAAGAAGCTCCTATAAATCAATATATAAAAGTCTAATAACCTAATGGAAAACAGGGAAATAGTTTATAGGAAAAGAAATAAAATTACTTTTAATCATATTAAGGAAACAATCTCACTCACAGTAAGAGAAACACAAATTAACTCCACACTGAGATACCGTTTTGTATTTAATATATTTGCAAAACCCCCAAACTATTGATAATACAATGAACTTGTGAAGGTGTGGTAAAATAGGTTTATTTCATACATTAATGGTGGAAGTGGAAAGTGGCACAAACTCTATGGAATGCAATTTTCCAAGACCCACTAAAATTACATGCAGCTACCCTTTTACCTAGCAAGTCCAGTTCTATGAATTTATCCTACAGATATGCCTGCACGCATGTAAAATGGCACATGTAGAAGGCTACTCATTGCAGTTTTGTAATGAAAAAAGATTAGAAACTACTTAAATGGCCATCAGTAGGATGCTGGTTACATTAACAATGGTTTGTCCACACAACGGGATATCATGAAGCTATGAAAACGTTGAGTATTCTCCTAAACAGAAATTCTTTCTTTGTAACCATTGCAGGAAAATAAAATAATGACAGGAGGGGTCCAGAAAGGTCTTAATATCTATGAACAGAATACATTGTAAAATGAAAAAAAAAAAAAGGTGGAGAACAGGTTGCGTAGGGTGCTGTTTGTGTAAAATTGGACAGAGGAGCATACACATGTATTAGTATTTGTTCGTATATGTATGGAATATCTAAAAGAGTACACAAAAACTGACAACATGCCTTGCCTTTGGGAAAGGGAATAAGGTGGGTAGAAACAGGATTTTCACTGTGATCCTTTTGTACTTTGCTTTTTGAACTCTAAGGATATATTCTCTATTTAATAAATAAACATATTTTAAAAATAGCTCTTACACATAGACATACCCATAACCACACATACATCCAGATCAAACTTCATTTGCTAATCAGACCTCAGACTCAGAAAGATGAATAAATCCTTGGCACATGAGGTTCTCGGCAACATTATCAGGCTACTGGGCTTTGGGAGTTACTGACATATTGACACCTGCGCTATAATTAGGGTAAGTGGAACTCACCAGTCAAACATACTCGTCTTCTGAGTTCCTAGCACATGCCAGGCACATTTGTTGAATTCAAAAACAAAAAAAATGAAGGATAAAATACAGTTTTAACAGCAAATGGCCTTTGTGGATAATCCCAAACTATTAGTAAAGTAAAAATAATCATAGTTGTTATGCCCAATAAGTCTGGAGACTTGACTTCCAACACTGGGCTGTCTGTTCACTGCATTACTAGTAAATAGGGAGCCTGGACTAGATCATTTCTAATGCTCCCCCCAATTACATTTCTCCTTGAAGTATCCTAATTGCAGCATTCTTTACAAGAGTGAATGACCAATCTCTTCATATAGGGTTATGTCTAGGTCTTCAGCTTCTTAGACCTGGAAAGACCTCAGTGTGTTCCCTAGGATCTCAGTCTGACACCTTTCCTCTTTGCCTTCAAATAGACACAAGTCTTCCTGTTACCCCAAAAAACCTTCGCTTGAGCCAATGGTCCACTTTGCTATCCTTCTATATCGCTCTTCCTTTTCTCTGTCAAATTTCTCAAGTATGGGAAATTATACTTGCTTCTCCCATGATTTAAATTGACTGATACTTCTATCTGTCTCTCTCCCTTATTGGGGTAAAATTCGCATAAGATACAATTAACCATTTTAATGTACAATTTAGGGGCATTAGTACATTCACAATGTTGTCCAGTTATCACCTCTATCTAGTTCCAAAACATTTCATCATCCTTCAAAGGAGGCCTTGCACCTATTAAGCAGTTATTCTCTGTTCCCCCTCCTCCCCCCAGACACTGGCAACCACTAATCTACTTTCTGTCTTTATGGATTTGCCTATTCTGTATATTTCATGTAAATGGAATCATACCTATGCAACCCTTGGTGTCTGGATTCTTTTGAGGTTCATCCATATTATAACAGGGGTGTCCAATCTTTTGGCTTTCCTGGGCCACACTGGAAGAAGAATTGTCTTGGGCTACACACAAAATACACTAACCCTAACGATAGCCGATAAGCTAAAAAAAAATTGCAAAAAAACTCATAATGTTTTAAGAAGTTCATGAATTTGTGTTGGACCACATTCAAAGCCAACCTGGGCCACATGCGGTCTTCAGGTTGCATATTGGACAAGCTTGTGGGGACTTCTTTCTTTTTCATAGCCGAATAGTTCATTGAACAGATGTACTACATTTTGTTTACCCATTCATTCCATTGATGGGCATCTGGGTTGTTTCCACCTTTTGGCCATTGCAAATAGTGCTGCTATGAACATTTGTGTACACATATTTGGTAAATCTGTTTTCAATTATTTGGGGTATATACCTAAGGAAGGGGATTTCTGGGTCACATGGTAATCCTATGTTTAACTTTTTGAAAACTTTTTGTGTCTCTTTTTGAAGCAGTTTTCTCAGGCTCAGGGTGCAGACATTCATGACAGGCTCTTTCAATCAACAAATATTTATTAAGTGTCTACCAAGGGACAGGCCCTTTGCTCAGAAGTTGGGGGATTCAAAGGTGAGCAAGATAGTCTCTTCATTGAAGGGCCTCAGGGTCTGGCAAAAAGAAGTAGATGGGGAAAAAATAAAACACAAACTGGGTCATGTGTTTCCAACAACAAAAACCCTCCAGAGACTTACCATGGCAACCATAAGAAAACCTAAATTCCTTACTAGAGTCTCCAAGGCTCTGTCTATGCAGGTGACCTTATGCAGTCTTCATGTGGGAAAAACTCTGCTTGCTCACTGCTGTACCTTAGAACCTAGAAGAGTAGCCCCTTCATGAATATTTGTAAAACATAAATCAATACAGAAATAGGTGAATGCCCCTCTGTTCTCCCCCTTGGCCTCTAAGCTCTAGCCTTTGTTCTGTGCCTTGAATGTGCCAACTCATTCCTTTCTCAGGGCCTTTGCACACGTTAGTCCTTCTACTTGGAATGCTGGTCCCCAGATCTTCACATGGCTGTTTCCTTCTCATCATTCAGGGCCCCCTGACCACCTTAGCTCAGAGACACATCCAACTTCATGCACTTAAACATTATCCCATCTTATTTTTTTCACTGAACTTATCCATTCCTGAACATGCTTATTTCTTACTCTCTCTCCAAATTTAGCTCCTGTTTATATCATTTGCTGCCACATCACCTATACCTGGCACATATTAGGTGATTAATAAATATTTGCTGACTGATGAATAATTGCACTACAGTGGTGTCAGATGCTTACATTATGGTATGTACAAAGCCCAGTGTTGGCTCCAAGGAGGGGGTGAGCCAGGAGGAATCCTGGGAACTGAGCTTCCAGTTTTCTACCTCTGTGTCCACCTTCAAAGCTTCTCCAATTATCTCTATGCCCCAAACACACCTCTGTCCCATGCATACTCCTATATTTCTGACTACTTACTGGACATCTCCAAATTATCATTCCCTAGCCCCAACAAACTGAATTTTTTCCTGCAAACTTAGGATCTGATGGCCTGCTTTGACATTTTCTTTAGCTGTGACATCAAACCATCAAAACACCAGTTCCAAAATAACTTAAAGAGTATGATTGAATTGTTTGTAACACAAAGGATAAATACTTTAGGGGATGGATACCCCATTCCCCATGACATGCTTATTTCATATTGCATGTCTGTATCAAAACAGCCCATATATCCCATACATACACACACCTACTACATACCCACAAAAATTAAAAAAAAATTAAAACTAGAAAAACAACAAAACTCCAAAACCATCAGTTCCTTCAATACTTCTAGTCTTATCTTCCATTACCCAAGAGAACCAATAGAGTTAGCCAGATCCCAAACACACTAGAAATAGCATGTTGTGATTTCCAAGTATGGCCTTTCCTTTGCTATTGCCTATCCAAAGTTTTCTAACACCTATATGGGGCCTTAGCTAACTGTTCCAGTCCACATTTATTTGGCCTTCATGGGACCTCCTAAAGCCCATAATATCTGTGCCTTTCATTTTGGTATTTAATAAACATGACCTTGTTTAAATACAAATACTTCACTCATTTACTCCAAAGAACAGAAAATTCTTGAAATATAGGCTGTTTAAAATCTCCTTAATAATATCCACAGCCTCTCACACCGAGCTATATGCACACAGTACACACATAGGCAGTATCTTAATGAGTAAACAAATATGAATATTGAGAAACAATGAGAAAATTAATCATGGGTGAGGAAAAGATTTCCAGAGAGGCTAAAAGTAGAGATGACTTGTATCTTTGCTTTCTATAAATCCTTCTTGCAGTAGTTCTCAATCCTGACTCCATGTTAGAATCACGAGGAAATCTTTACCAATGGTAGGGCCCTATTCCTGGAGATTCTAATTTAGCTGGTTTTGTTTGGAGCTCTGGAGTTTTTTTCCAGAATCCATCATGATTTATAAAATGTTAATTATATATTTCCATGGGTGCTTTCTTTTTTTCTTGAGTTTGTGGGTTTTATGTATGACAAACTATATGTCTGTCACAGTAAAGCAGGGGTACTAATGAAATGTGAACTTTCAGTTTAGAACAACCTCAAGATGAAGTGTTCGGGGAAAACAGTTCTATGGTCTGAATATTTGTGTCACTCTAAAATTCATGTGTTAAAACTTAGCAGCGCTATGGTGTGGGGAGCTGGGGGCTTGGAGAGGTGATTAGGTCATGAGGGCAGAACGCTCACAGATGGGATTATTGACCTAATAAAAGAGGCCCCAGAGAGCTGCCTTGCCCCTTCCACTATGTGAAGACACAGTGAGAAGGTACCACCTATGAACCAGGAAA
This sequence comes from Homo sapiens, assembly GCF_000001405.40. Classification (NCBI taxonomy): domain Eukaryota; kingdom Metazoa; phylum Chordata; class Mammalia; order Primates; family Hominidae; genus Homo; species Homo sapiens. The sequence goes on from NC_000016.10 coordinate 72,297,712, forward strand.
CATGCCTTTACCAGACACTGAATCTGCTGACATTTTGATCTTGGACTTCCCAGCCTCCAGAATTATGAGAAATAAATTGCTGTTGTTTATAAGCTACTCTGTTTATGGTATCTCGTTATAACAGCCCAAATAGACTAAGACAGAGAATGAAATATCCACTGATAATATTGAAACTAAACATACAGAAGAGGTGGCAGACACTATTTGTTTGTCATTCAACAACCATTACAGCTCTTCTTCTTTGCTAACAAAACTCAGACTTTGTTCAAATGGTAATGTGTCCAGCCTCAGGGGATGGATCACAATTGGCCTGGGACCATTTGGCAATCTATGCCTCTTTGTTTGATACTTACCTTTCTAGCTCCTTGAAACTAAGGTAACCATGTGACAGAGTCCCTGCCAATGATATTTATGTGTAAGTCTATTGACTTACTGGGAAATAGTTTGCTTTCTAAAAACGAGGCTGGGCTTGTGTATGTCTTGTTTCCCTTCCTGATTAGAGACTTCATCAGCATTACCAAAAGCAAAAGCACAGGGACAAAAAGCCAATATACTGAAGATGACACGACAGAAGGAGGAAAAGGTTTTGAGTTTCTGATAATATTGTTGTGTCTCTGGAACTACCAACCTTCTAACATCTTACTATCTGAGATTAAATGTCTTTATTACATACTCAACTAATAGATGTTAAGTTTTCTGTTATTTTCTGCAAAAAGCATTCTCAACTGTCTGAGTCTGCTCATGCAAAATACCATAAGCAAAATATCATAAACCGGGTGGCTTAAACAACAGAAATTTTCTCACAGTTCTGGAGGCTAGAAGTCCAAGATCAAAGTTCAGTAGGGTTGGTTCCCAGTGAGAGCATCCTGGTTTTCAGACGGCCGCCTTCTCCACCGAGTCCTCACATGATCTTTCCTCAGTACATGCCTGTGCATCAGGAAAGAGCAAGCTTTCCGAGGTCTTTTTTTTATAAGGACATGAATCCTATAATGAGGGTCCCAATCACACGACCTCATCTACTCCTGATTACTTCCTAAATGCCCTGTTTTCAAGAACCATTAAATTGGGGCTTAAGGCTTCATCATATGAGTTTTGTAGGCGACACAATCAGTCCCTACACCAACTAATACAAAATTGCCCTGTTCACATACAGGAATATCTTTAGCTGATGGCTATTCCCAAGGCTAAAAGAAAAGCCTTGTCTATGCTTTTAATGGCATTCCTCAGTGGTTGGTAAAAAATCATGGATGTGCCATGAAGAATATTGCAGAACATATAAAAATGTGGCAAAAAATTGTTTAAGTACAAAAAATAATGACAAAAGTAGAAATCGTCTGTCTATTCATTCACTACATATTCATTGAATGCCTGTTATATGCACTTCACCCTGTGGGGATTCAAAAGTGAAAGTTGTAGGGTTCCAGGCTTCTACAGTCTATCAGGAAAGATAAGAGATAGTGAAATGGCTGGTGATCAAAGAACACAATTTCCACCCTATGGAGATACAAAGTGGTATGAAAGTTCAGTATTAGGAGAGAGAACTTCATGGAAGAGGTGAGAGTTGGCATGTCCCTTAGGTTAGCATGAGCATTTCTGTAGAAGCCAGATGTAAACTGCTGCAGGGAGCCATATACATAGCATTGTCTCATCTGCTTTGGGCTGCCCTCTCTCAGAACGGATTCTTCTGCTGAAAATGGATGGCTAATCAACTTAGTCATGAATCTGCAGCAGAGTTTTAAGCCTGATCTTGCTGATGAAGAGGAATTCATAATTGCCTGGAAGAAATGTTTCACTTTAATCCAGGGTACTAACTTTTTTGGGCCACTTTAATATTATTTAGGAACGTGGCAAGGTAATTAACCAGCAGCTTGTGTTAATACACTTAGAAAACATAAAATTGTTATTACTTTCTCATCAGATTCATCAATACCTTTAACTATCAGGAATATTGGTTCTTAGCCTTCAGTGAATTATTGGGGAAACTTCTATATTATAAAAGCCAATAAATTGGCCCCTTAAGGAGAGCTACAGAAAATTTATGTCAGTGTAGGTTATGCAATTTCTTCCAAATTTTCACTTGTCTCTACCAGTACCCCAGTGCCACTTCAACCAGCTTGCCATTAACATTCACGGAACCTGAGGTGGGAGCTCAAATGGAGGTCTGTATTCCCTATATCTAAATATTTAAAAGTTACAAATCAAATGGTTACATAAAAACATAAAACATGCTGTATCTTCTTACTCTGACAAATATATACCTTCCTTACACCCTGAGAAACCACATTCTAGTTAGGAACCCTTGGACTTTAGACCATGACAGCGTAGGTATTTAGTTCACAGGTCCCAGACTCCAACCCATCCCCCTTCTCTTTCTACCTCTGTCTTTGTCTCTCACTATGAATTATTTCATGCAGATGTGTGGGGATACTCTGCCTACACATACAAAATTCATTCATTTCCCAGTCCTGCAAACTGTTACCCCTTGGATACCCCTCAGGCCTAGTGTTGTAGACCAAAAGGATGGACCCAGGGAAGAGTCCTGTACAGGTCTTGCAGGCACGCTTGAATTTCTAGATTCCTGAGGAGCGGAATGTGGTCTAGAGGAAGGGAAGTTGGTAAGTGATGAGTGGGCACCCTGCTCCCTGCCCCCCTGATCCCATGGACTCCCCACACAATGGGAAGGGATGAGATGGAGTCAGAGTGGGGCCAGAGTAGAGCTCTCTAATATGAGGCACAGAACTGGGGCCCATCTTGCTGTACGTTAGACTCTCCACTCTGCTGCTTGTCAGCAGTGGGGACTTATGCCAGCATTTACCTATATGAGCCTCAGTTTCCTAATCTGTATGAGGGGTCTTAAATCTGCTGCTTCTGCTACTACACATGGTTGTTGAGAGATCCATATAAATGTAACAGCATATGTGAGTACTCTGTAAAGATTCTATATACCAGTAATGTATTGTTACTATGCCATTTTTTTTTGTTTGCCATTTTACCACGCACTAATGGAAGGGTAAAGCACCTGTCTGCTGTGCACCTGCTCTAGTGTCCTCATTAACATATAACCAAAAATCAAGAATGAAGAGCTGATGACAAGGAGGCAAAGATTATTAAATGAACATCCTTTAGGTTTTATTTTTCCTAAACTTGCTGATTCCTCCAGGTCCAGAAGGATTACTTTAAGACCCTCAGTTTGTGGACATGCGCTAATTTGCATGGGTGATTTGGACCCCAGATTGATGCTGTGTGAGGGACATTATTCTCCAGCTGTAAGGCAGGGTAACTCCTGCATTCAGCAGGAAGCTGACTGATAACTCATCCCTTCAGCGGGCAGAGAATATGCAGTGTACCTTTGTGGCAAAGGCAGCAGATTGAACGAGTGGGGTGTGCCGGGGAATGAATTACACCGTGAGCTTCTGCATCCATAAAAATGAGGCCACTCTTGGGTCAGGCGGGTGGGTGATGTGTCACACAAGCAGGTTAAACTGATTCGACCCTCTGGCTCACTGATTTGAAGCTGACAAAAGGGGCTGTGCTGTGGCTCTGGGCTCAGAATTATCTTACTATTTTCTCTGGCCATTTTGAACCAGGAAAACCTCTGGATTTTTATTTTTTTAGGATTGTATTTTCTTTCTTTCTTCCTCTTTTAAAAAACCTATTTCATTCCTATTTGCACAGAAATCCAAATCAGTCTCATTCTCAGTGTAGGGATTTTGCTATATTTGGGGGCAAAATCCCCATATCTTTATCCTGTTTTAGCATCTTGCTAAATAGAACAAATTGTGCTATTTCTGGTTTTTTGCTTTTCAAAAGCAATTACTTCCCTGTCATTTCTAGACATTCAGGCAGAAGAGTCTGCCTTGATTACCCATCCTTCCTCTTCCCTCCCCCTTTCAAGTCTCTGGCTTCAGCACTGCTAGGGAAGGATTCAATTAAATGAGGTGTCAATGGAGCTACAACGGTTTCAGGTCAGAGACGTCAGTAAAAAGCTCCAGAGTTGCGCTGCCCCTGTGTATGTAAATGTATATATTTATACCGGGGATTTCAACTTGCAGGACTCTCCTCCTCTGCTCTTCCCTGATCAAAGATGAATGCTGAGGCAATTACTGCAAAGGAAAAGAAAATCAGGGCCCCCTCTTCATCCCTGTGCTGTTGGAGTTTAATTGCTTGGAATACTGGAGCAGAAGTCCTTTTCCTTTGCACACAGCCACATTCACACACACACAAACTTTCACAAAAATGGTTGTGCTAGGGCATAAACGCACATGATAGGGTGTGCAGGAAAATATTCATGTACTCCTAAGTCCTATGCGTGTACATATTCACGTACATATTCATGTAACCCTAAGTCCTATGCATGTACATTTTCCTGCTTGATACACGGAAAAAATACTGTGCTCTCTGACTAATTTAATAAAAGCAATGCACAGTATCTGGTCCACATTAAAAGCTATATTTTTTTCTTCCTTTATAAAAGACTGAAAATTTTTATTCTTACACTAAAATAGATAAAGTCAAAAAAGGAAGAAAATATAGGGAGAAGTCACAGCAACAAAATACATAAATTCTTTAAACTGCTTTTGTTGTTTAATTCTTCTGTACAAATCCCAGAAGTCCTAGGTCTCTGCACAAACACTTCACATGTCAGACCGTTTTAGCTTTGTGTAGGCAGTTACAAGGACAAGTTGAGTATTCCACACTATTCACTGTGTTCTAGGCTATTCTGTTTTTGTTCTCATATGGCATGGGTCAGGAAGAGGGATTCTAAGTTGCATCAACAAATATAAGGAGTGACATTTAGACACAGAAAATTTGAGCTCTGTCTATAATTAGTTCTGCTGTGTCCAGGCACCGGTAATGCACATGGCATCAACCTGGGGTGAATCTATGGTCACACAAAGAGCATGGGCTCTAAAGCATCCACATGGCAAATATAGGTTTTCATTTCAGCCTCCTGAGTGCTGTCAGGTTTTAAATATTATTATTTAGCTTAATTGGTTCCTCCTTTGATGGCAAGAGAGTAAAGATGGGGGGAAAAACCCCTCACAAATCCTGTGATCAACACAAAGACACACCACAGACACTTGGCTTTGTGTTAGGACCACTGAAAGTTTTTCTTTTTGTGGATTAAATAGTTAAGGCTGTGGGAGTGGAATACATGCCCATACTACCTAGGAAAGTTAAGAATAAATACAGATTTTCGGAAAGGAATTCAGACCTTTTTTTCCACTGTTAGGATTTCTGAAATTTTGAAATTTTTTTCTAAAAATTTCAGAAAATGGGACCAAGTATAAACAACAACAACAACAAAATCACAAATTTTATTCCCTTATTTTAGGGGTTTGGAGGTAAATGTGGTTATGTGGAAGAGCCCCACAAATATGTCAAAGTGTTGCCTTGAAACCCTTAACGTCTGTAATGTTTTTGTTTGTTTTGTCCTAAGGACTGTTCTTGGCCTTGAGGATGTTCTCTCTTTAGGGTCCCCAGTGCTTTAGAAGGCAGTGAGCAAGAGAGACAAAGTCCTTGCCTTCCAGAGTTTATATTCCAGTAGAAGAGAAAGACTTGAGCAAATAAATAAATTGACATACATTATAATGTCAAGTAACAATTGAGTGCTATGAAGAAAAATAAAACAAGATCAGAAGAGAGAGACTGATGGAGTTTTTTTTAAGACAGGGCAATCAAGGAAGGCTTCTCTGAGGAAGTGACGTTTGAGCACAGACCTGTTTGAAGTGGAGTGAGCCATGGGAACATCTGTGGGGCAGGGGAATATACTTGGCTAAAAAAAAAGCAAGTCCAAAATTGAAAGATGGGAATCTGCTTGGCATATTTAAGGAACAGCAAAGAGGGTGGCATGGCTGAAATGCAGTAAGAAGAGTAGCAGAAAATGAATTCAGAGAGGTAGCCAGGGGCTATATTGTATTGGGCCATGCAGGCCATGTAAGACTTTATATTTTATTCTAATAGTGATGAGGAATCATTGGAAGATATTGAGTAGAGAATGATATTCTCTGGTCGACAATGTAAAGGACTAATTCTGGCCACTGTGTGGGGAAAAAGCACAGGGAGGCAAAAGTGGAAACAGAGACATCAGTTAGGAGGGTATTACAGCACCAAGAGAGAAATGATGGGTGGCTTGAACTAGGGTAGTAACAGTGGAGGTGATGGGAAGAGAAACTGTACCCATAAGCTCTACCTAAGGGATCTACTAGAGGACAAACTTTAGACTAAAATTACTAGAGAGGCATTAAACATTAAATAGTTACTTGTAGAACTAACTGCGGATTAAAAAAAGAGTTCATAGTATATAACAGCTATGTGATCTGAAAATCTAAAGATGGTATAATCATTAAAAAATAGGGGAGGGGCAGAGAAAAATAAGGATAACATATGCCACAAATATTTAACTGTTTTTAGTAATCAAAAATGGTTTTTGATGGTAGAATAAGGATAATTTCAAACTTGTATATGTAATATGGTATAAAGTAAATGAGTAATTATGGGATATTCTAATTCTATCGTCCCATATGTCCTTGAGAACCAGAACTCTTGGTGTGGAAGAAAAGAGATGTAGGTGCAACACAGAACATTTAAATTAATCCTGTAGTCCTGAATTTGAATTGGAGATATCAATATGAACTTATGATGTATTTATCTTGCTACATAGGAAATATAGGATACATATATATAATAAATATAAGTATATGTAATTAAATATTTATAAACATAAATATAGGAAATAAATGCTATATTTTAAAATATCCATATATATAATATATATATTTTCATAGTTCAATCCATTTTAAAAGCCTTGAAATAATGACTAATCCAGTAGCATTAAGAATCTTTAGTGCCCAGACTGTGGTATTGAAATACTATTTTCTATTAACAGAAATCAAGCCTTCTTAGAGAAATGGTTGATTCCAGGTCTATTGCAGGGAAACATACAGCCTAAGTTGGAATATTGTACTAGTCTGTTTTCATGCTGCTGATAAAGACATATCTGAGACTGGGAAAATTACAAAAGAAAGAGATTTAATGGACTTACAGTTCTGTGTGGCTGGGGAGGCCTCACAATCATGGTGGAAGGCAAGGAGGAGCAAGTCACATCTTACATGTGTGGCAGCAGGCAAAGAGAGAGCTTGTGCAGGGAAACTCCCCCTTTTAAAACTATCATATCTTGTGAGACTTATTCACTATCATGAGAACAACACAGGAAAGACCTGCCCCTATAATTCAATTACTTCCCACAGGGTCCCTCCCACAATACGTGGGAATTCAAGATGAGATTTAGGTGGGGACACAGGCAAACCATATCAAACATCCTTTTTTTTTTTTTTTTTTTTTTTTTGCTTTTCATTCTTTTTCCCATTTAAAATATTATTTTTAATCGACAAATAATTTCACATATGCATGAGGTACACAGTAATGTTTTGATGCATATAATGTATAGTGATCAGATCAGGGTAATTCGTGTATCTATTGCTTCAAAAATTTATCATTTCTTTGTGTTGGGAATGTTCAATATCTTTCTTCTAGCTATCTAAATCACATACTATTGTTAATTATAGTCTTCCTACAGTAGTATAGAACACTAGAACTTATTCCTCTTATTTAGTTGTAATTTTGTATCTTTTAATACATCTCTCCCTTCTTCCTACACTTTCTAGCCTCTAGTATCATCTGTTCTACTTTTCACCTTTATAAGAGCAACTTTTTTTAGCTTCAACATATGAGTGAGAACATGTGGTGTTTAACTTTCTGTTCCTGGCTTATTTCACTTAACATAATACCCTCCAGTTCCATCTAGGTTGCTACAAATGATGAGATTTCAATTTTTTATGGCAAAATAGTATATACAACATATATATATATATATATATATATAAATTAGCATATATACCACATTTTCTTTAACCATTTATTTCTTGTTGGATACCTAGGTTTACTTCACATCTTGGCTATTGTGAATAATGCTGCAATAAACAGCTTTATACATCGGAGGACAATATATACCTTCAGTACAATGACTTTCTTTCCTCTAAATAAATGCCCAGTAGTGGGATTCCATGGGATCACATGGTAGTTCTATTTGTAGTTTCTTAAGGAACTTTTATACTGTTCTCCATAGTGGCTGTAGCAGTTTACATTCCCACCAACAGTGTGTAAGGGCTCCCTTTTCCCTGCATCCTTGCCAGCATTTGTTATTTTTTGACTTTTGATAATAACAATCCTAACTGGGGTGAGATGATACCTCACTGTAGTTTTGATTTGCAATTCTCTGATGATTAGTGATGTTGAGCATTTTTTCATATATTTTTTGGCTATTTTTATGTCTCTTGAGAAATGTCTGTTTAGATCATTTGCCCATTTTTTGATTGAATTGCTTGTTTTTTTGCTGTTGAGATGTTTGGGTTTCTTATGTATTCTGGATATTAATCTCCTGTCAGATGAGTAGTTTGCAAATATTTCCTCCTAGTCTGTAGTTGTCTTTTCACTCTGTTGTTTCCTTTGCTATGCAGAGCTTTTTAATTTGACATAATCTCATTCCTTGTTTCTGCTTTCGATACCCGTGCTTTTGAAATTTTATTCATAAAATCTTTTCCCAGACCAGTGTCCTTAAACATTTTTCCTATTTTTTTTCTAATAGTTTATTGTTTGGGGTCTTACATATAGGTATTTTTTCTATTTTGAGTTGACTTTTGTATAGTGTGAGAGGTGGGGTTCTGGTTTCATTCTTCTGCAGCTGATTCTAAATTTGAGGCAGGAAACACACAAGATGAGTCTGAATTTCTTAACATACAAGACAGCATGGAAGCTTATCAGAGACTACTAGGGTCATTTCAAAACACTAAGGAACAAACATGAAGAGATTTTGTCTCGCAGGCAAAGATGAGATATTTTGAGCTTCAAGAATTGCAATGATTTGAAATCTATCAACTGTTTAAATCCATAAACTAATAATTACATATATGTTAAAAACAACCAACTGGTCAATAGGGAACTAATTATAACTATCTTGACAAGAGAGTAAAAATATAGAAAGTATCAAGCATTTATTTTGCTCTTTTTATATAAATTGTTCTACTAGATAGCCAAATAATAGACAAGGAGAAGCACCTCTTTATAGAATTGTTCAGTTAAAATACGAAACTGAAATAGATCGATAATATCACCATTTTGCGATACCCACTGTATTAACAGATCTAGGAATTGAGCATTAATAATTGTTATAACATTTGAAAAGAAAAAAAAAACAGTTATTATGTGCCTACTGATGAAAGAACACAATTCACCTATGGTCTTGTCAAAGGGTTTGAACCTTCAGAGGTCAAGTCTCTGGATTTAGCTGCCAAGTTGCAGAAATACAGAGGACAGAGGAACATGTTGAACTGCATCACGAGTCTGCAATTGTCAATATTTAAACTATGAGAATCCTACAAGTCAGGCAGCCTGGGTTCTTTAACAGATAAATTATAAGAAAAGAAAAGGAATGGAGAGGAAAACTGTAAAGACTTCAATGACACAACAAGTTTAAAAAGTGGAGAAGACTAAACTGTAGAATCTAAAGATGTAGTTGGGTGATAAAACATAAAGAAATGTAAATGTCTACTATGAGTCAGGAGGGAGGAAGGGGGCTATAATTGTGGTGGGAAACATGGAGGGACATCTAGGTGGCTAGTAGAGTACTACTTCTTGATTGAGGTGGTGGTTATAAGGTTGTTTGCCTTAAATAATTCACTAAGCTATACATTTGTTCCATGTAGTTTTCTGTATGCGTTTTACTAATATTTTATAATAAAAAGGTACACAAAGCTAATAGCTATAGTATATACATATACATGCCCATATATATAATTAGATAGATAAAAATAGCTAGGTAAGTAGGTAAAATAGGTAGATAGATAGATAGATAGATAGATAGATAGATAGATAGATAGATAGACAGACAGGCAGGCAGGCAGGCAGTGGATAGGCTCACATTGGCAAAAAATGAGTAAACAATAGCCGCATGGCCTCAGAGATAAGTGGAGAATCTTTTGAACAATTACAGATAGCAGGAGTTGAATGATTTATGAAAAAACAGCATCTGAGCTTGGGGAGATTTCTCTCTTTTCCCTAAGTAAACCAAGCATTTGTTAGTAGGTGCTTTTGCTTTCTGGTCAAAGCCTGAGATCTGCTCTCTAAAGAAAGTGGTTGATCTGCTTAGGGATGGCTTCTTGGAAGCTGCTGGGGTCTAAAAGAGAAGAAGAGCAAGACTGACCTTCCTCCATGGAAGACCTTGAGGGAAGAAACAAAAAGAAAGGACAATCCTACCCAAGAATGGTACATGCAGAAGTGTTTTACCTTCAGAAAGGCTCCTTAACTTTTATAATCACTGAAGTTTCCAGCCAGCCTGCCTGCTCCATGCCTGTCTGTCAAAATCTACTCAGTCACTTGTCTGGAACTGGAAGTCAGTCCTTCTTTTCACTGATGAGGCCTACCAAGGAAACAAATATATTAACCACAGAGGAAACCATGATCCTGATTCATATGATGCATAGACATTAAAGGAACAGTAGCTATTTGAAGTTAATCAACAAAGTGAAGGACAAATCCCCAAATGTATAAACAGAAGACCTTACCATGGGAGAAACGGAGCTATTTGAGAAAACAAGAATGAAATTTATATAAATTTTAAATCATACCTTCATATAAATCTGAGAAGCTACTGTACTTATTAAATAAGACAAGAAACTATAAGAAAGGAACAGTAAAAGAACAAAAAGGAATTCCAGAAAACTAAAAATACAATTTCAAAAATAAAGAACTCAGTGGTTGAGTTGACTCATGAAATAGACATAGCTGAATACTGCATTGGTGAACTGGAAGATAAAGTCAAGGAAATCTCCCAGAATGTAGAACAGAAAGAACATTTAAAATAAAAGTCAAAATACATGGAGGATAGAATCAGGAAATCTATCATGTGTTTAACAGAAGTCTCAAAAGGAGGAAATAAATATAATGGAGAAAAGTAGACAATCACAAATATAATGGGCTATAATAATACACTTTCCCTGAATGATTAAAAAGACATGTACCTTTGGATTGGATGGGACTACTGAATACCAAAGAGAACAAGTGAAAAATGGCTCACACCTAGATATAACCTTATGAAATTTCAGAACTTCCAGAGTTAATAGAAAATCCTAATGGCTTTCAGTGAAGGAGGAAAGGTTATTTATAATAGAGAAGAAAGCAGACTGATGCCAAATTTTTCACTGGCAATACAGGATGTTAGTAGACCTTGAGGCAATGCCTTCAAAGTTCTTAGGAAGAAAAGAAAAATCTGTACAATATTTGAAACCAAGGGGTGAATTTGAATAGGTCTGTCTGCCCTGTTTGCTTTCGGTTGTTTGCTTTTTGTTATCTTTTTTTCTTGTTTCCATGAACTTGAGTGTGGTAGTGGCTGAAGACCTCACCGCTGAACCCTGAAACTTAGCCTTCACTGGCTACTTTATAGATAACATTCACAGGTCACCATGGTAATGGTTGCTTCAGTTGTTTTTAAGGAATTTGGCCCCGCTCCTGTCTAGTTCAAACCAGCTGAGACCATGAATTCTTTCACTAGGCCTGTGCAAGTGCCTGAGAAGTGGCCTTCTGACATCAGGTATTTCACCCTCAGATCATGCTAATGCTGCCATTTTCCGTACATATGTCCTATAAAATGCTATGAACCCAGCTGCACTTGCAAAGAATTAACCTGTTACTTCATTTTCCCCATCACCAATCACCTTTCGCCATGCCTTACACCACCTCACCTCCCTAACCCATAAATATCTCTAAGCCTTATCTCCAGAGAGGCAGATTTGAGAGCTGTTCTCCTGCCTCCTCACTTGGTGGCCTTATGAATAAATCTCTTCTCTTTTGCAAAACCCATGTCACAGTGATTGATTTACTGCACTTGGGCAAAATGGACCTGGACCTAGCCAGTAACATATTTAGTTAAACTATCAATTAAATATGAGTGAAGAATTAACCAAATTTTGCATGTGTAAGTGATCAGAAAGTTTATCATCCACATATTCATATAAAAAAGTACTTAAGTAGATTATTTTGAATAAATGACAAATAACCCAAAGAAGATTATATAGAATATAAAAATAGTGGTGGCCAAGTAAAAGAAGTAAAGGAAGCTAGAAATATATTTAATGAGAACTGAGTGGAGATCCTGGGGCTTGGGGGGTACTTTCCTTCAAATGGCAACCTTTTAATGATCTAGGATTACATTTGTTTCTGTATGGGTTCAATCGTTCTGATATGGTTCTATTGTGACTATACAATCGTAATGTAAAAGCTGCATTTTAAGAATATTGAAACTGGACTCCTTCCTTACACCACATACAAAAATTAACTCAAGATGGATTAAAGACTTAAATATAAAACCCAAAACGATAAAAACCCTGGAAGACAACCTAGGCAATACCATTCAGGACATAGGCATGGGCAAAGATTTCACGATGAAGATGCCAAAAGCAATTGCCACAAAAGCAAAAATTGACAAATGGAAAATGATTAAACTAAAGAGCCTCTGTACTGCAAAGGAAACTACCAACAGAGTAAACAGACAACCTACAGAATGGGAGAAAATTTTTGTGAACTATGCAGCTGACAAAGGTATAATATCCAGTGTCTATCAGGAACTGAAACAAATGTACAAGAAAAACAACAAATAACCCCATTAAAAAGTGGGCAAAGGACATGAACAGACATTTTTCAAAAGATGACATACATGCGGCCAACAATCAGATGAAAAAAAACCTCAGCATCACTGATCACTAGAGAAATGCAAATCACAACCACAATGAGATACCATTTCACACCAGTCAGAATGCCTATTATTAAAAAGTCAAAAAATAACAGATGTTGGCAAGATTGTGGAGAAAAAGGAATGCTTTTACACAGTTGCTGGGAGTGTAAATTAGTTCAACCATAGTGGAAGACAGTGTGGCAGTTCCTCAAAGACCTAAAGACATAAATACCATTTGCTCCAGTAATTCCATTACTGGTATATACCCAAAGGGTTATAAATCATTCTATTAGAAAGACACATGCATGAGTATGTTCACTGCAGCATTATTCACAATAGCAAAGACATGGAACCAACCTAAATTCCCATCAGTGATAGATCGGATAAAGAAAATGTAGTACATATACACCATGGAATACTATGCAGCCACAAAGAAGAATGAGATCATGTCATTTGCAGGAACATGGATGAAGCTGGAGGCCATTATCCTTAGCAAACTAGTGCAGGAACAGAAAACCAAATACCACAGCCTGCACATGTACCCCTCAACTTAAACGTTTTTTAAAAAGCTGCATTTTATCTTGAGTGTTTAGAATCATCCTATGGACAGTGCATGTAAGATTTATATAGAAAATATTATAAATGTTGTAAATATTGAAAAAATAAAAATAATGTAACTACCAAAAATTTGGTGGCAGATGGAGAGAAGTGAAAGGTGGGGCACTATTTCTATAATATTTAAAAAATGTTTTCAAAGGATAAGAAATCAAGTAATAGGTTTTTTAAAAATATGTCATTTAAAATCATGAAGGCAACCACTACATGAATTTAAAATACATAGCTAATGAATATTGAGGGTAGGGAAGGAGATGTGCATAAGAAGACAGAAATTAATGTTAAGTGTACAAAGAACCTCAGCCTTTATTATTATGGAATCTATTTGGTACCAGCTAGAGTTGAAACATCAAGACAGAAGTATAAGAATATTGCTGATAGTTAAAAGGGCTGATTGGTCATGTCAAGCTGGAAACAGACTTGGAAAATGAGTGGTGTTTCCTACAAGACTTATGAGGAAAAGAATTCCCCAGTTATCAGAAGGGATTAGGGCTGGGCATGGTTGCTCATGCCTGTAATTCCAGCACTTTGGGAGGCCAAGGCAGGAAGCTCTCTTGAGCCCAGTAATTCGAGACCAGCCTGGGCAATGTGGTGAGACCTTATCTATCTCTCTCAGATTTCTATCTATGAGAGAGAGAGAGAGAGAGAGAAAGAGAGAGACAGTGCGTAGGTGCTGGTTAAAAAACAAAAACATAAAATAAAATAAGCATAGAGCAATTATTTTTACCCCTCATGTCAACTATTTAATATTATTTTATTTAATCTTCACAATAATTTCATAAGGTACATACTGCTATCCTCATTTCACAGGTAAGAAAACCAAAGCTCCAAGAAATTAAGAAATCTTGTCATGGCTATTTAGCAAGTTAGGCAGTGGAGTCTATAATAAAAACGAAGGCTGTATGACTTCGAGGTTCATGCTTCTCCCACTTATCCATGTTACATCTCTATCTTAGTCTATATTTCTGTACATGGTATTGATTATATACACATTTGTACCACGTATATTTTATCTCCACAACTAAACTGTCAGCACCTTGAGGAAGGGTTTCTCGTCTTTAACAGTTCTTGTATCTCTTATAGCACATAATGCAGTGCCTTTTGTGTAGAATGAGCTTAGTCAATATCTATTATATAACTCTGAAATCTATACCAATGAAAAGTCTTATTTTTTTAGGTAAATTAGGTACAATAAAGGATCAGTATTACAAGCTTCTACAATCCTTGAAACACATCAAAATGTCCTTTATACGTTTACATCTTTGTCTTTTTCCTCATTTTCCTAATTAAGCCATTAATTTCTCTCAGTATTGCAGGCAAACAGGATAAATAAATCAGTATCCGATTTTTTTTCCTAAATTGCTAGTTTTCCTTTAGCATTATTTTCTATTCATTTTCCCTGTATTTGTCTTACCCTTTAGGAATATTACTTATTTAAAAGAATATTGAAGGCTAGTTTATGGTGCTTACCATAATGTGTAACAATATTTCTAAGGAAAACTGGCTTAAAATGGCTAAACAGGAAATTTGGGATATCATGTCTTTGTAAACAACGAACTTCCTGTACACAATCTGTATTCTGTAGTGCTTAGCTCAATGCAAATGTGAATGCTGGTTAAATCAAATGTAATGTACAGAGTAAATCTCTGCGGACACATTGATTCCTAGTAAAGGTGCATGTGAAACATGTCTATTATAAAATCATTCACGTTAGGTAGGATGCAAATGTAGTAGTGTTTTATTCTTCCTCTCATTCACATAGTCATCGACACAGCCCACCCTGGTCGTTGGAGCACACACACACAGTAATCACACTATTCTGCTAGTGTAGATGGATTTCAGTCTGTGTTTTGTTTCACTATGGCACCATCTTGTTTCAATAAAGGCTGGCTCTCAGGCTTCTTGCGGTTTTTATTCCAAGCTGAGGATGAACGCTTACAAGCTGCCTGTCTCTTTGCTTTTAGCTGCAAGTGTTCACAGCCCCTCCCCCAACCACCCTTTTCACTGTTTCTGCTACTACTTTTATTCAATTCAACACTTCAGGGAACTGCAGATGAAATGCCTCTGAATCTAAATTGCCAGCAATGGAAATAACAACCTATTTTCTGACCTCCCTTTCCTCCACCCACACTTTTCGACTCTGAGTCTAGGAGCACAAAGCTGCTCTATCTCTGTCTCTTGGGTTTAGTAGTATAGTGGCTTTTCCGGGCTAGGGGAAAAAAGTACAATGTCAAACAGAAATCCACTAGGAAAAATATTTGGCAAGAGAAAGAAAGAAGTGGGATGCTTATAAGATATATATAAATATGCTTATGTGCTTATAAGGTATAGGCAAATGGTAGGAAATACATGATGTAGAGTAATAAATCAGAATTTACACACCACATGGTGAAGCCACCTCAGGAGATTATACAATAACACCACAAGCACTAATCACTGCTAAAGCATTTTTGAAATTTCTTATGAAATTGCTCTCAGCATCAGTACACAAGGTATATGAGAAAACAAGCCTCTTAACACCTCATTTTAAAAAATCCTAGACAGTATTACTCAGTTTAATCACTCACCATGTTACAAGACTTCTCCGTGAATGGATTTTATCAATTTAAAAAGTATCAAATCTTTCCTCAAAGGAAAAAAAATCAATGAGATATTAAAATGAGATGCAGGCTAATGAGATTTTAAAATGTGACACAGGCACTAATGAAAAACCTACTGTGTGCCAGTGGGCAAAAGCCTTGTTAAGTAATACTATTCCCATTGCAGAGTGAAGAAAACTATCTCATGAGAAAGATTAAGTAACTTGTCCAAGGCCACGCAGCCAATAAAAGGATGAGGAGATTTGAACCCAGGACTGACTTTAAAGCCTGCACTCTGCTTCTAAGGAATGATTTGTGACAATCTAGCATAGTGAACCCAGAGAGACAGCAGGGAGCACAAGAAACAGGCTGGGCACAAGAATGGATAAAATGTAAATATAATTAACCCTTGGCCACTTAGTGCTCTTGTGTATGTTTTAAAAGTAAAACTTGAAACAAGCTGTAGAAGAGGGACATCTACTGACATTCCCCCACGACCTTTAACTATCTGTTGAACATACTTTTTGGATATACACAGAAAATTATGTTATCATGCTTAATAGTTGTAGTGTTGTGTTTGAAGTAAGATGGAAATGCTAAAAAAAACTTTAGATTTTCTAAGAAAATTCTGTAGACTTTTGTCATTACTATGATCTCACATTCTTGTTTTGAGAGTCCATAAAAGCCATTCTTTTTCTGAAATGGGCTTTTTTGGCAGGTCATCAGTGGACTATGAGATGCTACAATATTGCCTTATCATATGTCTCTCATATAGCTCATGGTTATTTATACATCATTTACTATATTGCACGGGCTTCTCTGTAAGAAAATTTGGAAAAGAAAATTATCTTGAAGTAGCAAGAACAATTACATTTCTGGAAAATTTGCTCTCTGCTGCCCCTGCCCTTATCTTTTGAAGATTGTAACTCATGTAATAGATAATGTTTTTCTTTTCATGTTGACTGCAAGTATGTGCCTTTTACTCGATATTATGTTTGTGAGATTTATTCATGTTGTTGCATATAGTTGCAGTTCATTTTTTCTCATTACTGTGCAATATTCCATGTTGTACAGTACATATATCACATTTTAAAAATCCATTCTACAGTTGTTGGACATTTATACTGCTTCCAGTTTTCAACTCTTATGAATAGTGATGCTGTGACCATTCTTATAAATGCCGTTGGTATATATATGTACAGTACTCCATTTCTGGTAGGTATACGATTGAAATTACTAGGCTATAGGGTATGCATATATTCAGCATTTGTATATATTTCCAAAAAGTTTTCCAAAGTGGTCAACTAGTTTACACCCTTTCATCAGTTACTTGACCTTTGTCAACTCTTAGTGTTGTCTTTGTCATTTTAGTGGGCATGTGTTGGTATTTCAAAGTCTTTACTGATCCAGATTATTAAATCAGTAGCATTCAGAATCAATTCACGTTCTCATTCTACTCTTACATCTGTTTTTCTTAGCATAGATTTCTGTTTCAGAATTTGTGTTTTCAGGGTCTTTTGAGGAGGAGATAAAACAAAACAAAACAAAACAAAACAAAAGGTTTATTTATCGTTTCTAACCTCAGCTTCCTTCCTGATGGTTTGTAGTTGACTTCAGACAACCCCTCAGGGATCCAAATCCAAAACTAAGACTTAAATTTGTACCTACACTGGGGACATCCCCATATTAATCACTGAGTCAGTGGAAAATTTAGTTTATTTTCTGGTACTGAGACTGTCTGCTCTCTCCTGAAGCCCCAGACAAGAATTAGCAGCAGATCTTTGTACAGCCACCTTTTGGGCTGTGAGGAGTCCCACCTTGTTCCCTGGTTTCAGAAATAGAGTTTGGCTCTTATTTCCCATTCCCATCCTCACAAGGAACAACTATTTTAGTCCCCAGTCCCCATTATCCTTAGGGGCTGGCCTCCCAGTCATCATTCTTTCCATACCTACAACTCTCCAGATTTGTGCATTCAATCCCTCTCACCACTCACTGATTTGAGTTTTTCTTTCATTTTTTGTCCTCTTGGGTATTTATATCATTTATAAACAAAAATGTAGCTCTTACATTTTCTTTTTATATCGAATTGTTGCTTTTTTATGTTTGTGTGTGTATGGGAGGGGGTACTCAAAAGATGAACCTTACAGAGAGCCATCTTGACCAGAATTCTCCCCATTGAACTTACCTTCAGAGATTTCCTTCAGACATCTCAAACTGAACATTTCTATGACTAAATTCATTATCTTCTCTCACCAAAAGCAGCTCCTCTCTATTTACTTTATCTTGATGAATGGCACAAGGGGTCTGGCCTCCAAAATCAGAAACATCCACTTCATTCTCAATTCTTTGCTTTCCCTCTCTCATCATCTTAAATATGTCACCAAAGATAGAGTCCTGTAGACTCTATCCCAGCAGCAACTCTTGAATCTGGCTGTGCTGCTCTCTCCTCTCTGACCCCACTTTTGTCCAAACATTCATCATCTCTCCAGCCTGAGTGCCAGCAACACTCTCCGTGCCACCAGTGTCTTCGCACTTGACTTCATCTTTCAGATTTATTTTCTTAACCAAACAAACAAGCAACAATGCAACCCTAAATCTCTTTAAAGACTTCTACTGTCTACTACCTAGAGAATAAAGTTCAAAATTGTTAGTAGGAGTGATGTGGGAAGGGTAGGTTGTGGCCAGAATGTATGATGATGGGATGTACTGTGTACCTGAAATGTAATGTTTAGAATGAGTGAGAAATGGGATTTATGTTTATTATGTTCTATATAACATTAGCAATGATCTCTGGTATGAACTGAAATGTGAATGGATGTGTGGATGGATGTGACTGTCTAAGGATGGTGTGCTCGTTATTCTGTATATTCCCAGGCCACTTTTTGCTCTTCTCTAGCTCCACATCTGGGAGGCTGACCTCTATTGACTGCATCATCTGGACTTCCTTATGCACTGGAGGCACCAGCAAGAGATGGGAGGGTAGGAGGAAATCTGGGTGTTTATTCTTCCTACTTCATCCCTGTTTTGCCCTTGTTCTGCTGCTGTGACAGGGGACAGGTTGTCCATGGCTGAAGCTCTCATCTAACAGCCTTTCTTCTATGGCTCAGCTTTCAAGAGGCCGTGGTAAACACCATTCCACCCTTTGTCCCTTCAGGCTCAGGCATGGGTGGTGATGGCTTTCACTGTTGCTAGTCTCTGGGTACCTCACTATTTCTTCTTGCTTCCTTTAACCCTGCCCACACAGCTATATCTAGTCCATTTATTATGTTATTTTTAGATAAGTCCCTGTTTCCTGCTCTACTCTGATAAAGGTGATAAGTATAAAATACATTTAAATGAGAAATGAGCAAATGCGAGTTTAAGTTCATTTAAGCAAAAACAAAACTAAAAACAAAAAAACCCTTAAAACCACAATATCCTATCTTTTCAGGAGTAAAGATTACTATCTATTTTAATGAATTACAGTCTAAAAGGAAGGATATTAATGTATTACTTTAAATTCAGCTCCGTAAAAAGAAGTTGTGGACTTATTGAAATAATCTGACATTTCGTATATTCTTATTGCATTTCCAATTAGTGGCTATAAAATTTGGGGAGTTATTTGAAAATAATCAATTGTAGAAGCAATATAATTGGGCCAGCTTAACCGATCACATTTCAGCATTTTTAATTGACAAATGCTTATCCATGAGTCATAATTAATAAAGCTACAGTGCCGAGAATATAACGTAACATGCCAGACTGCTGGGAAAGAAACCAGTTTATGCTTATTTTTTCATCTAGACATAGAAGTCCTTCTGACACATGCTCTTTCTTCTCTGACCTCCTTTCCAAAGTCAGAAGCACATTTTGTTTCTCCCATAGCGGTTAAAAATGACACATTGGGATGTGTCTACAGAGTGAAGTATGAGCCAATTTCTAAGAACGGAAAACCAGTGCCAAAAAAAAAAAAGACTCAGAGAGCAGTACCTCTACAAATTCAAATAGTCTCTGGGTACTGTCACTGAAAAATAATGACTTGCATTCTGTGCAGCAACCAGGAAGCAATGTTGTGTGACTCTTCCCTACTCAGCCCCCAACCCTCACAACCTCCCTTCTGCCAGCAACCCAAATTTCCCTCACATTTAATGCTGGAAAATGTATGTGGTCAAGAGACAAAGAGCAGTAAGTTTTGGAATCATGCTCTTTGTTGGGGAAAACTGCAAGCTCTGGCTGTTTCCATTTAAATGGCATTTCATTTTGTCCAATTCAATGTTTGCTGATTGTTCATGCTGTCTAGAAAAGCTTTGATTAAACCTTCTAATTTCACCTCAGCTTCTTCTTTTCTGCAGGGCAAGCCCTTGTCCTGAAAGTATAGAAATGTGTTTAAAAGGAAAAGAACAAAGTAGGAGAATTGAAGGGAAGGAGTTAGAAAACTTGAAGGAATTACAAGTTCAGTAGGTTTAACCAGGATAGTGTTATTTTAACCAGGCATCTCTTCTTATACCTGTTTTACTAATTCTTACACTTCATGATTCTGATATATATTAAAAAACTAAAATCTTTACCTATAAAACCCATTTTCCATTTCATTTATATTTTCCAATGGAGATGATACAAAGTTATTCCGTGTTGGCTCAAAACATGGGTATTTTTGCTTCCAGAGTGCTCTTTTTATTTTATTGATGTGAGCAGAAAAAACAAAGTTGCTTATTTCCTTATCATGGAATTTCTGACTTTGCTTTAAACGTGGCACTTGTTCAGCCAGGTCCTTCTACTCCAGTAACTATTACTACTTGATTTTTAAGTAATTGTGAGAAACTATTCTCACAAAAAGTCAACTATTTAGAGGTGTGTATATGCACACACAGAAACACATATATCCGCAGCATATATATAAAATTTACACATAATAGTATACATGTATATATACATAAATAATATATTTTACCTATATAATACATACATACACATACATATATGTATCCATATGTATCCAAAATTATATATAATCTTTATATATATGTTTTAAAAAATATTTTTCATTACAAAAAACATATAGAGGATAACATAACAAACATCTTTGTATTTACTGTTGAAGTTTGAGGGGGCCAATAAATCCTCCTAACCCAAGTTCTGATTCAATTGAGAAAGACAAAGAAGTCAGGCAGATGGAAATAAAATCTACTGTAGAACAAATGTATTAGTTTGTTCTCAGGCTGCTAATAAAGACATACCCAAGACTGGGTCATTTATAAGGGAAAGAGGTTTAATTGACTTACAGTTCAGCATGGCTGGGGAGGCCTCAGGAAATTTGCAATCATGGAGGAAGGTAAAGGGGAAGAGAGACACCTTCACAAGGTGGCAAGAAGGAGAAATGCAAGCAGGGGAAATGCCAGACACTTACAAAAGCATCGGATCTCGTGAGAACTCATTCATTATCATGAGAACAGCATGGGGGAAACCACCCCCATGATTCAATTACCTCCACCTGGTCCCAGCCTTTGACATGTGGGGATCATGGGGATTACAATTCAAGGTGAGATTTAGGTGGGGACACAGAGCCAAACCATATCATTCTACCCTTGGCCCCTCCCAGATCTCATGTCCTCACATTCAAAAACACAACCATGCCTTTCCAACAGTCCCCCAAAATCTTAACTCATTCCAGTATTAACCCAAAAGTCCAAGTCCAAAGTCTCAGCTGAGACAAGGCAAGTCCCTTCCTCCTATGAGCCTGTAAAATCAAAAGCAAGTTAGTTACTTTCTAGATACAATTGGGGTACAGGCAAGGGGTATATATACCCATTCCAAATAGGAGAAATCAGCCAAAACAAAGGGGCTACAGGCCCCATGCAAGTCCAAAATCCAATAGGGCAGTCATTAAACCTTAAAGTTCCAAAATGATCTCTTTTGACTCCATGTCTCACATCCAGGTCACACTGATGCAAAAGGTGGCCTCCCATGGCTTTGGGCAACTCCATCTCTGTGGCTTTGCAGGGTACAGTCCACCTCATGGCTGCTTTCACATGCTGGCATTGAGTGTCTGTGGCTTTTCCAGGTGCATGGTGCAAGCTGTTGGTGGATCTACCATTCTGGGGTCTGGATGATGGTGGCCCTTTTCTCACAGCTCCACTAGGCAGTGGCCCAGTGGGGACTCTGTGTGTGTGTGTTTGGGGGGGGACTCTGACACCACATTTCCATTCCACACTGCCCTAGCAGAGGTTCTCTATGAGGGCTCCACTCCTGCAGTAAACTTCTGTCTGGATATCCAGGCATTTCCATACATCCTCTGAAATCTAGGTGGAGGTTCCCAAACCTCCATTCTTGACTTCTTTGCACCTGCAGGCTCAACACCACATGGAAGGCTTGCAGCTTGCACCCTGTGAAGCAAAGGCTGAGCAATACCTTGGCCCCTTTCAGCCACAGCCTGGAGCAGAAGCAGCTGGGATGCAGGGCACCATGTCCTGAGGCTGCACAGAGCAGGCAGGCTGTGGGCCCAGCCCATGAAACCATTTTTCCCTCTTAGATCTCAGGCCTGTGATGGGAGAGACTGCCATGAAGGTCTCTGACGTGCCCTGGAGACATTTTCCCCATTGTCTTAGTGACTAACATTCAGATCCTCATTACTTATGCAAACTTCTGCAGCGGTAGTCAGCTTGAATTTCTCCTCAGAAAATGGGTTTTTATTTTCTATCACATTGCCAGGCCACAAATTTTCCAAACTTTTATGATCTGCTTCATCTTGAATGCCTTGCCTCTTCAACATTTTTTCTGCCAGATACCCTAAATCATCTCTCTCAAGTTCAAAGTTCCACGGATCTCTAGGGCAGGGACAAAATGCCACCAGTCTCTTTGTTAAAGCATAGCAAGAATGACCTTTACTCCAATTCCCAGTAAGTTCCTCATTTCCATCTAAGACCACCTCAGCCTGGACTTCATTGTCCATATCACTATCAGCATTTTGGTCAAAGCCATTCAACAAGTCTCTAGGAAGTTCCAAACTTTCCCAAATCTTTCTGTCTTCTGAGCCCTCCAAGTCTCTAGGAAACTCCAAACTTTCCCACATTTTCCTGTCTTCTTCAGAGCCCTCCAAACTGTTCCAACCTCTGCCTATTACCCAGTCCCAAGGTCACTCCACATTTTCAGGTATCTTTACAGCAGTGCCTCACTACCTTGGTACCAATTCACTGTATTAGTCCATTCTCATGTTGCTAATAAAGACATACCTGAGACTGGATAATTTATTTTAAAAAAAGTGGTTTAATTGACTTACAGTTCAGCATGGCAGGGTAGGCCTCAGGAAATTTATAATCATGGCAGAAAGTGAAGGGGAAGTGAGGCACCTTCTTCACAAGGCAGGAGGAAGGAGAAGTGCAAGCAGAGGAAATGCTAGACAGTTATAAAACCATCAAATCCTGTGAGACTCGTCATTATCATGAGAACAGCATGGGTTAACCACTTCCATGATTCAATTACCTCCACCTGGTCCCACCCTTGACATGTGGGAATTATGGGGATTATAATTCAACGTAAGATTTGGGTGGGAACACAGAGCAAAACTGTATCAACCAATAAAGTCTGTGTTGGAGGATATGGCTTAAGTGTGCATAGCAACACATAACATACCTTCCTTTCCAAGTTCTAAAAACCAAATAAGGGACATAAAGACAGGCAGATCTAAATAGCCACTTATTTCTGGTAAGTGTGGAAAACATGGTTTGGGTGTGGATTGACAATTAGCTTCACAACCCTTTATCCCAGAATTAAGCAACCATAGCTACCTGGACAGTTTTCCTGGGTTTCCAACACTACACTCACCTTGTAGCCAACAGCAGACCAGAGCACAAGCCATTTGCAGAAGGGAAGACACCAGAAAGTAGGAGAATGGGGCTAAGATGGGAATGCTCAGTTCCTCTCCAAACGCATTAACTGGGGTACTTTCTCTACTTCAGAGGGAGAACAAAGGGGTGTGGTGAAAAATGAGGCATGTGTATGGAAAAGTACTCCTGCAAGGCAACCAGAGGAGTGGAAGGAAACTGCAGCCCACCCAGCTTTAACAAAATCTTAATGTTTTGGCTTATTTCATTAATTCCTTTCTTTTACATGAATAACACATTACAGGTACTGTTGAAGCCCTCTGGTATCATTCCATGATCCTATTTATCTCTCCCTCCCTCTCTACTGGTGACCACTACTATTCAGGTTCTGTTTTTATGCTTTTACACATACATTTATCTCACACATGTGTACATATACATAAATAATATACAGGGCTGTTATGCATTTCATAAGTTTTAAATTAGTTGACTAACAGTGGATACAATAAGTATATGATTTTGCAACTTGCTTTTTCATGCAACATGTTTTTGAGATTTATCCATACAGATACTTGTAGCAACATTTTGTTGCGGTTCCTGGGTTGTTATTTTAACTTTTATTTTAGGTTCAGGGGTACATGTACAGGTTTGTCATATAGGTAAATTGCATGTCACAGGGGTTTTGTGTACAGATTATTTTGTCACCCAGGTAATAAGCATAGTATGTGGCAGATGGTTTTTTAATCCTCATCCTCCTCCCACTCTCTCAAGTACATCCCAGTGTCTGTTGTTCCCTACTCTGTGTCCATGTGAACTCAATGTTTAGCTTCCACTTACAAGTGAGAACATGCAGTATTTGGTTTTCTGTTCCTGCATTAGTTCACTTAGGATACTGGCCTCTAGCTCTATACACGTTGCTGCAAAGACCATGATCTCATTCTATTTTATGGCTGCATAGTATTCTATGGTGTCTGTGTACCACATTTTCTTTATCCAGTCTATCGTTGATGGGAATCTAGGTTGATTCCATGTCTTTGCTATTGATTCCAGCAGTGTTTTGTAATTTTCATAGTAGAGACCTTTTATCTCTCTGATTAGTTGTACTGGAAGGTGTTTTATTCTTTTTGTGACTATTATGAATGGGGTTGCATTCTTTGGGATTTGGCTCTCAGGTTGGATTTTGTTGGTGTATAGAAATGCTACTGATTTCTGTACATTGATTTTGTACCCTAAAACTTTGCTGAAGTTGTTGATTACATCTAGGGGCTTTTGGGCAAAGAGTATGAGGTTTTCTAGGTATAGAATTATATTGTTTGCAAACAGAAATAGTTTGACTTCTTCTCTTCCTATTTAGATTCTTTTTTTTTCTTTCTCTTGCCTGATTTCTCTGGCTAGGACTTCTGGTACTATGTCAAATAGGAATGGTGAGAGAGTGGGTATCCTTGTCTTGTTCTGGTTCTCAAAGGAAATGCAGAAGCTAGAAAGCGTTTGATCATTCAGTATAATGCTGGCTGTGGGTCTGTCATAGATGGCTCTTATTATTTTGAGGTATGCTGCTTCAATGTCTAGTTTGTTAAAGGTTTTTAAAATGAAGGGATGTTGAATTTTTAAAAAAGCCTTTTATGTGTCTACTGACATGATCATGTGGTTTTTGTTTTTAGTTCTATGTGATGAATCACACTTATTGATTTGTGTATATTGAACCAAGTTTGCATCCCAGGGATACAGCCTGCTCGATCATGGTGGATTAGCTTTTTGATGTGCTGCTGAATTCAGTTTGCTAGTATTTTGTTTAGGATTTTTGCATCTATGTTCATCAGGGATATTGGCCTAAAGTAATCTTTTTTTGGTGTGTCTCTGTCAGTTTTTGGTATCAAAATGATGATACTTCATAGAATGAGTTAGGGAGGGGTACCTTCCTATCGAGTCACCTCCCAATCGAGTACTTCCTCAATTTTTGGGAATAGTTTAAGTAGAACTGGTACCAGCTTTTCTTTAAACATCTGGTAGAATTTAGCTGTGAATTCATCTGGTCCTGGGCTTTTTCTGGTTGGTAAGATTTTTATGGCCGGGTGCGGTGGCTCACGCCTGTAATCCCAGCACTTTGGGAGGCCGAGGCGGGTGGATCATGAGGTCAGGAGATCGAGACCATCCTGGCTAACAAGGTGAAACCCCGTCTCTACTAAAAATACAAAAAATTAGCCGGGCGCGGTGGCGGGTGCCTGTAGTCCCAGTTACTCGGGAGGCTGAGGCAGGAGAATGGCGTGAACCCGGGAAGCGGAGCTTGCAGTGAGCCGAGATTGTGCCACTGCAGTCCGCAGTCCAGCCTGGGCGACAGAGCGAGACTCCGTCTCAAAAAAAAAAAAAAAAAAAAAAGATTTTTATTACTGATTCAACTTCAGAAATCGTTATTGTCTGTTCAGGGATTCAATTTTTTCTTGGCTCAGTCTTGGGAGGTTTTATGTTTTATAGAATTCCTTCCATAGAAGAAATGGAATTTATCAATTTCTTCTATGTTTTCTAGTTTGTGCACACAGAGGTGTTCATAGTATCCTCATAGTCACTGAGGGTTCTTTGAATTTTCGTAGGGTGTTAATGGCCCCTTTGTCACTTCTGATTGTGTTTATTTGGATTTTATCTCTTTACTAGTCTAGACAGTGGTCTATCAATTGTATTTGATCTTTCAAAAAACAAATTCCTGGGTTTCTTTATCTTTTGTGTGGTTTTTCACATCCCAATTTCCCTCAGTTCAGCTCTGATTTTTGTTATTTTTCGTCTTCTGCTAGCTTTAGTGTTGGTTTGCTCTTGTTTTTCTAGTTCTTCTAGACATGATGCTATGTTGTTAATTTGAGATCTTTCTAACTTTTTGATGTGGGCATTTAGTGCTGTAAGAGATTCTGGCAAGATGGCCGAATAGGAACAGCTCTGGTCTGCAGCTCCCATCGTGATCAATGCAGAAGACAGGTGACTTCTTCATTTCCAACTGAGGTACCTGGTTCATCCCACTGGGACTGGTTGGACAGTGGGTGCAGCCCACAGAGGGCGAGCTGAAGCAGGGCCGGGTGTTGCCTCACCTGGGAATGCAAGGGGTCAGGGGATTTCCCTTTCCTAGCCAAGGGAAGCCATGACAGACTACCTGAAAAAATGGGGCACTCTCACCCAAATACTGAGCTTTTCCTAAAGGTCTTATCAACTAGCAGACAAGGTGATTCTCTCTTGTGCCTGGCTTGGCGGGTCCCATGCCCATGAAGCCTTGCTCACTGCTAGTGCAACAGTCTGAGATTGATCCGCGAGGTGGCAGCCTGGCTGAGGCAGGGGCGTCTGCCATTGCTGAGGTTTGAGTAGGTAAACAAAGCGGCCAGGAAGCTCAAACTGGGCGGAGCCCACTGCAGCCCAATAAGGCCTACTGCCTCTAGACTCCACCTCTCTGTGCAGGGCATAGCTGAACAAAAGGCAGCAGATAACTTCTGCAGACTTAAACGTCTCCGTCTGAAAGCTCTGAAGAGAGCAGTGGTTCTCCCAGCATGGCGTTTAAGCTCTGAGAACGGACAGACTGCCTCCACAAGTGGGTCCCTGACCCCCATGTAGCCTAACTGGGAGACATCTCCCAGTAGGGGCCAACAGACACCTCATATAGGCGGCTGCCCCTCTGGGACAAAGCTTCCAGAGGAAGGATCAGGCAGCAATATTTGCTGTTCTGCAATAATTGCTGTTCTGCAGCCTCCGCTGGTGATACCCAGTGAAACAGGGTCTAGAGTGGAACTCCAGCAAACTCCAACAGATCTGCAGCTGAGGGACCTGACTGTTAGAAGGAAAACTAACAAACAAAAAGGAATAGCATCAACATCAACAAAAAGGTCATCTACACCAAAACCCCATTTGTAGGTCACTAACATCAAAGACCAAAGGTAGATAAAAACACAAAGATGGGGAGAAAACAGAGCAGAAAAGCTGAAAATTCTAAAAATCAGAGCACCTCTTCTCTTCCAAAGGATCGCAGCTCCTCGCCAGCAATGGAACAAAGCTGGATGGGGAATAACTTTGATGATTGACAGAAGTAGGATTCAGAAGGTCAGTAATAACAAACTTCTCAGAGTTAAAGGAGGATGTTCGAGCCCATCACAAGGAAGCTAAAAACCTTGAAAAAAGATTCGATGAATGACTAACTGGAATAAACAGTGTAGAGAAGACCTTAAATGACCTGATGGAGCTGAAAACCATGGCACAAGAACTTTGTGAATCATGTACAAGCTTCAATAGCTGATTCGATCAAGTGGCAGAAAGGGTATCAGTGATTGAAGATCAAATTAATGAAATAAAGCCAGAAGACAAGGTTAGAGAAAAAAGAGTAAAAAGAAATGAACAAAGCCTCCAAGAAATATGGGACTATGTGAGAACACCAAATCTATGTTTGATTGGTGTACCTGAAAGTGATGGGGAGAATGGAACCACGTTGGAAAACACTCTTCAGTATATTATCCAGGAGAACTTCCCCAACCTAGCAAGGCAGGCCAACATTCAAATTCAGGAAATACAGAGAACACCACAAACATACTCCTCAAGAAGAGCAACCCCAAGACACATAATTGTCCGATTCACCAAGGTTGAAATGAAGGAAAAAGTGTTAAGGGCAGCCAGAGAGAAGGGTCGAGTTACCCACAAAGGGAAGCCAATCAGAGTAACAGCAGATCTCTTGGCAGAAACCCTGCAAGCCAGAAGAGAGTGGGGGCCAATATTCAACATTCTTAAAGAAAAGAATATTCAACCCAGAATTTCATATCCAGCCAAACTAAGCTTCACAAGTGAAGGAGAAATAAAATCCTTTACAGACAAGCAAATGCTGGGAGATTTTGTCACCACCAAGCCTGCCTCACAAGAGCTCCTGAAGGAAGCACTAAACACGGAAAGAAACAACCAGTACCAGCCGCTGCAAAAACATGCCAAATTGTAAAGACCCTTGACGCTATGAAGAAACTGCATCAATTAACAGGCAAAATAACCAGCGAACATCATAATGACAGGATCAAATTCACACATAACAATATTAACCTTAAATGTAAATGGGCTAAATGTCCCAATTAAAAGACACAGACTGGGAAGTTGGATAAAGAGTCAAGACCCATCAGTGTGCTGTATTCAGGAGACCCATCTCACTTGCAGAGACACACATAGCCTCAAAATAAAGGGATGGAGGAAGATCTACCAAGCAAATGGAAAGCAAAAAAATGCAGGGGTTGCAATCCTAGTCTCTGATAAGACAGACTTTAAACCAACAAAGACCAAAAGAGACAAAGAAGGCCATTACATAATGGTAACGGGATCAATTCAACAAGAAGAGCTAACTATCCTAAATATATATGCACCCAATACAAGAGCACCCAGATTCACAAAGCAAGTCCTTAGAGACCTATAAAGAGACCTAGACTCCCAATGAATAATAGTGGGAGACTTTAACACTCCACTGTCAATATTAGACAGATCAATGAGACAGAAGGTTAACAAGGATATCCAGGACCTGAACTCAGCTCTGCAACAAGCAGACCTAATACACATCTACAGAACTCTCCACCCCAAATCAACAGAATATACATTCTTCTCAGCACCACATTACACTTATTCTAAAATTGACCTCATAATTGGAAGTAAAGCACTCCTCAGCAAATGTAAAATAACAGAAATTACAACAAACTGTCTCTCAGACCACAGTGAAATCAAATTAGAACTCAGGATTAAGAAACTCACTCAAAAACTGCACAATTACATGGCAACTGAACAACTTGCTCCTGAATGACTACTGGGTAAATAATGAAATGAAGGCAGAAATAAAGATGTTCTTTGAAACCAATGAGAACAAAGACATAATGTACAGAATCTCTGGGACACATTTAAAGCACTGTGTAGAGGGAAATTTATAGCACTAAATGCCCATGAGAGAAAGCAGGAAAGATCTAAAATCTACACCCTAACATCACAATTAAAAGAACTAGAGAAGCAAGAACAAACAAATTCAAAAGTTAGCAGAAGGCAAGAAATAACTAAGATCAGAGCAGAACTAAAAGAGATAGAGACACAAAAAACCCTTCAAAAAATAAATGAATCTGGGGGATGGTTTTTTGAAAAGATCAACAAAATTGATATACCACTAGCAAGACAAATAAAGAAGAAAAGAGAGAAGAATCAAATAGATGCAATAAAAAATGATTAAGGGGATATCACCACCAATCCCACAGACATACAAACTACCATCAGAGAATACTATAAACACCTCTACACAAATAAACAAGAAAATCTAGAAGAAATGGATAAATTCCTGGACACATATACCCTCCCAAGACTAAACCAGGAAGAAACTGAATCTCTGAATAGACCAATAACAGACTCTGAAACTGAGGCAATAATTAATAGCCTACTAACCAAAAAAAGTCCAGGACCAGATGGATTCACAGCCGAATTCTACCAGAGGTACAAAGAGGAGCTGGTACCATTCCTTCTGAAACTATGCCAATCAATAGAAAAAGAGGGAATCCTCCTTAACTCATTTTATGAGGCCAACATCATCCGATACCAAAGCCTGGCAGAGACACAACAAAAAAAGAGAATTTTAGACCAATATCCCTGATGAACATTGATGCAAAAATCCTCAATAAATTACTGGCAAACTGAATCCAGCAGCACATCAAAAAGGTTATCCACCATGATCAAGTCGGCTTCATCCCTGGGATGCAAGGGTGGTTCAACACATGCAAATCAATAAATGTAATCCATCACATAAACAGAACCAATGACAAAAGCCACATGATTATCTCAATAGATGCAAAAAAGGCCTTCCACAAAATCCAACAGCCTTTCATGCTAAAAACTCTCAATAAACTAGGTATTGATGGAACATACCTCAAAATAATAAGAGCTATTTATGACAAACCCACAGCCAGTATCATACTGAATGGGCAAAAGCTGGAAGCATTCCCTTTGAAAACTAGCACAAGACAAGAATGCCCTCTCTCACCACTCCTATTCAACACAGTGTTGGAAGCTCTGGCCAGCGCAATCAGGCAAGAGAAAGAAATAAAGCGTATTCAATTAGGAAAAGAGGAAGTCAAATTGTTCCTGTTTGCAGATGACATGATTGTATATTTAGAAAACCCCATTGTCTCAGCCCAAAATCTCCTTGAGCTGCTAAACAACTTCAGCAAAGTCTCAGGATACAAAATCAATGTGCAAAAATCACAAGCATTCCTATACACCATTAACAGACAAACAGAGAGCCAAATCATGAGTGAACTCCCATTCACAATTGCTACAAAGAGAATAAAATACCTAGGAATCCAACTTACAAGGATGTGAAGGACCTCTTCCAGGAGAACTACAAACCACTGCTCAACGAAATAAAAGAGGACACAAACAAATGGAAGAATATTCCACACTCATGGATAGGAAGAATCAATATCATGAAAATGGCCATACTGCCCAAAGTAAATTATAGATTCAATGCCATCCCCATCAAGCTACCAATGACTTTCTTCACAGAGTTGGAAAAAACTACTTTAAAGTTCAAATGGAACCAAAAAAGAGCCTGCATTGCCAAGACAATCCTAAGCCAAAAGAACAAAGCTGGAGGCATCATGCTACCTGACTTCAAACTATATTACAAGGCTACAGTAACCAAAACAGCATGGTACTGTTACCAAAACAGATATATGGACCAATGAAACAGAACAAAGCCCTCAGAAATAACACCACACATCTACAACCCTCTGATCTTTGACAAACCTGACAAAAACAAGAAATGGGGAAAGGATTCCCTGTTTAATAAATGGTGCTTGGAAAACTGGCTAGCCATATGCAGAAAGCTGAAACTGGATCCCTTCCTTACACCTTATACAAAAATTAATTCAAGATGGATTAAAGACTTAAATGTTAGACCTAAAACCATAAAAACCCTAGAAGAAAACCTAGGCAACACCATTCAGGACATAGGCATGGGCAAGGACTTCATGACTAAAACACCAAAAGCAATGGCCACTAAAGCCAAAATAGACAAATGGGATCTAATTAAAGAGCTTCTGCACAGCAAAAGAAACTACCATCAGAGTGAACAGGCAACCTACAGAATGGGAGAAAATTTTTGCAATCTACTCATCTGAAAAAGGGCTAATATCCAGAATCTACAAAGAACTCAAACAAATTTACAAGAAAAAAACAACTCCATCAAAAAGTGGGCAAAGGATATGAACAGACGCTTCTGAAAAGAAGACATCTATGCAGCCAACAGACACGTGAAAAAATGCTCATCATCACTTGTCATTAGAGAAATGCAAATTAAAACCACAATGAGAGAAAAAAACAACTCCATCAAAAAGTGGGCGAAGGATATGAACAGACGCTTCTGAAAAGAAGACATCTATGCAGCCAACAGACACGTGAAAAAATGCTCATCATCACTTGTCATTAGAGAAATGCAAATTAAAACCACAATGAGATACCGTCTCATGCCAGTTAGAATGGCAATCATTAAAATGTCAGGAAACAACAGATGCTGGAGAGGATGTGGAGAAATAGGAATGCTTTTACACTGTTGGTGGGAGTGTAAATCAGTTCAACCACTGTGGAAGACAGTGTGGCGATTCCTCAAGGATCTAGAACTAGAAATATCATTTGACCCAGCCATCCATTACTGGGTATATACCCAAAGGATTATAAATCATGCTACTATAAAGACACATGCATATGTACGTTTATGGAGGCACTATTCACAATTGCAAAGACTTGGAACCAACCCAAATGTCCATCAATGATAGACTGGATTGAGAAAATGTGGCACATATACACCATGGAATACTATAGAGCCATAAAAAAGGATGAGTTCATGTCCTTTGCGGGGAGATGAATGAAGCTGGAAACCATCATTCTCAGCAAACTATCACAAGGACAGAAAACCAAACACTGCATGTTCTTACTCATAGGTGGGAACTGAACAATGAGATCACTTGGACACAGGACGGGGAACATCACATACCGGGGCCTTGTTGGGGGGTGGTGGGCTGGGGGAGGGGTAGCATCAGGAGAAATACCTAATGTAAATGATGAGTTGATGGGTGCAGCAAAGCAACATGGCACATCTATACCTATGTATCAAACCTGCACGTTGTGCACATGTACCCTAGAACTTAAAGTATAATTAAAAAAAAAAAGAGAGAGAGATTCTGGCATGTGGTATCTTTGTTCACATTAGTTTCAAAGAATTTATGGAATTGTGCCTGAATTTTATTGTTTACCCAAAAGTCATTCAGGAGCAGTTTGTTTAATTTCCGTGTAATTGTACAGTTTTGAGTGATTTTTAAATATCGATTTCTATTTTTATTGTGCTATGCTCTGAGAGTGTGGTTGGTATGATTTTTTTTTGAGTTTGCTAAAAAATTTTTTTGAGTTTGCTAAGAATGATTGTGTGGTCAATTTTAGAGTATGTGCCATGTAAAGATGAGAATAATATATATTCTGTTGTTTTGGGGTGAAGAATTCTGTAGATGTCTTTTAGGTCTATTTGGTTAAGTGTCAAGATCAGGTGTCAAAAATCTTTGATAGTTTTCTACCTCAATAATCTGTCTGTGAGGTGGGTGTTAAAATCTCCCACTATTATTGTGTGGTTATCTAAGTCTCTTCATAGGTCTCTAAGAACTTGATTATGAATCTGGGTACTCCCTTGTTGAGCCCATGTAGTTAGGATAGTTAGCTCTTCTTGTTGAACCCTTTACTGTTATGTAATTTCCTTCTTTGTCTTTTCTGATCACTGTTTTCTTAAATTATGTTTTATCTAAAATTAGAATAGCAACCCTCACTTTTTTTCTGTTTTCTAGCTAGATTTTTCTCCATCCCTTCATTTTGAGCCTATGGATGATGGATGTCATTGTATGTTAGATGGGTCTCTTGAAGACAGCATGCAGTTGGGTCTTGTTTCTTTATCCAATTTGCCATTCTGTGCCTTTTAATTGGGGCTTTTAGCCTGTTTACATTCAAGGTTAATAGTGATATGTGCAGATTTAATCCTGTCATCGTGGTGTTAGCTGGTTATTATGCAGATTTGATTGTGTGGTCACATTATAGTGTCAATGGTCTATGTACTTAGTGTGCTTTTGTGATGACTGGTAATGGTCGTTCCTTTCTGTATTTAGCAATCCCTTAAAGGCCCCTTCTAAGACAGATCTGGTGGCAACAAACTTCTTTAGCATTTGCTTATCTGAAAAGGATCTTATTTCTCCTTTACTTATGAAGCTTAATTTGGCTGGATATAAAATTCATGGTTGCAATTTCTTTTCTTTAAGAACACTGAATATAGGCCCCCAATCCCCCAATCTCTTCTGGCTTGTAAGGTTTCTGCTGAAAGATTTGCTGTTAGCCTGATGGGGTTCCCTTGTAGGTGACCTGCCCTTTCTCTCTAGCTGCCTTTAACATTTTGTCTTTCACTTTGACCTTGGAGAATATGATGACTATGTGTCTTGGGGATGGTTGTCTTGTATAGTATGCAGGGGTTCTCTGCATTTCCTGAATTTGAATGTTGGCCTCTCCAGTGAAGTTGGGGAAATTTTCATGGATGGTATCCTCAAATATGTTTTCCAAGTTGTTTGCTTTCTCTCCCTCTCTTTCAGGAAAACCAGTGAGTCACAGATTTGGTCTCTTTAGACAATCCCATATTTCTTGGAGGTTTTGTTTATTCTTCTTTATTCTTTATTTTTGTCTAAGTTATTTCAGAGAACTGGTCTTCAAGCTCTGAGATTCTTTCCTCAGGTTTGTTGATCTGCTGTCAATACTTGTAATTGTTTTATGAAATTCTTGAAGTGAGTTTTTCAGTTGTATCAGATCAGTTTGGTTCTTTCCTAAAATAGCCATTTTGTCTTTCATCTCCTGTATTGTTTTATTGTATTCCTTAGATTTCTTGGATTTGGTCTTGACTTTCTCCTGAATCTTGATGATCTTTGTTCCTATTCATATTCTGAATTCTGTTTCTGTCATTTCAATAATTTTATCCTGGTTAAGAACCATTACTGGGGAACTAGTGTGGTTATTTGGAGGTAAGAAGATACTCTCGCTTTTTGAGTTACCAGAGTTCTTGTACTGGTTCACTTATTCTTTGTGGGCTGATATTCCTTCAATCTTTGAAGTTGCTGTCCTTTGGATTTTTTTTTTTCTCTTATCCTCTTTGATGTCCTTGGGGGTTTGATTGTAGTATAGGGTGGGTTCAGTCAACTGGTTTCATTTCTGGAAGATTTCAGGGGAACAAGGCTCAGCTCATCACTCATGGACTGTGTCCTGTAACTCCTGGGGGGCTGGTACCAGGACCCTGGCTTTGCTCTCTGGCCCCTTGAGGTTAGGAACCTGCTGTGCTGGAGGGACTGAGGTGTTCCCAATCTGCTGGTCATTACACTTTAATGGGTGGTGCTGGCCAAAGCACTTTATCAAGATGGTGGCAGCAGGATTCATGCTCACTTGGATGCCAGCAGCCATGGCAACACAGTGGGATGTGTGTGCATCAGCTGGGGTGGGGTACTGGTGGGAGCAGGGCTGAAGCACTCCTGAACAGACTTGTGCCAGTAGTGGTGGCAGAAGGCAGGGGCAGGGCACTGGCAGGGGTGGGGTTGCTGGTGTCCATGCTTGCACTCACAGTGGCAGTGGCAGCAGGGGGCAGGATGCTGGTGGGCACAGGATGTTGGTGGGTGTGAGATGCTGGCAGGCACAGGCATGCTGGTGTCTGTGTGCATGTTCACCTGAGTAGTGGTGTCAGGTGGAAGGCGAAGCTGCTGGTGTCCATGAGCACATTCGCATTGGTGGTGGTGGTGGTGCAGGAGGGGCAGTATTGCCAGCACCTGTGAACATTTTTGTGTTGGTGATGGCAGCTAAAGTTTTTAAGTATATGAGTAAATCATGCTTTTTATCCATTCTTCTACTGCCATTTAGTTGTTAATTTGTTCCCCAGTTTTTACCTTTATAAGCAATGTTGATACAAACAGTCTTGTAAACATTCCCTTTTGCATACGAACAAGTTATTATAGAGTAGTGATTCTCAAGTAAGGTGGGGTATTGGACCCCTCCCAAAGTCGAAAGTGCTTGGAAATGTATAAAAACTGTCTGGGTTATCAAATTACTGGCAGTAGTACTACCAGCTTTAGTACTGGGAACCAGAGATGCTCAATGTCCTTCAATGCGTTGGATGGTAACACATAAAGAACTATCCCACTCCGAATGCAAATAAGTCCACCACTAGAAACACTATTCTAAATATATCTCTGTAAGTGACAAAACTGTATCAGAGTATGTAAATCCTCCTCAACTTTATTTTATATTGAAAGATGGCTTTTCAATCTAGTTTTACCAATTTATAACTCCACCAGTTCTTATTAAGGCCACATCCTTGCTAACACTTGTGACTATTAAATTTTATAATTTTTTGCACATTTAATAAAAATTAAATGGTGTTTCATTATTTTCTTAATTTTCATTTCTAGGGATACTAGTTGAAGCGGAACATGTTTTCATGCAGCCACTGGAGTCTAGTCTTCTGTTCAGTCTAGTCTGTGAAATGTCTATTCTTATCCTTTGTTTATTTTTTATTGCGTATTTATCTTTCCCTTATTGGTTTATAAGAGTTGAATGCAGTGCACCAGCATGACACATGTATACATATGTATCTAACCTGCACAATGTGCACATGTAGATAATTAAAAAAAAAAAGAGTTGAATGCATCTTGGATATATTGTGGCTACAAATTCTTTGTGTATATTGTAACTATACATCAATAGTATATGTTATAGATATCTTGCCTCACCTATCTCTTACCTTTGAATTTTGTTTGTGGTGTCTTTTGTAGAATAGGAAATTTTAAAAGTTTTAATGTAGACAAGTTTATTAATATTTTCTTTTCTGGTTTGTGCTTTTGGCATTTTGGTCAATATGCTCCTTCTTACCATACTCTCGTATATTTTCTTTATGGAGTTTAATGCTTTTGCTTACTCCACCCCTCATATCTGGGTCTTTAACCTGTGGATTTTTTTTTTTTTTTTGGTTATATGAGTTAGAAAACTAATTTTATTTTCATATGGATTACCAATTGGTACATCAAATTAATTTAACTGTCTGTCATTTTCCCACTGATTTCTAATATCCCTTCTTTGAGTTTCAGTTGTTCTGCATTCTTGTCAGCACTTGTTATGATCAATATTTTTAATTTTAGATATTTTAATAGGCGTATAGTGGTATTTCATTGTGGTTTTAACTTAACACCTCTCTAACAACTAATGCTGCTGAGCATATTTTCATGTACTTACTTACCAACTATATCTTTTTTGGTAAAGTGTCCTTCCAATTCTTGTCCATTTTAAGATTTTTTTTAATTGTTGATTTTTGAAGGTTTTTAAATATAGTCTGGATATAAGTCCTTTATCAGAAATACATTTTCCAAATATTTCTTATATTCTGTGTCATATAATTTCGTTTTTCAACAATGTCTTTTAAAGAGCAACATTTCAAGGTTTTTTATAAAAGTCAATGTATCAGTTTCTTCTTTTATGGTTTGTGCTGTGTTCTACCTAAAAATCTTTTTCTAATCCAAGAAATTTTGTATACAAATGCACTAAGGGCTGAGATTATTTTTCTTTGCAGACGTATGTATAATAATTCCAGCTCCATTTGTTGAAAAACTATCCTTTCTCCATTGAATGGCCTTGGCACCTTTGTCAAAAGTCAAATTGACCATATATGTGTGGATCTATTTTTGGACTCTCTATCCTGTTCCATTGATCTATAGATCTTTTCTTATACCGGTTTGAACGACTTGACTACTGTAGCTTTATATTAAGTCTAGAAATTAGATGGTATGAGTTCTCTAATTGTGTTCTGTTTCTCAAAAGTATTTCCCCTTTGGTCCTTTGCTTTTCTAGAGAAATTTTAGAAACAACCTATCAATTTATAGTGGGGAAAAAAGCTACTGAGATTTAGAAGGTCAGAGTTGCATTGAGTCTCTGGACCAATTAGAAAACTGACATATTTTTTCCACATTGAGTCTTCCCGTCCATAAATATGGTATTATTTCTCTATTTATCTGTAGATATTTAAATTTTTCTTAACAATGTTTTACATTTTCAGGCTACACACTTTGCACATATTTTGTTAGAACTGCCTCAGAGTATTTCAGGATTTCTGATGCTATTGTTTTTAAATTTCATTTTCTAATCGTTTACTGCTGCTATATAGAAATGCAATTGATTTTTATAACATTGGCCTTATATCATAAGATTTGCTAAACTCACATATTAGTTCTAGGAGCCATTTTTTGTAGATTATTTGGAATTTCCAATAAACAATATTATGCCATCTGTGAATAAAGACAAATTTTACTTCATCGTTTCCATTCTGCATGCCTGTTATTTCTTATTCATGCCTTATTGCACCGGTTAGTACCTTGAGTACAATGTTTTTTTGTTTGTTTGTTTTGTTTTGTTTTTCGAGATGGAGTTTCACTCCTGTTGCCCAGGCTGGAGTGCAATGGCACAATTGCGGCTCACCACAACCTCCGCCTCCCAGGTTCAAGCAATTCCCCTGCCTCAGCCTACCCAGTAGCTGGGATTACAGGCAAGTGCCATCGTGCCCAGCTAATTTTGTATTTTTAGTAGAGACGGGGTTTCCCCATGTTGGTCAGGTTGGTCTTAAACTCCCGAACCCAGGTGATCTGCCCGCCTCGGCTTCCCAAAGTGCTGGGATTACAGGCGTAAGCCACCATGCCAGGCCCTCAGTACAATGTTAAAGGGCTGCTTTGTTAGTGATCTTAAGAGGAAAGCCTTCAATTTCTCACCCTTAAGTATGATGTTAGCTGTAGGTTTTAGTTGATATCCTTTATTAATTTCAGGACATTCCCTCCTATTCCTAACTTGCTGAGCATACCTTTTTAAAAAAATCATGAGCAAATGTTGGGTTTTGTTAAATACTTTTTCTGCAACTACTGAGATTAATATTTTTGAAGGGAAGGAGACTGTTTTAATTGGTGATTCTTGCCATTTTTGACAGATACTGTTTATCAGGTTAAGGACATTTTCTTCAATTCCTAGTTTCTAAATTTAAAATTTTCTGAATAGATTTTATTTTTATTTAATGCTTTGTATCATTTTGATGCTTGTATAACTTTTATTCTTTATTGTTTACATAATAAATAACACTAACATATTAAACAATGCTTGTATTCCTAACATAAACCTTACTTTGCCTATCTGAATCTGATTTGTGTTTTACTTGGGATTTGAATCTATATTCAAAATGCA
This sequence comes from Homo sapiens, assembly GCF_000001405.40. Lineage (NCBI taxonomy): Eukaryota > Metazoa > Chordata > Mammalia > Primates > Hominidae > Homo > Homo sapiens. Next base: position 72,336,795 of record NC_000016.10, read on the forward strand.
ATTGGTCTAATAGTTTCTTTCCTTCCACAGTTATTTCCATCAGTACCAAAACTACTCTTGCTTCATAAGAAAAATTTGGTATGCCTGCTTTATCTTTTTACTATTTTCTAATCAAGTTTGTATAAAACAGTAATTAATTTTCCTTAAATGTGTGGTAAAATCGTCATTTCTGGTCCTTTTTACATGGATTCTTTGATTACTAATTCAATTTTCTTAATGATTATTCATTTATTCAGATTTTTATTTCTTTCTGGATAATTTTTATAATTTAAGAAAAGTCCATTTTAGGCTGGGCGCGGTGGCTCACGCCTGGGAGCCAGCACTTTGGGAGGCCAAGCCAGGTGGATCATGAGGTCAGGAGTTCGAGACCAGCCTGACCAACATGGTGAAATCCCGTCTCTACTGAAAAAAAAAAAAAAATACAAAAATTAGCTGGGCATGGTGGTGCATGACTGTAATCCCAGCTACTCAGCAGGCTGAGGCAGGAGAATCACTTGAATCTGGGAGGCAGAGGTTGCAGTGAGCCAAGATTGCGCCATTGTGCTCCAGCCTGGGCAACAGAGTGAGACGCTGTCTCAAAAAAATTAAAAAGTCCATTTTAAATGTTTTTGAATATATTGGCATACAATTATTCATAATATTCATAAGTGATTGAAAAATTCTCTACAGATTTATACCTCTGTTCTATTTTTTAATCCTAATTTTTATTAATCTGTGTTTTTTATATCTGTTCTTAATTTGTCTGGCTACATGCTTTTTTTTTTTTTTTACTCTTTTCAAAGACTGGTTTTTGACTTGTTGATCCTCTGTATTATTTCTTTGTTTTTAATTTTATTAGTTTATGCTTTTTTCTCCATTATTTCTTTCCTTCTACTTTTTTTTTTATTTATTCTGTTCTAGCTTCATGAGTCAAACACTTAAGTTACTTTTTTACAATCTTTTTTATGCTTCACAAATATATTTAAAGGTATACATTTATGCTTCAGTACCATGTGGTTACAGTGCATGAATTTTAATATATAGAACTTTAATTTTCATTTCTATCTAAATCTTTTCACATTTGCTTTGTAGATTTTCTTTTAAAGGCAGCCCAGAGAACAGGGAAGTGGAGCAAGAGCAGGGAGGAGTCACAAAAAGACAAACCAGGAGACTCCTTTCCCACTGGAAGTTCCCAGGTCTGGGTCAGAACTGAGCTGCAGGAGAGTAGAAAAGGGTAGGAGCTTTAAATTGGATTTACAAGGGACTAGATTTTTTACTACCTGAAAATGAAGATTGTTTATTAATACCTGAAAGTGACAAAAAAAACAAAAAACAAAACAAAAAAAACCCCTGGGGTCCGTGTCAGAGGAAGTAGATCAGACAGGAGTGTGGAAGGGATTAGTTGGAAGGATACAAGACTATTTCTTGATTGAAACCTACTGAATCCAACATGTTCAATGAACACGTATTGTAATTACTGATATATCTGGACTCATTTCTAAATTGTTATTTTGCATTTTCTATTTATTTTGTTTTTATTTCCTTTTTAATCTGCATATTATATTGATAAAAATTTTCATATTCTTTTCCATTTCAAGTTTGAAAACTATATTCATTTATAAATAAATTTTTCTAAAGTCTAAAACATTAAGTTATTACATACATAACTCTTCCTCTTGCATATCACATGGATATTTGTGCATGTTAATTGCCCATTAAACATTAAATAACACCCTCTACCATTCTATTTTTCTCTTACTTTTGGATTAACCTTTTTTAAAACAAAAAAAAAATCACTAAACCTTTCTACAATTGGCAATTAACAACATATTTATCATTTTTATGCTTGTTGTACTTTCTTATGTCCCATGCCTCCCTCTGGGTTAACATTTCTTTCTTTCTCTCCTTCTCATTCCCTTCCCTTCTCCTTCCCTCCCTTCTTCCTTCCTGTTTCTTTTGAGACAGGGTCTTGCTCTGTCACCCAGGCAGGAGTGCAGTGGAATAATCATAACTCACTGCATCCCCAACTTCTGAGGCTCAAGCAATCCTACTATCTCAGCCTCCTGAGTAGCTAGGACCATAGGCATGTACCACCACACCCTGTTAATTTAATTTTTTATAGGGATGGGGTATCACTATGTTGCCTAGGCTGGCCTTGAATGTCTGATCTCAAGTGATTCTCCCAGCTTGGCTTCCCAAAGTGCTAGGATCACAGGTGTAAGCCACTGTGCCTGGCTGACTTTGTTTCTTATATGCTTGAATCCTTTCTGGTTGCACAGTAAGGATCTGTACTTTTGCCTTCCTTCTTGAATGTTAGTATAGTTGAGTATAAAATTTTGAATTGACAATTTTTTCTCCCAAACACCATTATATGATGGTATTTATGGGTATTCCTTATAATGTGATGTGATGTGATTTTATATTTATTTATTTATCCTGCTCATTATTCAAGACACAATTTAAACATGAAGACTGCTAACTTTTGAATTCTGGAAATTTCCAAGATGTCATGTTTTTAAATATTCCTTCTATTTCATATACCATTCCTTCTATTTGTTTCTTGAAGATCAACTTTTAGATGTGGCTTGGGGCCTCACAATATATCCTCTTTATCTTAACGATTTTTACTTTACTTCTTTGTCGTTCTGTGTGAATTTCTTAATACTGCCTTATATGTCATTAATTATTTCTTTGCCTGTGTATAACCTAGATTTTATTACATCTATTGAGTTTAAATTTGCCACCTATAGATATTAAGATACTATTCTAGTTTGAATGCAGAATAGATTTTTAAAAGATAATCACCCTAGGGTTACTGTTCTGAATTTGAGAAGTGTGTACCCCAGAATACATGGAAAGAGACAATTTCTTATAGTGTGCCAATTGTGTTATTTCATAACTAAGTAGATATAGCTTATATTGCCTTATAAAACCCACTTTTGTTTATTCCTATGATACATTATAAGAATAATATTTGGATAATGTTAGTAACTTTGATTATTCTTTTTCTTCAATGGTCTGAGTTGAAAGCTCTTTAAGGAGAGGAGACTTTTTGTGATTGTTTAAAAAGAAAAGCAACAAAACAATTGTATTTTCAAAATAATATATGCAAGGATGTTTGGAGTCAGTTTTTTTTCTTTTTTGAGACGTAGTCTTGTCCTGTTGCTCAGGCTGGAGTGCAGTGGCGCGATCTCGGCTTACTGCAACCTCCGTCTCCCGGGTTAAAGCAATTCTCCTGTCTCAGCCTCCCAAGTAGCTGGGAGTACAGGTGCCTGCCACCACACCAGGCTAATTTTTGTATTTTTAGTAGAGACGGGGTTTCATCAAGTTGGCCAGGCTGGTCTTGAACTCCTGACTTCGTGATCCACCCGCCTTGGCCTCCCAAAGTGCTGGGATTACAGGTGTGAGCCACTGTAACCGTCTTTTTTTTTTTTTTTTTTTTTTTTTTTTTTTTGAGACAGAGTCTTGCTCTGTCGCCAGGCTGGAGTGCAGTGGTGCCATCTCGGCTCACTGAAACCTCTGCCTCCTGGGTTCAAGTGATTCCCCTGCCTCAGCCTCCTGAGTAGCTGGGATTACAGGTGTGCGCCACCACGCCTGGCTACTTTTTTGTATTTTAGTACAGACGGGGTTTCACTATGTTGACCCCTATGGTCTCGATCTTCTGACTTTGTGATCCGTCCATCTCAGCCTCCGAAAGTGCTGGAATTACAGGCATGAGCCACCGTGCCCGGCCCAGTTTTCTTAATTCAATACATTAAGGAAGACTGGGTAATGAGTACATTTTAAATATTTCAAATGCAAATAAAAGACAGCTAAACAGGCATTCTGTCGAATTTCTCCCAAATGATTTCAGAACGTATCCAAAACATGTAATGCTTTTGTCTAAAAAGAATTATGTACAGGAAATGCTAAGAGATTAGAAATAGGGATCTTTAATGGAGAATATCTGGCATTACAATATAGTGGTTGGTATGAAAGTTACAATAGTAAATTTTAAGTAAATTTAATTTTTAGTCCACATTGGGTGATTAAATGAGAGTGGTTTGAAATGAGTTTATGATTAGCTCATTTTAATGTATTAATTATTGTCATCTGAACTGATTAGCTTATGGAAATGTTTTCCTTTCCCCTGGGGAGTATACATACATTTATTAAAAGAAACAAAAGCTAATCCCTAGTAAACATTCTAATTAATATAATGCCTAGTAAACCTTCTAATTAATATAGCATTTATACTTTTAAAATATAATTTACAATAGCAGTTAGAAATGGATAACTAGGGGCTGGGCATGGTGGCTCATGCCTATAATCCCAGCACTTTTGGGGCTGAGGTGGGAGGATTGCTTGAAGCTAGGAGTTCAAAATTAACCTGGCCAACATAGAAAGACCACATCTTAAAAAAAAAGAAACTGAGTAATTAAAAAAACACAAACATCCTCTGTATTCTTGCAGACCATTACAAACTCCCTCAGTCTTGAGTATCTGACATTATTGATCAGCCATTCCTTTAAATAAATATGTCAATTTTTCAATCCTGTTTCAAAATATTAATCTGTTCTCAGGATTTCAAATTTTGTTTCTGATAATCAAAATCTACTTCTACAACCTAATAACATTCAAAAATGTCTACTGCATATTTCCGATTGCATAAACAGCCATATTTTGGCTAATCAGTGAGCACTTTCTATATTAATATGCTTAAAGTTTATTCCAAAGGGGTGTTTATGGAAGCCTTAACTATGCCTGGAATACTGTCCTGGGTACTGGGCTTATATAAATCATGAGGTGTAAGAAGCTCAGAATTAATGATGAAGAGAGATTCATAAACAAATAGTTACAGATATGGTGTCATAAGGGCTGGGAACAGAGAAATGTACACAGTGCGCTCCAAGTGCCCAGAGACACTGGCTAATCCCCTAAGACTCCCCTCCCTACTTCCTCATTCTACTTATTGGAGCTCAAAACACTACAATCATCTTCAGTTCACTCTTCCTATATCCCATATTATCAGATTAGCTACCAAGTTCCAGTTTGATTCTTTCTTCCAAAAATCTCATAGAAATCCCACCCTCCACTATCCTCCATTCCTCCCTATTTACATTGCCACTGTTCTTGTTCATTCTCTCTCAATCTGCTATGGACTGTTTTAATATCCCATTAACCAGACTCCCTGATTTAATTGCTGGGGATCCAATCTTTCAGTACTGTGATGCATTTTCATCATGTCAACAACCAGTACCAGCCGCTGCAAAATCATGCCAAAATGTAAAGACCATTGAGACTAGGAAGAAACTGCATCAACTAACGAGCAAAATAACCAGCTAACATCATAATGACAGGATCAAATTCACACATAACACTATTAACTTTAAATGTAAATGGACTAAATGCTCCAATTAAAAGACACAGACTGGCAAATTGGATAAAGAGTCAAGACCCATCAGTGTGCTGTATCCAGGAAACCCATCTCACATGCAGAGACACACATAGGCTCAAAATAAAGGGATGGAGGAAGATCTACCAAGCAAATGGAAAACAAAAAAAGGCAGGGGTTGCAATCCTAGTCTCTGATAAAACAGACTTTAAACCAACAAAGAAGAAAAGAGACAAAGAAGGCCATTACATAATGGTAAAGGGATCAATTCAACAAGAAGAGCTAACTATCCTAAATATATATGCACCCAATACAGGAGCACCCAGATTCATAAAGCAAGTCCTGAGTGACCTACAAAGAGACTTAGACTCCCACACATTAATAATGGGAGACTTTAACACCCCACTGTCAACATTAGACAGATCAACGAGACAGAAAGTCAACAAGGATACCCAGGAATTGAACTCAGCTCTGCACCAAGCGGACCTAATAGACATCTACAGAACTCTCCACCCCAAATCAACAGAATATACATTTTTTTCAGCACCACACCACACCTATTCCAGAACTGACCACATACTTGGAAGTAAAGCTCTCCTCAGCAAATGTAAAAGAACAGACATTATAAGAAACTATCTCTCAGACCACAGTGCAATCAAACTAGAACTCAGGATTAAGAATCTCACTCAAAGCCGCTCAACTACATGGAAACTGAACAACCTGCTCCTGAATGACTACTGGGTACATAACGAAATGAAGGCAGAAATAAAGATGTTCTTTGAAACCAACGAGAACAAAGACACAACATACCAGAATCTCTGGGACGCATTCAAAGCAGTGTGTAGAGGGAAATTTATAGCACTAAATGCCCACAAGAGAAAGCAGGAAAGATCCAAAATTGACACCCTAACATCACAATTAAAAGAACTAGAAAAGCAAGAGCAAACACATTCAAAAGCTAGCAGAAGGCAAGAAATAACTAAAATCAGAGCAGAACTGAAGGAAATAGAGACATAAAAAACCCTTCAAAAAATTAATGAATCCAGGAGCTGGTTTTTTGAAAGGATCAACAAAATTGATAGACCGCTAGCAAGACTAATAAAGAAAAAAAGAGAGAAGAATCAAATAGACGCAATGAAAAATGATAAAGGGGATATCACCACCGATCCCACAGAAATACAAACTACCATCAGAGAATACTACAAACACCTCTACACAAATAAACTAGAAAATCTAGAAGAAATGGATAAATTCCTTGACACATACACTCTCCCAAGACTAAACCAGGAAGAAGTTAAATCTCTGAATAGACCAATAACAGGATCTGAAATTGTGGCAATAATCAATAGCTTACCAATCAAAAAGAGTCCAGGACCAGATGGATTCACAGCCGAATTCTACCAGAGGTACAAGGAGGAACTGGTACCATTCATTCTGAAAGTATTCCAACCAATAGAAAAAGAGGGAATCCTCCCTAACTCATTTTATGAGGCCAGCATCATTCTGATACCAAAGCCAGGCAGAGATACAACCAAAAAAGAGAATTTTAGACCAATATCCTTGATGAACATTGATGCCAAAATCCTCAATAAAATACGGGCAAACCGAATCCAGCAGCACATCAAAAAGCTTATCCACCATGATCAAGTGGGCTTCATCCCTGGGATGCAAGGCTGGTTCAATATACGCAAATCAATAAATGTAATCCAGCATATAAACAGAGCCAAAGACAAAAACCACATGATTATCTCAATAGATGCAGAAAAGGCCTTTGACAAAACTCAACAACCCTTCATGCTAAAAACTCTCAATAAATTAGGTATTGATGGGACATATTTCAAAATAATAAGAGCTATCTATGACAAACCCACAGCCAATATCATACTGAATGGGCAAAAACTAGAAGCATTCCCTTTGAAAACTGGCACAAGACAGGGATGCCCTCTCTCACCACTCCTATTCAATGTAGTGTTGGAAGTTCTGGCCAGGGCAATTAGGCAGGAGAAGGAAATAAAGGGCATTCAATTAGGAAAAGAGGAAGTCAAATTGTCCCTGTTTGCAGATGACATGATTGTATATCTCGAAAACCCCATCGTCTCAGCCCAAAATCTCCTTAAGCTGATAAGCAACTTCAGCAAAGTCTCAGGATACAAAATCAATGTGCAAAAATCACAAGCATTCCTATACACCAACAACAGACAAACAGAGAGCCAAATCATGAGTGAACTCCCATTCACAATTGCTTCAAAGAGAATAAAATACCTAGGAATCCAACTTACAAAGGATGTGAAGGACCTCTTCAAGGAGAACTACAAACCGCTGCTCAAGGAAATAAAAGAGGATACAAACAAATGGAAGAACATTCCATGCTCATGGGTAGGAAGAATCAATATCGTGAAAATGGCCATACTGCCCAAGGTAATTTACAGATTCAATGCCATCCCCATCAAGCTACCAATGCCTTTCTTCACAGAATTGGAAAAAACTACTTTAAAGTTCATATGGAACCAAAAAAGAACCTGCATCGCCAAGTCAGTCCTAAGCCAAAAGAACAAAGCTGGAGGCATCACACTACCTGACTTCCAACTATACTACAAGGCTACAGTAACCAAAACAGCATGGTACTGGTACCAAAACAGAGATATAGATCAATGGAACAGAACAGAGCCCTCAGAAATAACGCCGCATATCTACAACTATCTGATCTTTGACAAACCTGAGAAAAACAAGCAATGGGGAAAGGATTCCCTATTTAATAAATGGTGCTGGGAAAACTGGCTAGCCATATGCAGAAAGCTGAAACTGGATCCCTTCCTTACACCTTATACAAAAATCAATTCAAGATGGATTAAAGACTTAAACGTTAGACCTAAAACCATAAAAACCCTAGAAGAAAACCTAGGCATTACCATTCAGGACATAGGCATGGGCAAGGACTTCATGTCTAAAACACCAAAAGCAATGGCAACAGAAGCCAAAATTGACAAATGGGATCTAATTAAACTAAAGAGCTTCTGCACAGCAAAAGAAACTACCATCAGAGTGAACAGGCAACCTAGAAAATGGGAGAAAGTTTTCGCAACCTACCCATCTGACAAAGGGCTAATATCCAGAATCTACAATGAACTCAAACAAATTTACAAGAAAAAAACAAACAACCCCATCAAAAAGTGGGCGAAGGACATGAAGAGACACTTCTCAAAAGAAGACATTTATACAGCCAAAAAACACATGAAAAAATGCTCACCATCACTGGCCATCAGAGAAATGCAAATCAAAACCACAATGAGATACCATCTCACACCAGTTAGAATGGCGATCATTAAAAAGTCAGGAAACAACAGGTGCTGGAGAGGATGTGGAGAAATAGGAACACTTTTACACTGTTGGTGGGACTGTAAACTAGTTCAACCATTGTGGAAGTCAGTGTGGCGATTCCTCAGGGATCTAGAACTAGAAATACCATTTGACCCAGCCATCCCATTACTCGGTGTATACCCAAAGGACTATAAATCATGCTGCTATAAAGACACATGCACACGTATGTTTATTCCGGCATTATTCACAATAGCAAAGACTTGGAACCAACCCAAATGTCCAACAATGATAGACTGGATTAAGAAAATGTGGTGCATATACACCATGGAATACTATGCAGCCATAAAAAATGATGAGTTCATGTCCTTTGTAGGGACATGGATGAAATTGGAAATCAACATTCTCAGTAAACTATCGCAAGAACAAAAAACCAAACACCGCATATTCTCACTCATAGGTGGGAATTGAACAATGAGATCACATGGACACAGGAAGGGGAACATCACACTCTGGGGGCTGTTGTGGGGTGGGGGAGGGGGGAGGGATAGCATTGGGAGATATACGTAATGCTAGATGACGAGTTAGTGGGTGCAGCACACCAGCACGGCACATGTATACGTATGTAACTAACCTGCACAATGTGCACATGTACCCTAAAACTTAAAGTATAATAAAAAAAAATACATAAAAAAAAATCTTATTTGTCTTTGGACATAATTTATGAATCAATTTTTTCTTGTTCTATGATTTGTCACCCAATAGGATTTGATAGGCTCCTGTTCGATTCACAGTTGATAGGACAGAAGCACCAGAGCTCAATTAAAATGATACTTGAAAGATACCTGGTATCACTAAAATTTATGGAATTATGTATTAAATGATCCCCAAAGAATCAGCTATTTCAAAATTAAAAATTATTACAAAGAGCTTCATACATCACATTGTATCGTATATCACAAACCATAAAAATGTCAGAAGTAGCTCAATTTCACATTACTGTATTTCTTGATGGTGATCTATCTGGACGAGTAAGCCTTGCTGAATTTGAATGTGGATAATAAAGCTCACACTCTAAGAAAATGTTTAAAATATGAAATAGAACTGGGGATCGTGGTGGAGAATTCCTTGGGAGAATGCAGTTAGGGGATCTTTGAGTCTCAACAGTTTGCAGTTCTTTTCACAGCACATAAATGATTTAACAGTAACACAGAGTGGCCAGAGTAAATTATTTCCATTTCATCACTGCACAACTTATTATAAGTAACCAGATGAGATGCTGAATGATTACATTGTTATGATGTATTCTGATCTGATCTGAGTTTTTATTTTCTTTTTCGTTTTGTTTTGTTTTGATTTTCGATGCCTTGGATCCTTGCCAAATCAATCAGCTGAAGCTGGCTTGAACAACGACAATGTAACTTGCAAAAGCCAGTTCATCAAAACCCTCAGGATCATACAAACAAGGAAAAAATACCAAGGGTCCTCTCTTATTTGTCTTCTTGGCTATCTGTGTTCCATGGGAAGGATATAAAATAACATGAACAGGATTTAAATGCTCTGTTTTGACAGGTTATTAAGATTCCAATCACAACCTGCCTACTATCCCTGATCTAGCTAAATCCAGAAAGGTGGCAGAATGTCTCTAAAGCAGCTACACACACACACACACACACACACACACACACACACAGACACACACACAAAACAAAAAATGCCAGAAAAGATGGAAGAGTAAGAAAATCAGGCCAACATGAATAATTTGGTAGAGTTGCAGAGCAGGGGAGGGTTTTAAACCAAGACACTTGCCAGCATGGCAGGGTATATTGGTGCAGCTGACTGGCATAAAATTCCCTGAAGAGAATTTAGATACTGGTAGCTCAAGTGCTGTCAATCTCATCTTTTTCTACCATATAATCCATAGCTCCAACTGAGACCTCTGTGGGAGGCCAGGTTCTTATCCTCTGAAATTAGAGCCCACCCTCTGTATGAGATTTCCTACCACAGGGCTAGCTCTGATGCAGGCAGTGGGGTACTGACTCTAACTTCTCTAAAGTCCTTTATAAACATTCTTCTAATGATGCAAATTTCACCACGATGAGCACTGGCTCGAGTCCTTGCCTCACACCCTTGTTTCCAAGGCTCTGTTATAATAAAACATGGAGGCTTCCATGGTGAAGGACACTGGGGAATCATTGCAGGATACAGAACTAGGGAGTTCCAAGAATTACAGGAGACAAAGCACTCTGAAACTACGTAGACTAAAATACGTAAAAAATGACTATCATTGGTATATCACAAGGATTGGCCAAACTATTAGCTCATGGGCCACATATGGCTACTGTCTGTTTCTGTAAATAAAGTTGTACTGGAACATAGCCTTGTTCACCTATTCATTTACAAATTGTCTATGGCTGTCATAAGTGAGTGGTTGCAACAGACTGTATGGCCCCCAAAGCTTAAAATAACGACCATCTCTCCCTTTAAAAAAAGAGTTGCTTACCCCTGATACAGAATAACTGAGCAAAATCACCTAAGCTTAGTTCTTTGCTGGGAAATAACATGCATGCAGATGATTGTCTGACAGGCCTAATAAAATAACTACAAAGGCTAGGTGCAGTGGCTCACGCCTGTACTCCCAGCACTTTGGGAGGCTGAGGCAGGCAGATAGCATGAGGTCAGGAGTTCGAGACCAGCCTGGTCAATATGGTGAAACCCAGTCTCTAATAAAAATACCCAAATTAGCCAGGCGTGGTGGCACGTGCCTGTAATCCCAGCTACTCAGGAGGCTGAGACAGGAGAATTGCTTGAACCAGGAGGCGGAGGTTGCAGTGAGCTGAGATTGTGCCACTGCACTCCAGCCTGGGCGACAGAGCAAGACTCCCTCTCAAAATAAATAAATAAATAAATAAATAAATAAATAAATAAATAAATAACTACACAAAAGTCATATGGCAACAAAACTCTCCAGGAAGGTACTTGTTAGGATACCTGTTACAAGAGGCAGTATGTATGGTAGAATGAGCATCAACTGTGAACCTAGATTTGACCCATATTTCTGCTGTTTATTGGGCCGAACAAACCTTGCCTCACAGAGTTATTATCAGGATTAAATGTTATGATCTAACTCAGCAGTACCTAACCTTTTTGGCACCAGGGACCAGGTTTGTGGAAGACAATTTTTCCACGGATGCCAGGGGTTGGGGGGAATGTGATTTTGGGATGAAACTTCTACCTTAGATCATCAGGCATTAGATTCTCATAAGGACTGCACAATCTAGATCCCTTGTATGCAAAGTTTGCAATAGAGTTCGTGCTCCTGTGAGAATCTAATGTTGCTGCTGATCTGACAGGATGTGGAGCTCAGGTGGTAATGCTCACTCGCCTGCTGCTCGCCTCCTGCTGTGCGGCCCAGTTCCTAACAGGCCACAGACCAGTACCTGTCCTTGGCCTGAGGGTTGGGGACCCCTGATCTAACTGAGAATACTTAATACTCACTCAACTGTTGTGTTCTTCCTTCCAGTCTCTCTGTCTTCATCATTTCCAGCACTGATCTGAACATATAAGAACAAGACCTTGATACCTTTTGAATAAGAAGTAGCACCTGTCTGGAACTGTATCTTGACTCTCACTGGTGCTTTTCCTTTGGTTGATGCAAAGCTTTCAAATCCTTTAGGGAGATGCCGTTGTGAATATCTATGATAGTCTCCTGTGCCTTCAAAATCTTTGCCTTCTCTGTAGAACCTGGAAAACACAGAAAAGAGGCCCCATACATGAAAGGGAAGGAGAAATTATTGGTTCACAATTAGATAGAGGTTAAAATATCCATTCAGTACTTGTAATGATAGGTTACTATCACTGTTGGTCACATGATTAGATCAATACTTTACATTGAAACCACATGAAATTACTACTTTGGTGTCACCATTATCCATAATGATTGAATTCTACCAGTCAATGTTAATAACTGCAAATGAATTCAATTAACAATCACAGACATTGTCCACAGCAACGGGTTATAAATTCAAAAAGTTATTTTTGTTTGTTGAAAACATAAAAATGTATTTTATATTGAAAACAGTCTGATAATATTAATGTTATATTACTTTTAAACATTAATAATAGCTAACATTCACCAAGCCCTTTTTGTGTGGCACAGTCAAAGACTGCATATGTATCATCTTATTTAATGCTCACAACAACCTAATGAGAAAGGCAAAATCATTACTCCCACTTTATAATAAACTAAGACTTAGAGGAGTTAAAATGACAACTGAAACACATTATAGCATTTCACCAAAACAACATAGCATTTCACTGACAAATTATATAAACTGTTGGTGAAGAAAGAAAATGTTTAAAAAATATGAAGCTTGCTATTTCATGACTCAGTATCTCCTTGCTACATGTTTGTATGTTGAGTCCTTTCCACAACTTAATCTTCAGGTAATTTGATTACACATCATTTTTCATGATGATTAGGTAACAGTAGTCAATTGCCTTTTCAGTTTCAATGCATGTTTTGTTTTTTTTTTCTTTTTGAGACAAAGTCTCGATTTGTTGCCTGGGCTGGAGTGCAGTGGATCAATCACAGCTCATGGCAGCCTTAACTTCCCGGGTTAAAGCGATCCTCCCACTTTAGCCTCCTGAGCAGCTAGCACTACAGGCATGTGCCACCACACCTAATATTTTTTTCATTTTTTTGTACAGGCAGGATCTTGTTCTGTTGCCCAGAATTGCCTTGAACTCTTGGCCTCAAGCGATCCTCCTGCCTTGGCCTCCCAAAGTGCTGGGATCACATGTGTGAGCCTAGCCTCAATGCAATTTTGATGATTTATTTATTTAATTTTCATTTTTATCAATACTTTTAAGTAGATTTTTTGAAAGTCAAAATATCCTATAAATTGTAACAGAAAATAGTAGTCCTTTGTTCAACTTCTACTATCTAAAGTCAACCACTGTCAAATAATTTAGCTGTTTCTTCTAGTATCTGTCTCTGTATTTCTGAAGAACATGCGGGCCTTACAACGTCTTGATTTTTTTCTATTTTAGGCACAACATCCTGACTTCTTAAGAGTGGATTAGGATTTAGTTATCTTATGCTTCCCCTACATTTTGTGCATGCCCACACACTTTTGAATCCTTGCAAAGAACTTATGAAGTAGGTTTTTTTTTTTTTTTTTTTTTTGAGACAGAGTCTTGCTCTGTTCCCCAGGCTAGAGTGCAGTGGGGTGATCTTGGCTCACTGCAACCTCTGCCTCCCAGGTTCAAGAGATTCTCGTGCCTCAGCTTCCCAAGTAGCTGGGACTACAGGTGCATGTCACCACACCCGTCTACTTTTTTGTATTTTTCATGGAGGTTTTGCCATGTTGCCCAGGCTGGTCTTGAACTCCTGAGCTCAAGCGATCCATCCGCCTTGGCCTTCCAAAGGGCTGGTATTACAGGTGTGAGCCACAGTGCCTGGCCTGAAGTAGATATTATTATCTCTGTTTGACAGAAAAAAAAAAAACAAAGACTCAGAGAAGTTATGTATCTTGTTGTAGATTAAGATTCAAAGCAGTTCTTACTCCAAGCTTCTCTTTCAATCAGATACTCTAACATGCTCCATTTCCTTGAAGATACTTTAACACCCCTCACTCTCATCAAGAAGAAAAATTTTTGTCAGACAACAAAACAGCCATTCTATGGCCACACTTTGTTCTACCACACTTTGTTAAAAGTGGATCCCAGGAAAACTTGTAACCTCAAGATTTTAACTAAATTGGGACTAAAATCCAGGATTTGAACCACCATCAAACTGGATTATACGTTATTACTTCTGCCACCTTGGCACTGGTCCCCATTTGGCCTTATCACCTCTGTCTTCCCTGTTCTGCTACCTTTTGCCTAATCTTCATTACTTCAAACACAGAATATTGTAAAGCCTCCCAAAAAGTTCTCCAAACCACATCCATACCACCTTATGCATCACTGCCAATCAATCTTCCTGAAACAGAGTTCCAACCTGCCATCCCTGTTAAAATCTTCTATGGATTTACACTTGGCTCCAAATTAAATACAAGGGCTCAAGACCGTCCATCCAATGGTCTAAACATTTATTGCTCTCAGAACTCAACCTCTAAATTACTGTATTCTCTTTTTTTCAAACACCCTCATTTCTATTTTGCCACTATCTTTTTTCATCCCATTTCTTGCTCATCATTTCTGCTTTTAGAAGTACCCCAATTCCCAATTTAAATTCCACTTTTCCTTGTTTTCCCAGTTAGAAATTTTTTATTGATTTTTTGAAACTTCCTTAGTTTATGCTTCTTTTATATAACTGATACACAAATAATGGAAGCCAGAACATAATGTTTTACTTCCCCAATAGGTGGTAAGTTTTACAAAGATAGGGACAATGACTTGTTCATTTAATGTTACTCATAGTGCTTAGCAGTGTCTTGAACAAGAATCCAATAGATGTTTACTGAATGAACAAACAAATTTAGGTTTAGGTTAGAAATCAAACATGGTTTTGGGCAAAATGAAATCAAAACAAAAAGTATATACAGAGGTCTCAAAATGTCTTTTCCCTAATCCTTTAAAATGACTTTTTATGTTGTATGTACATCCTGTTGAGTTCAAGTTACTTTTTTTTTTTTTTTTTGAGACGGAGTTTTGCTCTTGTTGCCCAGGCTGGAGTGCAATGGCGTGATCTCGGCTCACTGCAACCTCTGCCTCCCGGGTTCAGGTGATTCTCCTGCCTCAACCTCCCAAGTAGCTGGGATTACAGGCATGCGCTACCACGCCCGCCTACTATTGTATTTTTAGTAGAGATGGGGTTTCTCCAAGTTGGTTAGGGTGGTCTCAAACCCCGATCTCAGGTGATCCACCCACCTCAGCCTCCCAAAGTGCTGGGATTACAGCTGTGAGCTACCGAGCCTGGCCCAAGTTATTTCTCCATAAGTTTTAGAGAAAGTCAATTAAGATAAATAATAACAGAAATATAGACAAATGGAACAGAACAGAGCCCTCAGAAATACTACCACACATCTACAACCATCTGATCTTCGACAAACCTGACAAAAACAAGAAATGGGGAAAGGATTCCCTATTTAATAAATGGTGCTGGGAAAACTGGCTAGCCATATGTAGAAAGCTGAAACTGGATCCCTTCCATACACCTTACACAAAAATTAATTCAAGATGGATTAAAGACTTAAAGGTTAGACCTAAAACCATAAAAACCCTAGAAGAAAACCTAGGCAATACCATTCAGGACATAGGCATGGGCAAGGACTTCATGTCTAAAACACCAAAAGCAATGGCAACAGAAGCCAAAATTGACAAATGGGATCTAATTAAACTAAAGAGCTTCTGCACAACAAAAGAAACTACCATCAGAGTGAACAGGCAACCTACAGAATGGGAGAAAATTTTTGCAATCTACTCATCTGACAAAGGACTAATATCCAGAATCTACAATGAACTCAAACAAATTTACAAGAAAAAAACAAACAACCCCATCAAAAAGTGGGCAAAGGATATGAACAGACACTTCTCAAAAGAAAACATTTATGCGGCCAACAGACACATGAAAAAAATGCTCATCATCACTGGCCATCAGAGAAATGCAAATCAAAACCACAATGAGATACCATCTCTCACCAGTTAGAATGGTGATCATCAAAAAGTCAGGAAACAACAGGTGCTGGAGAGGATGTGGAGAAATAGGAACGCTATTACACTGTTGGTGGGACTGTAAACTAGTTCAACCATTGTGGAAGACAGTGTGGTGATTCCTCAAGGATCTGGAACTAGAAATACCATTTGACCCAGACATCCCATTACTGGCTATATACCCAAAGGATTATAAATCATCCTGCTATAAAGACACATGCACACGTATGTTTATTGCGGCACTATTCACAATAGCAAAGACGTGGAAACAACCCAAATGTCCACCAATGATAGACTGGATTAAGAAAATGTGGCACATACACACCATGGAATACTACGCAGCCAGAAAAAAGGATGAGTTAATGTCCTTTGTAGGGACATGGATGAAGCTGGAAACCATCATTCTCAGCAAACTATTGCAAGGACCAAAAACCAAACACCGCATGCTCTCACTCATAGGTGGGAATTGAACAGTGACAACACTTAGACACAGGAAGGGGAACATCACACACTGGGGCCTGTCATGGGGTGGGGGGAGGGGGAGGGATAGCATTAGGAGATATACCTAATATAAATGACAAGTTAATGGGTGCAGCACACCAACATGGCCCATGTATACATATGTAACAAACCTGCACGTTGTGCACATGTACCCTAGAACTTAAAGTATAATAACAAAAAAAAGATAAATAATAAGAAAAAGAATATACAAAGTAGGGTAGATTCAAGAATGATCTAAAAAATGGTGAGTAAAATAAAATTATAATGCTGCTCTAATTCTAGAACAATAGGAGCACATTTATCATAAAAATTTCCATCAGACAAGATGGCTACTGTATGTCTTCTGCCACAGTTCTTTTAAAGGAGATCCCAGGAAAACTCACAGAGAAAGGCAGATATTGCCCCCTGGGCTGAGTCAGAGAATACCTCTGAAATAAGGAGGTGGGAATGTTATTTTTACTCAAATATCTTTGATTTCATGATTTGTGATTAAAAAAAAAAACTGTTGAGCGTAGATGGACTCGAACCAGTAAGCACAAATATTTACAATCATTTATTTATACCTGTTTTTAAAAATAACAAAAAATATCTGAGAAAGGCAAATTTGGTGCCCAGCTATCAAAAGTTTATTTTGAAAAACTATTCAGAGTATCCTCTTCCCAATTCTCAATTTAAGAAAGGAAAAATATAATTTTGTAATCTTGTAATTAGTGAAAAAAGATCCAAGGCTGGTAAATCAACATCTTCATGTAGTATAAAATCAATAATACACAGAAACAAAATTAATGAATACATTTTAATGAAGTATATCAAATAATTGTAACTGGGAAATTAATAATAGTACTTGAATTTTAAATTGTGATTGTCTTTCAAGAAGTCCAAAATATGTTACAACCCTGAAGCCCAGCTCTTTACCATCATGGGACCAGGCATGAACCCTTCCATCTATACTCTTGATGTTGCCATGGGGTTGGATCTATGTAGTATCTGTTCAGGGATGCAACCTTCACAATCATCTGGCAACTGTTATTAGGTTTCCCAACTTTAACTTCCTTGTTCCATCTCGTAGTACAATTAGGAATCTCTTGAAAGTGACACCAGGAAGTGCATTGTTGCATGCAAAAGGAGACAATTAAGTTACTTTCTCTTCCAGAAAAGTGAGTTCTAAGAGTTAGAAAGGACTTGGATAAATGGTTTATATGGAGAGGGAATTCCTTCAGAAAGGAAAAAGTGATTTTTTTTCTATATTAGCATTGTAGGTTAGAAATGTCTAATGGAACGAACACGTCCTACATCTTGAATTTTTCTAAATTGCATGGAGCAGAAAATGGATTTCAACCTACTTTTTATATGAAAATTAGTTTGTTGTTGGATTTAAGTTTTGTTTTGTTTTTTTTTCTTTTCTGAATTGGAAGTTACTATGACCAGGATGAAGGCAAGAGCTAAAATATTTTCCCTGACTTCCAAGGAATGGTGTTCAGGCAGTTATATTCCTGGAAAGTTCTTTCTTGCCCTGGAGAAACTAGTTTTACTGTTGTTAAGATTTGGTTATCTAAGTCTCTATTTCTGTCTGTCTTTCTAACCATCCATCAAAGACTATTGTGAAAGAAGAGAACTTTTGAAGAAAGGAGTAAAAAGGGACATGGTAGGGAGGCAGTGAAGACTAAAAAGGAAGGGAGAAAGAGAGGCCATTCCAAATGTCCTGAAATAGCAGAGTGGTCTGAGTGTGGGCCACTGGCCAGGAGCTGCCAGGGAAAGGCCAAAGAAGGATCCAATCCTGAAGTGGCAAGTAAAATGCCCAGAACTCCCTTAAATCAGAATCTTGCCTCCAAATTGTCCAGTCTTCAACTTGAACTTGCCGACTGGTCACCTTGCCACCTTGGGAGTGGCCGACCTGCCTGTGCTGCACTTTGCTCTGCCACCATTTGCCTACTCCATGAGGACATCTCCCCACAGTAGCTCCCAGGAGGCTGTGGCTACCCAGAGGGCAGTGGAGGAAAATCTTTGGGCTGAGATATTAGAAATGAACACACTCATTGAACTAGTTTCCTTTTATTAAATATAGCCAATCCCTCAAGGAACCAAAACAATATAACGAAGAGTCAGCTAGATCAACAGATCAGTATGAAGAGCCCAGAGACAGACTCAAGCATGTGTGGGAACTTGGTATTTGAAGGAAGTTACTTCACAAATTTTTGAGTGAAAGAACAGATTATTCAACAAGTGGTTTTGGACAACTGCCTGTTCATACAGAAAAAAATAAAAATAGACTCTTTACCTTAGTGCCCACATAAAATATTTTTCAGATATTGGATTGATGACCTAAAGCGAAAAACAAGCTCAAACTATTAAAGTTGCTTCAAGGTAAAGGAGGCTTTCTTAAATAAGATCAAACCACAAAATTGAAAATTAAAACATACAACAACATAAGTGTTGGCAAAGGAAACGAGGCAGCAGCTCACAGAAAAGTAAATCTGCTTAGCCAATAAGCACATTCCAAAAAATATTTTCACTAGAAAAATAATAATGGGATACCATTTTTAAACCCAGACTGTCAGAAGTTTAAGTGTCAGGTAGTATCAAATATCTGTAAGAAGGTGAGAATTTCATGCACCTCTGAGGGGAGTGTCAATTGGTACAACCACTTTGATAAGAATATGTCAGTATCTAATTAACTTTGGAAACACATATCCCTATAATGGGCTATTCCATTTCAGATATATGTCCCAGAGAAAGTACATATGAGTGCACAAGATGTGCATGTGTGTGTTTATTGTAGCCTTGATTGCAATATCAGACATTTGAAAATAATCCAAAAATCTACAAAAATGGAAAATTATGATGAATTTTATACTGCGATGAAAAAGAATAAACTGTCGGATGGGTAGGTCCAAAAAAATTGTATTAAACATTAAAAGCAAGAAGCAAAATAATAGAGGATACGTAATATTTTAATATATTCTATGTATTGCTTATGGATGTATCTATAAATGTATGTTAAGATACGAAAAATGAATTTGAAGCATAGATTAAAACAATTCTAAGGCCAGGCATGGTGGCTTATGCCTGTAATCCCAGCACTTTGGGAGGCCAAGGCAGGTGGATCACCTGAGGTCAGGAGTTTGAGACCAGCCTGGTCAACATGGCGAAACCCTGTCTCTACTAAAAAAATACAAAAATTAGCCAGGCGTGGTGGTGGGCGCCTGTAATCCCTGCTACTTGGGAGGCTGAGGCAGGAGAATTGCTTGAACTCGGAAGGCAGAGGTTGCGGTGAGCTGAGACGTCATCACACTCCAGCCTGGATGACAAGAGCAAAACTCCGTCTCAAAAACAAAAACAAAAACAAAAAAACCCCCCAAAAACAAATTCTAGAAGTTGCCTCACGGGACTGAAAAGAGGAGAACTGGACAGAAGAATGGTGGTTATGAGGACTTTAGCTTTATGTGTAATATTTTATTTTTTAGTGTAGAATGTGATTGGTGTATTATTCTTTATACTTTTCTATATTTTAACATTTATTTCCCAAAAGTCTAATATGCTACTTTGAGAGATGTTCCCTTTTGACTTCCTAATGTGTTGATACAGACAGTTCCTATACAGGAAGAAGAAACATACGTTATAAAGTATATATAAGATTCTCTGTTACTAAAACTGTTTTATGGCAAAAAATTTTTAAATTTTATTTTTGAGAGCCATTATATTCTTATAGTATTCTACGTGAATAGGATAATAAAATTAAACAGTCTTTGTTCTGAAGGAGGACCTCAGAGATCATTACAGAATAACCCCTTCATTTTACAGATGAGACAACGAAAGCACAGAGACTGGGTGAAGGTCACGCAGCTTGTTAGTAATCCAGTCAGGATGAAAACTCCGAGACCACACTGGAATGTTATATAAACTATCTTTTCCCAACTGTCATCTTTATTCATTCTTCCTCACCCTCCTCCCTACACACACCATGACAGAATTCTACTCCTCCATTCTTCTTCATGTTATAGTCAGCTTGGGTGTTATTTATGTATGCCTATTATCCTCACGGAACATGAAGTTTTGCTCCTGCAAGTCCAAGACCAAGTCTGATTTATCTTTGTAGTTTCGCACATAGTAGGTGATCAATAAATATTTGTTAAATATTCTACCTCAGTTGTTATCTTTATGGTATTGCCAGCTTGGTATGAAGGACAATATATTCAAAGGAATTTAGCACTTAGATTTGTTATAACTCTAATAATAGAGTAATAAAACTAATATCTAATCTTCATTTTAGAGATAACTTGATTCAGGGAGCTGAGCCATAACGTCTCTGCCATGTTTTTTTGATATATACATTATAGGAAAGACATGTCTTTAGCAGCTGAGCTTGCCTTATCACCCTAATGGTGTATGACTCAGTAGAGCACAGGCAGGGTTTTCCTAGAGGGGTGAACGTGAGTGCCCCTCAGTTCTCTCCAGCATCATCTTAATCTTGTATTTCTCAACACTCAGCTCCTGCAGCTGATGCATGTTTAAAAGATTTTCACTCACGCTGTTTTGTCAACGTGATAGATTTTATTCACCAGCTGGGATTTTCATGTGTTCTGTAGCTTCTTATGGCTTTTCATTGGGTTTGGGTCTCTCTCTGCTTTCCTCATATTAGTAATGATTCTGGAATAATGGAAAAGGGCTCAATTCGAGCTTCACGGCAATTTAAGTATCACTTTTTATAGTTTTCTCCCTCACATTTCTACAGCATCCTGTCTACTAATATTAACACCCCAGCTTGAGGCAGGCACAGACCAATTTGCTTTATGGATTCTTTGACCCCTAAAAGTCCTTGCTCTGTTTCTGAGCTCTTCCAACAGGAGCCTGGAATTAGCCCCACAAACCTATATCTGCTTGTCCCCTACAAAGGCAAGTGAGAACTAAGGCAACCTTTTTCTCCTCTCTCACAGCAAACTGCATAAATTTTAAATGTACACATATCCTTGCTTGCTTTTAGTAATTCAAATAGCAAATCTGTTCAGAGAACATGTGAAGTAGATGTGATTTTTTATTGACTGATAACATGAAACTCATGGAATGAACCTAATATGAACTTTCTGAAATCACTGTGGTTGACATACATGAAAAAAACTTGGATTCCTAGTGAGGTCTTCATGGAGTCAAAATTATGTTTTTAACATGTTTAGATATTAATTTTGTTGAGGGGATGGCCAGAAAATAGTATTTATTTCTTACTGAATTTGGAAAAAGTATTTAAAAGAGCATTTTATATTGAATACCTTCCTCTATCTTCTCAGCACTAAATGAATGACTAATTAAATCTGTTATATGAAAACATCATAGCAGATGGTCCTTCCCATTAATAAGTATGTAATGAAACAATAAACATGCTGAAGAGAAAGACATGAGAAATTGCAGATGAGTTGTGCAGTGAGTAATTTATCTCAGGACGCAGGGGTCAACCAATGGGAAAGCTGCTTTGAGAGTGAACATTCCCCTCTTCTTTCTCCATCCTGCTGGTCACCTATTAATGCTGCAAATGATCTATTCAAATTACTGAGTCTTCAGTGTGAAGTGTCCCAGAAAAATACTCTACAGTGCACAAAGATGAAGCTAAAAAGGGCAAACTCATTTGTGAATACATAAACAAAAGTTATAATGTTCTAACAAATGGAATCCAGCAATGTATCACAATAATAATGCAGTACGACCAGGAAGGGTTTGTTTTCAGGAATGAAAGAGTATTTCAATATTAGAGAATCTATCAACATAATTCATTACATTACCAAAATTATTACATCTGTAGATGCTGAAAAGGCATTTAATACAGTCCCAAAGTCATTCCTAATAAGTAATAAGTAGAAGGAATCTATTTAGCTATAATAAAGGCAATTTTCCAGAAACCAACAGAAAATTTCATTCTTAACAAAACCCTAAGACCATTTCAATTAAAATCAGAAACAATTTGGGAAGGGCCATTAATACTAATTGTTACTTTAATGTTATCTTGGAGCTTATAATAATACATACTTATTATTTATTAACAACAGTGTCATTAGTGACTGCAGGAAAGGCACTGGGAAAGAAACTACTAAGACAGGTGTGCTGGATTGTTCTAATGTTAACAGAGTTACAACGGGAACTGTGTTTTTCAGAAATCTTTTCTTTCATGGTTTTGTGCAAGAATTGACAAAAATCAGAGGTCACATGAGACTTGGGAAGCAAAAACAGCCATTATCTTTGAAGATTTTCTGAGTCAGATACAATGAAGGATGGATGCAGAAGTGGCCAGTAAATTCATTTGTCATTGTTTTCCCCACTCCATGTCCAGCTCTACTTCCTGACTGCTAGATCTGCTGACCAAAAGTAGCCCCAGGTCCTCCACCAGTTACCTGACTGATGGCTCCACAAGTGGGAGCTATGCAGAGGTACCAGCTTTCCAGAAACTTTTCTGCCATGTCCTCTTCATGTTTTCTCTCTGGCACCTGAGTGTATCTAGCTTTCCAGAATTCTAAGAACATATCTTCAAGAGGGCTTGTTAATGACTTTTCTCTAATCCTCCGACTCCCCATTTTGAATCCTTACTTCCGAACATCTCTCACAATTATGTAAGGTCCTTTTTCTATAATTAAACCCTATTTCATGATATTAGTTGTTCTGCTTCCCTGACTAAAACCCTTAATAATACAATCAGTAAAATAGTTGGTTAACAGGGCTGGATATAAGATAAATGTTAAAAAAAAATGTGGTTTTTTTTGGTATTTTAGCAATAAGAAACTAGAAACAAAATGAAAATAATAGAATTTTTTTCCACAACAGTGACAAAAACCATAAAATAAAACGAATAAAGTTACAAAGAAGGGCATAGGATTATATGAAGAAAAGTATAAAATCTTACTGAAGGACATAAAATATGACCTAAGCAATTGAAAAAGCATTTCATGTTCTTGGACAGGGAGATCAAAGATGATAAGATGTTAATTCTCCAAATTAATGTAAAAGAAAGTGCATTTCCAATTAGGATCCTAACAGAATTTTTAAAAAATAAGTTTTTGTTATCTTAAAATTTATATGTAAGAATAAATGTCTTTTAATATGAAAAAGAACAATGTGTGTGTGTGAGGATTCTTAATTTACTGTTATGTATGAACATATTATACAGTTTTTTGTAATCAAATCAATATGGTATCAGCATGAGATGAGATAAGATTATAGGATAGAAAATTCAGAAGTAGATTGTAATATATATGAGAATTCAGCATGTGAAAAAATTGGTGGCTCAGCTTTGTGGCGGAAGTAAAGTACAACTGACTTAAGCAACAGTGCTTGCATTCATACTTAATATACAGATCATGAGCATAAAGAAAAATTCAGAAGAATGCATAAGTTCGTTAATGCAAATTGTCTAGAGGGTAAGTGTGGGACATGAGGCAGGAATTGGGGTAGAAAGGACAAAAAGAAAAATGATAAAATTGTAAAGCAAACTTAGAATGTATGATGTATACCATGAAAGTGAATTTATATTTTAGTGTGATGTGTGAAAGCATATATAGAGAAATGGATGCGGGCAAGGAGAGAGATCTGTTGACGTCTAAGAATATGCACAATATATCAGTGAAGAAAACAAGTTGAAGAGTACATGTACAATTTGATTCTGTGTAGATGAAAACACACCAACACACTGTATTGGTCAGGGTTTGATCAGAGAAGTAGGAATTCAAGGAGTCATATAGAATAAGGAATTTATTATAGAGCCTTGACCTTATACAGTGGTGGAAAGTAGTTAAACAGCTTCTGTATAGCTGTTGCTTCAGCATTGGGTGTTGGGCCTAAAGTCTCCAGGGCAGGCAGCTGGGAAGCAAAGATGGACAGGAAATGACATGCCATTCCAAGGACATATTAGAACCTATAAGGTCAAGTGGGAACCTAGGTAGCTCTTTTACTTCCTTCAAACCTCCAACTTTTATGATGTGGGTGTCCTGCAGGAGAATCTGATGCCCTTGGTCATGGAGCAGAACCTGAATAGGAGTAGGAGAAGCTGGAAGAGGAAATCCTGTGGCAGCTGGAGAATCTGTGGGCCCAGCTGCTACCTGATGCCAACCAGGTGAGCCAGCACATCTACAGTGTGTGTAAGCTTCTACAGTACCTGAGCTTATTTCAACCTTCCCAATCTAGTCACGCCTGGTGCTTTATTTTACCTTTCAAATCTCAGGCAAATTTCTCTTGTGGCCAATCCTAGCCCAGAACCATTCAGGGAAGGGAATTCTGGGGAGAGAAATTCTGGGAAACATAGCCATCACATACACACATACAAATAAATGGGACCCCTATGTAAGTGTATGCATACCTTTATGTTGGTATGGATAAAACGAAATGCACAGAAGGATACACCCCAACTGTGAAGCCTGGTTTCATTAGGAGGAGATGGTAGTAGAGCGATATGACCAGGATTATGAATAAAAAGGTAGATGATCAGTCTTACCAGGATACAACTTTTTATTTTATTGTTTTCACTTGTTATAAGAAATTATTATGCTAGTAATTTAAAAGTATTGAATGAATTTAAAATATCAAAAACCAAAATGAATTCACACAGGCCTTCAATTCTGATTTTTTTATCATATAATAGTTGTTCTTGTGCTCACATCCCATCTCTGCCAGCTACTACTTGTGTGACTTTGAACAAGTTATTTAATTTCTCTACTGGACATAGTAATAATAATGATAATACCTGGCTTGTACAGTTGTTGTATAAATTAAATTAGATGCACAAAATGCCTAGAATTGTGCTTAGCAAACAGCAAGTGCTCAATAACATTAGTCATCATTATCATTTTCGTTATTTCTATCGTTATTAATATATCTAAGTGGAAATCACTCTCCTCCTTCTCATACCCTATCAACTCAATTCTTTCCTGTCAAATCAAGAAGAAAAGGAGGAGGAAAGAAGGGAATCTGATTTAAACAGAGATGCCCCAAAAGGTTGTCACTAGCCCATGGGTCAGTGAGTTGTAACCCTAGGTAGTCATTAAAAGGATGTCGATGACAAATAGATGCAAGGTCAAGCAATGTAATGATTACCCAGAAAAAGCCTGGGAGTGAGACGGTCAATTTAGCTATGTGAGTGTATTTGTGAAGCTGTGCATGTGTGTTCTCATGTGTTAGCACAAATAAGTTTGTGTATAAATTGCAAGTAAACAATACAACAACTGAGAATAAATGCACGTAAGGAAAGGTTTATAAATGCCTGCAAGCGTGAGGTCAGTGTACCATATATAATCTTACATTTTCTGATCCACATATATGAGTTAAAAGAGGGGACTGCCACAATGCTCATTTACACACCCTGAGTCCTGCAATTTATTTCACTGTATTTGATGTTGGCAGGGAAGCATTTATTTATTTAAAATCACTCAGAATACAGCACAAAGAGCTATTCTGTACGTATGAGCTATTCAGTAGGCATGAAATGTGCCTAAGCTGAAAAAAAAAATCCCCCTCCTGGACTTTTGACATATCGTGACCACAGTGAAGGCAACATGAGGCTTCTTTTGTTTCTAGATGCTGCAGGAGGAAATGAAACAATGGGGCAGGAACATGGTTTTTAATCTTTTTTTCTATGGGGGCATACGTGGCTGACTAATGTTCCCTATCACAATGCTCTTCTAAACCCAATTCCCAGCATACTGGCCATTACTTCATCTCATTCACTGCCACCCAAGAGAGCATTTCAGGATACAAATGAGTGAGACTGACATTGGAGGAGGATAACCTTGCAGACATTCTATTTTTTAATTAAAAATGTAATACATGAATATATTCTCATTGTAAAAGACTGAAATAGGAAAATATATAGAATACACTCCTGTACCAGCTCCTCCACACCCAAACTCCTACTCTCCACAGAGAAGTTAACAAATTATTAACAATTTGGTGTGCATCTTAAATTTGCACTTTCATTTATTTATATGTACGCATGTGTTTATATATCTAAAAACAAACGTGTGTATAAATATGCAAATGCATGCATAGTGTGTTTTTTCCATAAATAAAATTATAGTTTAGATATTTTCTGGTGACTTGTTTAATTTCCACTTAACATTACAACATAAGATATCTTTCCATATAAGTACCTACAGCCCATCTTATTTTTATAACATCTGCATAGTATTGTATCATATAAATGTACCATATTTAAATTTAACCTCTTCCAAATTGGTGGATATTTAGGCTGTTTCTTTTTTATTATCAAAATAACATTGCACAAAACATACTGGCTTATCTTTGTACATGTTGCCTTGTGTACAAATGTTTTAATTTTTATTTTAATTTTTTTAGAGACAAGGTCTTACTCTGTCACCCAGGCTAGAGCGCAGTGGTGCAATCATAGCTCACTGTAATCTGGAACTCCTGGGCTCAAGCAATCCTACCACCTAGCCTCCTGAGAAGATAGGACTACAGGTATGCACCATCTTGTTCAGCTAATTTTAAAATTTTTTTGTAGAGATAGAGGTCTCACTCTGTTGCCCAGGCTGGTCTCAAACTCCTGGCCTCAAGCAATCCTCCCACCTAGGCCTCTGAAAATGCTGGGATTACAGAGGGGAGCCACTGTGCCCAGACCAAATATATTTGTTAAGAAAAGATACCTAGTAGCCGCATTGCTGGATCACATTTTAGTTCTTTTAGTATTTAATTCAATGTGAAATGTCCTGAAAATTTGTACCAATTTATACTCTTAACCAGAGGCATGTTTTTTTATTCTTTCAAAACATGTTTTTTCAGCGGCTACTTACCTACCTAC
This sequence comes from Homo sapiens, assembly GCF_000001405.40. NCBI lineage: Eukaryota > Metazoa > Chordata > Mammalia > Primates > Hominidae > Homo > Homo sapiens. The sequence continues at coordinate 72,364,409 of NC_000016.10, forward strand.
TACCTATTTAACACGGCGGAGGAAAATAAAGCAGGTTTAGAGGTATTGGAAGTAATGGGGTGGGTTGCTTATTTAAATTAGGTGGTACAAGTATTATGCTAAGATGGTAATCTCCAAAAAAAGCTTGGAGGAAGTATTGGAGTTAGCCACCCCACTATCTGAGGGAAGAGGATTCAAGGTAGAGAAAACAGCAAGTCAAAGTATATAAGGGTGGACAGAGAGCTAGTGTGTACTAGCAAGGTGGCTAATGTGGCAAGACAGGAGTAAGCAAGGGGGAAAATGGAACAGACAGGTAATGGGTGTATGAGAGTGTACTTGTTTCCTCAGGTTCTTGATAATACTGAGAATTATCTATCTAAAATACTGGCCAATCTACTGACAAATCTCACTCCTTTTTTTCAACTTCCTTTCTGTCTGATTACTAATGAGATGAAGAATATTTTCACATGAGTATTAACCGTTTTATTTCTTATTTAATATTATTCTGTATTTGTCTCTCTATATATTTTTTATCATTTTTGATTGAATTTTTCCCTACTGATTTTTAGGACCTCTTTACGTGTTGTGGTTATTAACCCTTTTTCAGTTACACACACTGCAAATATCTTCTCCCACTTTATGTTACCATTTGTGAAATCCAATGTATACATTTCTTCACTTATGACTTCTGAGTATTGTTTTTAGCTACTATAAAATAGAGAAATATTCCTCTCTTCTCTTCCGATAGTTTTGTAAATTTTTTGTCTTTAGGTTTAGCTCTGTTATCAATTTGGAATTTATATTTGTGAACATTATAGTTAGGGTCTAACCATATACATAATATTTGCATATATATCATTTTTTACTCATTTTGCTGATTTCAAATACATCGCTTACTATATTAAAATTTTATATAAATGTTTCTGAATCATCTGTTCCATTTTTCTATTTTGCTATTCATACCATGCTGTTTCAATTATTAAAGTTTTATAAGGTATTTATATATCTGGTATGGATCACCTTTCCTCATTATCTTTTAAAAAGTATTTCTGGATATCCTATTTCAGATGAATCTGGGAATTAGATTATCAGGTTCCATTTTACTGGGACTCTGTTTAAATGTATAGATTAAGTTGAGGAGAATTAATACCTGTGAAATATTGAGTGTTTCCATCTAGGGAATAGATAGAGTATCTTTCCATGTATTTAGATTTCCTTTTATAACTTTTGATAAATTTTTATAGTCTTGCATAATTCTTGTTAGGTTTATTCTTTGCCATTTAATGCTTTTTGTTGCTGTTTATGAATGGGCTGTATTACATTTTATTTTCTACTGTCATTACCTTTAGTGGACAAATTCAGCAAAAGAATCCCTGCAGTAATTATAAGGGTAGTTTTACTCTGATTGTAGTCACTTAATAATCTATTGCTAGTAATAGAGCATCTGAATTGATTCTTTCATCAGAACGATCTCTAGGATATGACAAATCAAAGTGACTACCTTTAGCCTTTGCTTTGGGACTTTTTTTTTTACTTGGAGAGGGGGCAATTAGGCCAACCCCTGAGGCTCACATATGTTCAATCATCCTGGAATCTGAGAAGAACAAGGAAACCTCTGATATTTTATTTTGACTTCCTTTTGTTTCGAGCCTTTATTTTATACAACTAAAGATTTTTAAATTATGCAACATTTATACACATAGAAAAACACATAAAATAATTTGATCTAATTAAATAGCTGGGCCTTTTAATATAATCCAGGTTTAACAGCTAGCTGTTAATTGTTTGCCACAGTTGATTCGGAACACTTTGCTATTGTTTTTGTTAGCTTTAAGGAAATAAAACATTACAAATAAAGCTAAGATGCCCCTACCCCACCCCGTTCCCTTCCCATTCCCTCTGATATTGGTGTTTCATTCTCATGAACATTTTCTATATTTTTTGTGTACGTTTAAGTCATATTTATGAATCTGTATGTTTTACATCTATACAGTTGGTATTACAATGCCTGTAGCCTTTTGTAACTTGATACTGTGGTCTGTTGAAATTCATCTTTGTTGACAAGGACACTCCCTTGAAATTATTCTTGATAACTTTGTTTATAGCTAACTTGTCAAACTTAGCCAGCCTCATCACATGGCTATACCTGGTGGCCAGGGAAACTGAGAAATGTAATTTTTATTCCACGTGGCCAGGAGCCTGGCTTTAAAAACAGGATTCATCATATAACTGAGGAAGAACAGGGAAACAGATAGTGGAGTACAGCTAGCCATCTCTGCCAAATACTTTCAATTATAATGTTTATTGTAGATTTCTAGCATAAACCTTTATTGGATAAAAGTGTTTGTTTTTTCCTTTTCTCAGTTTACTAAAGGATTTTAAAAACTGCATTCAGTTAGAAACAAGTGCTATCAAACTGTTCCTTGGCATCTTTTAAGAAGACGGTCTGGTTTTCTACTTTAATCTGGCAATGTAATATATTAAAATAATAGATTTCCTAATGTTAAACTATCCTTGCATTCCAGAAATAAATTTTAATCATTCAAGATCTTAAATCTCATATCAGCTAGGAACACATTCTTTTCTTTCAAAACAGCACTTAATTTGTTAATATTTAGAATTTAAACATGTTCATAAATTGGCTTATTCTGTTATTATTTGTATGAATTATAAACAAGATTATGATAGCCATATACAGCCAATGGGGAAGGTTTCTATCTTTCTCTATTCTGGAAAATTTATATAACCTAGAAATTATCTCTTTAAGTTTTAAAATAGTTTGCCCATAATACCATCTAGTCTCAAGGCTTTTTAAGGATTACATCTTTGACTATTTAAAACATTTCTTCTATGTTAGTATTCTGCTTCTTGAGTCAATGTTTATATTTACATTTTCTAAAAAAATCAACCTTTTACTTTAGATTTCCAAATTTGTTGGCATTAATTCATACTTAGCTTTTTTTTACACTTGGAAAAAACTCTGTGTTCATATTTATGTCTGCTGCCTTAAGTTGTTTATTAGTGACTCTGTTTTCCTTTGTCAGAATTGCCAGAATTTTCACCATTTAGGTTGGACTTTTAAAGAACTAGCTAATTAGAACTAGCTAATAGTCATTAGCTAGTTCTTTCAGGCTTTTTGTTGGCTATCAGTTCTTTCTATTAGCTATTCTAATGGCTATTAGCTAGTTCTTTCAGGTTTTTTGTTTACTTCACTATTTTCTGCTACTTTCTAAATTATCTCCACCCAAATTGTGTTTATTTTGTTTTTCTTCAAACTTCTTGCATTACGTGTTTAGGTCATTATTGCAGACATGATTTATTAGCTACCCATTTCTGACCCTCTTCTCCCTTGCCCACTTCCAACCACAGAGGTGGAAATAGCTAGATACTCCATTTCCCAGATATTCTTGGAGTTAGGTATGGTCATGTGTTCCAGATATAAGAGGAGGTGTTCTAGAGGCATATGAGAAAAGATTTTTTTTTTTTTTTTTTTTTTTTTACTGTCACTAATGCAGAAAAACACAAGAACATGATTTCTCTCTAGCCAGGGGAAGGAAAAAGTATGGAGAAGGCACACCTGATTTCTCAAAAGACCAGCCCAGAAGTGGTACACATCCTGCCAACTCACACTGGAGAAAAACTACTCATGTGGTTGTAATTAACTGGGAAGGAGGCTGGGAAATGTAACTAGCCATGTCATTGGCTATAATCCTTTTGCTGTGAAAGAAAAGAAAAGATCTGAAAGCTTTTTAGCATATTACTTGCAACTCTTCTCACATTCAGTGATACTGCAGTTAAGAACTTAAGTTACTCATGAAAGCACAGGCTTGGAAGTTGTTCTATAATCCATTAGGGGTTTATAGGAAAAAACTGATTTTGAAAATATTCATCCAAATATTAGGTGACATCTGCCACCTGCAATCTTACCTGACAAAATGCTAAAATTTGAGCTACAAAAACTAGTCTTGGGTAAATAGGGACAGAAAGTCTGAACAATCAACTTGAAGTAATAATGCTATCTATATTTCTGTAAGGGAAGATAATCACACACACATACTGGCATATAACTGAGTAGGTTTTCAGGTCACTGTGAAACACTATATAATTCAAACCAAATTAATACAGTCACAGGTGGCTTTGTCAGTGTCATACAATTGTACCAACTGTATCCATTAGCACTAGCAAAAAATGACAAGTGTATGTACAAGAAGCAATATTCTGCTATGCATTCAGAAATATTAAAATAATAGAAAAAGGAATACTACCTTTTAACTTGAGATGTCAGCATCATTGTCTTCATTAAATATTTTCCAAATCCATCAGGTGCTTTAAAATCTGTTATAAACAAAAGAAGGCATAGTCTTTTTTCTCAAGGGGCTTTCCGATTAAGACAGAGAGTAACATGGACATATTTATAGTAAATAAAATATGGACTGTGATAACCAGTATGTGTTTAAGTATTTTTCCCTTCTCTGTTTTATTATTGTTAGCCCGTGAGTGGGTTGAGTGGAAAGAGTGGCTGGATTCATCAGAATGAAAGAAATATAAGAATATACACAGGCATCATGAAAAGGAGGACAGAACGGAGATTTAGTAGAGACAGCATTATAAGAAAGATGATAGCTGGGCGTGGTGGTGTGTGCCTGTAGTCCCAGCTACTCAGGAGGCTGAGGCAGGAGAATTGCTTGAACCCAGGAGCCAGAAGTTGCAGTGAGCCGAGACTGCGCCATTGCACTCCAGCCTGGGTGACAGAGTGAGACTCTGTCTCAAAAAACAAACAAACAAACAAACAAACAAACAAACAAAACAAAAAAGATGATTGTCATAGTATGCTTCGCTGAAAGGAGCCTTGTATAGTGAAACCCTTCATCTTGTAGACGAGGAAAAGGGCCAGAGAGGTACAGTGACATGCTGATGGTTAACCAGAGTTTGTAGCAGAGCCAGGACTAGAACTAGCTCTTCTAATTCTGCTCTGATGTCTGTTTTACTGTCACACATGGCTTATCCTAGCTGTTTCCAAGAAGCAACTGGTAATTCCCCACTTATTCACACCAGCTTTACAAGACCCCTGACACCCTACTCTAGCTTTACAAAAGAAATACATTAGCCATCATCTAGGGACAATACCCAGTGCTTTGAGGGTTCTCCCCTCACAGTCTTACTCAAAGATCCATCTCTGTCTTTCTTTTTTAAAACGCTCTTGGCAGAGTTCAGGCTCCCTTCTTTGCTGGAGGCTTTGAGGATAACTCACAGTAGGGCTGGCTTAAAACCTTGTCTCTCTTGATATCATTTCTATGGAGGAAAAAAACCACATTCCCAGTTTCAGATAATCAAATTAACCTTTTAGCAAAAAGCCGAATGCTGGGGAACTTCCTGTGAATTTATCTCAATATGTATTTTTTGCTGTTCTGAAGAGAAATTACATGCTGCACAAATCTGAAACTCTGACCTATTATATACAGAATCAATTATAATATATACAACTCTCCATAGGACCTGGTGAAAACTGAACTCTTCCATCACTATAGCAGACCTCACTCATAATTCCACTCCAAATTAAAGAGAATGGAGCAAAGTTTCTCATCTGGAAAATGTGCAGAGTATAGTATACGAGAAAAGAATGTTTACAATAAAAGAGGCACTGGTAACAGTGTCCTGATGCTACAGTTCTTTGCTGAAATGTAATTTTTGTTCAGGTGGCTCCTCTAAAAGAAAATGGAGAACTTGGATACCAAGCTTAAGCACACAAAAGAAATTCACATGAGCCCTATACCAAACGTAGCACTTTAAAACATCATCTCTGGGCATTTTCACCAGAATATTCCATGTTCAAAAATATTTTTGAAATGTCTGCAGGTGCACAACATCCTGCTATGATGAATATAGAAAAGTAGAATAATAGCAATATAGGGACAATTGGGATGCAGAGGTTGTTAAGTGTTGTAGGAATTCAGAATTTAAAAAAAAAGAAACTATAGAATAAGAAAGGCTTCATGAAGAAAGTACAACTTAGGCCAAGGAAGGATAGGTTAAATTTGTGTGTATGGAGAGGAGTGAGAAGCAGAGTTGAAACTCAGTTGGATGTTTTGGTACAGTGGCACTGGCTGCTGTGGGGAGCATCTGTTCTGTGCAAGTGGTGCATTCATTCTAAATGGCTGCTGTACGTGTTCTGAAAATCACCCCAGGGGGCATTCCTGGACACAGGTTTAGAGTAGCTACTGGGAAGTCAGGGGGCCCTTCAACTTGTGCAGGCCATCAAAAAGTAACAATCAAATTGATCAGAAATATTTACATCTAATTGTTGTTGCACTTCAGATAAGTCACATATTCTGTGCACACATTTATTCTGAGATTATACAACTACTGTCTCAGTCATATTGACATCAGTCTTAAACTTCATTATAGCATAGCCATAAGTATCAAACTGAGAAAACCCACTCAATGGCTATAGATGATGATGATTATTCTTTACCAGAATGAGAATTGTACTGTCACTTATAACACTCTGATCCAATTTCAATCCCTTCTCCTACAAACTTTAAAGCAATCTCATCCAGAAATAGCAGAGCTGGTCAGTCTTCTCTAGCAGGTACTTCTGCCGTTTCACCTTTTGAGGTAAGTAGCCTCAGGGACATGGAACCAATTTTCAACAGTGATTTGCTACAATATTGAATACACATCTCAATACCCTCATAGATAGAAGAGGAGGGTGTGATTCATCAACACTTTCCTTTAGGTCAGCAAACACTCAAGGAACAATTAGACTGTTTACAAAGCCTTGGTACCTGGCATAGTGCAAAGTCAATTTTAAAAATATATTGAATATGTGAGCTTTTCCAAATTGTCATCAACTGTTATGACAAGCTATTAAAGAAGCTATTGTAGAGGACTGAAGCAGCAGCTGATTTCAAAACAGTAAATCAAGTCTTGGTCAAGAGCACTGATGAAAAGAGAACAGGATTCTTGCTGTGTTTATGAGTGGCTCAAGACAGCTTTAATACACATCAATCACAGGTAGGCAGTGTGCTCTGGTCTGTGCCCCCGACTCTCAGCGTGACCTTTTGTGAGTCACCAGACGGCTTTCAGGCTCGGTTACTCAGCTGAAAACAAAGCTAAGGAGCAGAAACCTCAATGAAAAACAGGCACTGCATCGCTAATGAGATTTCCTGGGGAAATAAATTCCTCACCTCTACAACCCCCTCTCCCGACAGCCCCCACTCTAGACTGCCACGTCCCACACATTCAAGAGAAGGTGAACAAAGTGAAGTGTTTGAGGCATGTGGTTGTGCTATCCTCCCAGCTTCAGAAGCATTTATCAGTAAGAATTCACTGTCTCACTGAAAATAGTAAAGCCACGGAAAAAGAAATGGTCACACTATCTTGCTTTAGAAACTAGGGCACTAGCTTTGGGTTCAAAACCTCTCAATCTGCTATGGTTTGTTTAGAGACTTGGGAGAGGTGGCCAATGAATCTCTCCCCCCCTTCAATTGGTTCTAAACAGTTTACAGCTGTATAACCAGTACTTTGAAATATTTCCGCTCCCTCTAGGCAAAAGCATTTGTTATTGTGAAACTTTCTGCTAAAATCATAAGATCAGAGTTGCACGAAAGTGTAACAGCTTCTTAGGAGGGTGATAAAATGGGTCTGGGGATTGTGGCCTGGATTAGGAAATGCCACCAATTTCTTCAACTTCCATAGCTTCATGGTGCAGGCGGCTACATGCGGAAGAAGGAAGCTCTGAAGGAAGTGGCCGACAGAACCTATGGCCCTGGAAAATGAGGCAGCACTTCTTTTTGCTTTTAAAATTTTTGGCCCCTTGGGGGTTGCACTAACCCCCTAGGCCTCTATCTGGCACAGAGGGGTCTCCTTTCTGAGGCTAGGCCCGTTGGAAAGGTTCCACATGACTGAACCCCACTGAATCAGTCAGTCAATTTAGTGGCTCATAAGAAAAGCTGACGATATCATGGCTCCAAGGCAGGCTGCCACCCCAGAGCCTCAATTGTAACTAATGCGGGTTTAAAAGGGAGATCAGAAAATATCATGCAGATAAAATACAGAGATAGAAGGAAAGACCATAACCTCAATCGGCAAAATGTGATAGCTTTGTCAAAATAAAAGCCAAAGCTAAACTCTCCTGCTGCTGCACACCTCCCAGCTCGCGGGAACTGTTCACGCAGAGAGGCATTTTCTATTAGAGCAAACTCGGAAGGCAGCAGGGAGAAACTCAGCCATAATATCTGCACAACAGCCCCTCCATGCAAACACCATTCCAGTAATGGGAAATTTTAATGATGTAAAGCAGCAAGGTCACACGATATGTCCAGGCAGCCCTTGGAAAGACACTGCCTCGGCAGATATTACAGAGGAGAGCTCAGAATTGCTCTTGGTTCATTAGGCTTTGCCTGAAGGTTTTTTCTTCCACTATTAACTACAAACAAGGCTGAGGTTCTTATTACTCAGTTCCTTGTATGCAATGCAAAGAGGTGAAGGGCAGGGTTTGTAAATATGGAAAGGCAGACAGCTTAGACGTGTTTTTACAATACTTGAAATATTCTGAGTCACCTTAAATGTGAAAATTGCAAAAGCCTTATCAATGTTGCAGTATTTTTTTCCTAGCAGAACTTTTTATCTACTCGTGTACAGATAAAGGTACTATATGCACATAAATATATACACATGGGGTGGATAGATTCCCTCCCCTCCATACAGCACCACCACATCTTCTTACGGTTTGCCTCCTTCTCCCAGCTTTATGACCCCATTGAGATGGCTCTTACTGTTTTCTTCCTCGTTACATTTTGATATTTCACAGCATGGCCTGGATTTCACTCCCATCTCCCCACTCCACATTATTAATGAATTGGAAAGCAGACATCATTAGTTTTCGGAGACCATTTCTTTTAAAATTTACAGACCCCTTCATCTGAATCCCCAGAGACAGTCTGCTGTTCTCATCTTAGAATCTTATTAGCATCATATCTTCTATATCCTGCCATGCAAACTGCATGGCTATGCACTTTCTAGCACTTGACCCTTTTGCGGACAGAATTAATTTACTCTTTGAAGATGCAGCAGCATGCTGTTGTGCTTGTTAAAGAAAGAAAAGCCAAGCAAGGATATGGCAAAGCAAGCAAAGAAATTCTCAGTTTAAAAGCAAGCTCTTGTAAGGCAAGTTAGGTGAAGACTGGGCAGCAGAAACAAATAGCCAGTAACTATTGATGGAAATAGGCAAATTAGCGGATTAGCAGGAATCGTTGGGAATTTCTGCATCCAACCACTAATGAGCATTGGGACAAGCTCCTGATATGGACTAGATTGCAGGGCTTACTTTGTACTAGAGCCTTTTGTTCTTAGAAGGCTTAGAAGACAATTCAAACAACTAATTCTGATTTCATCAACTACATGATCTATTTCCTGAAATGTTTCAGACTCATTTACTCACCACTCACTGTGTGCCAGGTAGTGTTCTAGATGAAGGAGACACGGCAGTGAGTAGGACAACGTCCCTTCATTCACAAAGCTTTCTTTCTAGTGAATAATTTAAAAAATAAAAAATAAAAAGTAAACAGTTAATTAAAAATAGAACTTCAGGTAGTTATAAGTGCTATGAAGGAAAATTGAGCCATGTAAAAGAGTAGAGATTAATAAAGGGAATTATTTGAAACAGGGTGATCTATTACTTAGGAACTGACATTCAAACTGGGGCATTAATGATGTAAAATAGCAAGCCCTATGAAGATCTGGGGGAATGAATGTTTCACATAGAATGTAAAGGCTTTGAGACTAGAACAAGTTTGGCATATTAAAAAATTTTAAATACAGCCAATGTCGCTGGAGTAAAGTAACATGGGAGAGAGTGGTGGGAGAAACAGGCAGTACCCCAGCACCCAAGAGAAGTAGATACTTAAAGGCCATGATAAGGAGTGTGAATTTTATTCTAGCCATGATGAAAGCAATCAAAGGGTACCTTACAATCATGCCTAAAGGGTACCTTACAATAAGACTAAACTGAAGGGTGCGGATGGAGTAGCAAAAAGAAAGCAAGAAAACCACATAGGAAGTTACCACAGAAATCTGAGCAAGAGACGATTATGGATTATGGTCCCTTAGACTAAAGTGGCAACAGTGGAGGTGGTAAGAAGTAGAGGGATTCAGGACATATTTTGAAGATAGAGCTTTGAGTCTGTAGAGGAATCGGATGAGAGTGAGTAGTAAGCCTTTAACTGAATGGCAGAAGACAGAAGGGGGAGCAAACTGAAAATGAAATAAAAAGCTTCAGTTTAACCAGGTTAAATTTGAGATGACCATTAAACATCCAAGGGTAGATAAAGTGAGGCTCACAGGAAGTCTGGAATGAAGATAAACGTACATTTTGTTATCATAAGCTTATAGATACCATTTCAAGCCATGTAACTGGATGGTATCACTGTAAGAGTGAGTTTAGACAGAGAAAAGGCCTAAGGATGGCTTTGGGGTACTCCAAAAAGTAGAGGCCAGGAAGAGGAAAAGGAGGCATCAAAGGAGACAGAAAAGGAGTGACCTGTGTTACAGGAGAATAACCGGAAACTACCAAAAACAACAAAAACAGAGATTTGAAAAAGGAGGGAGTAATGAGCTGTATAAAATGCCACCCAAAGTTTGAGTAAAATGAGAACAGAGAATTGGTTATTTGATTTGGCTGGATGAAAGTCATTGGCCACCTTGACCACAGAGTTCCATTGGAGTAACAAGAACAAAAGCTTGATTGGAGGACAAAGTGGGAAATGGTGGTGAAGAAAATGGAGTCAGCAAGTATAGACAACTCTATTGATGAGTTAGAAAGGAGACCAGAGAAATGGGGTGTTAGTTGGAGGATTTTATTTAGATAAAGGCTTTGTTTATGTTGGGAGCAACCATAGCATGTTTGTGTGCCATTAAGAAAATTTTATAATAGAAAAGGAAAAGGATGATGTGTAAGAGAGCATACAATTGCAGAGACCAAGGCTTTGAGGAAGAGATGGAATCCAATTCCCAAGCCAACGCACTGGCCTTAGGAGTAGGGAGATGCCATTCAGTGTAGTTGGAGGGAAGGCAGAGATGATAGATGGTAGATTTGGTTGTGGGAGGAATAGGTTCCCTTTTGATGGTTTCTAATTTCTCAGTGAAATAAGACATGAAGTTATCAACTAAGACTGAGTAATACCAAGGATGATTTAAGATTTGTAGTAAAAATTTTAAATGAGACCAGTCAGTATGATCGTACGTTTTCCTTAACCACATTTAGCTGTTCAGGTAAGGATGACAGTAGGTGAGATGTTGGGTTTATCAGCTTTAGGGTTACCAGCAAGTATAAGGGAAAGAGGCGCAAGGGGATATACATCAGGTTAATTATAGTCATGGACCATGGAATTCATTATTGGTGACATGAGAAATGATGATATGAGGAAGGAAATATGAAGTTGAATCAGCTGATGGGTAGGTACAATGTGGCTGAAGAATTGTTGGCAAATGAATTCTGAACTTTGAGTGAGCTAGAAACATTTTTAAATGGGATTCTTAAATCTAGATTTGGATGTGGTGTGGTGGGTACCTGAGAAGGGATAGAGGAAAAGATGAGTGGAAGTAAGGAGGTAAAAGAATCAGGCAGATGCTGAAGTCACCAAGAATGTTGAGAGGTGTGATGGTGAAGAAGAATATGATCGATCAAATGCTGACTACATAAATTGCTCAACCAGAAGACTGAACAAATGACCACAACAAAGGAGACATAGCAGGTACCATAATCTATTGGCATCTGATTCAAAGGAATGGGTTTTTGAGAGAAGAAGGAGGAGAAAGGGCCTGAACAGGGCAGTGAGGCAGAAGGAAGGCATCTATCCCACATCAGATCCTGAAGATATGTGAGAAGAGGCAGCCACCACTTTTAACAGAGCAGAAGGAGAAGCAGGGTGCTAAGGGATAACCAGGTTTGGGTTAGAACAAGAAGTTGAAAGGAACATTTTTGAGATGAGATTAATAATAGAGGAGTTTTGGGTTTTTTTTCTAATGACAGACCATGAGTTCCAGAGAACACAGGAAAAGGATTTGGGAGAATAAGAAGAGATGAGAAACTGGGTCAGATTTGGAGATGTACAGAACCACATAGGGATAAGCACCGAGGTCTGATGATGACCTTAGAGCTGCACTGTCCAATATGATAGTCACTAGCAAATATGTGCCTATTGAGCCCTTTAAATGTATCTGGCCCAAATTAAGATGTACTCTAAGTATAAAACATATATTGGATTTTGAAGGCAGTACAAAAAAGAATGTAAAGTTTCTTATTAATAATTTTTCAGTGCTTGCTTCAGCAGCACATATGCTAAAATTGGCACAACACAGAGAAGATTAGCATGATTAGCATGGCCCCCGTGCAAGGATGACACACAAATTTGTGAAGAATTCCATATTTTTTGCTGTTATTAAAAAGTCAAAAAATAACAGATGATGGTAAGGTTATGGAGAAAAAGGAATGCTTTTACACTGTTGGTAGGAGTGTAAATTAGTTCAACCATTGTGGAAGACAGTGTGGTGATTCTTCAAAGACCTAAAGACTACTGTTTGATCCAGCAATCCCATTACTGGGTATACGCCCAAAGGATTATAAATTGTTCTATTATAAAGACTTATGAACGTGTATGTTCATTGCAGCACTATTCACAGTAGCAAAGACATGGAATCAACTCAAATGCCCATCAATGATAGACTGGATAAAGAAAATATGGTACATAGACACCTGGAATACTCTGCAGTAACAAAAAAAGAATGACACCATGTCCTTTGCAGGGTTGTGGATGGAGCTAGAGGCCATTATCCCTAGCAAACTAATGCAGGAACAGAAAACCAAAATACCACATGTTCTCATATATACGTGGGTGCTAAATGATGAGAACACACAGACACATAGAGGGGAACAACACACGCTGGGACCTATTGGAGGGTAGAGGGTGGGAGGAGGGAGAGAAGCAGGAAAAATAACTAATGGGTACTAGGCTTAATACCTGGGTGATGAAATCATCTGTACAACCAACCTCCATGACACAAGTTGACCTATGTAACAAACCTGCACATCCTGTACATGTACCCTTGAACTTAAAATAGAAGTTAAAAATAAATAATTTTTATATTAATTAATTGTTTAATGTTTTTGATATTTTGGCTTAAAGAAATGTTACTAAAATTGATTTCACTTTTTAAAAATTATTTTAAATGTGGCTACTAGAAAATTTTAAATTACATTTCTACTGGACAGTGCTGCCTTTCTAGAAGCTTTTATTTCTGGTGGTGACCTAACAGGGATGTTTGGCAAGTTTGGGATTAGACCTGATAGATTTTTAGAGGAGGGTAGGCCATCAATTCCAGTTATGGTCATCTTCTTTGGAGTGGTCTTTTCAATCCTTGCTTCTTCAGTATGGTTCTTAGACTAGTAGCATTGGGAGCTTCTTAAATATGCAAAATCTCAGGTTCCATCCTTTACCTACAGAACCAGAATATGCATTTTAACAAGATTCCCAGTTGAGTATTATGCACAGTAAACATTGAGAAGCATTGCTTGGGGGCATTTTCAAGTGGTAAGGCTGATGAAGATGAGGTCAGGGAAGGGAAAGGGTACCAGAAACACCTTGCTGGGTGAGAAGTGGTCTTACCAGTGGGTAAGTTCCAGTCCGTAGGAGAAGCATTCAAATCTGGGGGAGCAATAAAGTGTTTAGAGCTGTACTCTCTAATATGGTAGCCATTGGTCACATGTGGCTATTTAACATTGGAAATGTGGCTGGTGTGACTTGAGATGTGCTGTAGGGGTAAGATGCACATCAGGTTTTAAAGACTTACTATGAATAAGAGAAAGTAAAATATTTCATTAATAAATTTACAATGTTGACAACATGTTGATATAATATTTGGAATATATTGAGTTAAATAAAATATATTGTTAAAATGAATTTCACCTTTTTTTAAAGGTAGCTATTAGAAAATTTTAAAATTTGTATGTGGCTTCCATTACATTTCTATTCGAGAACACTTCTCTAGATCATACTGGAAGAGTCAAGCCTCCAAGACTCTCCCATACAGATAGACTGTATAGCAGGGGTTGGCAAACAATGGCCACTACCTATTTGTTTAAATAAAGTTATACCAGAACACAGCCAGGTTTATTATTTCACATCATCTGTGACTACTTTCATGCTATAACAACAGATTTGAGTAGCTGTGACAGAGAATGTATGGCCCACAAAGCCTAAAATTTTTATTATCTAGCTTTTTACAGAGAAAGTTTGCTGAACCTTGCCATAGAGGGAAGATGAAGAGGCCCCATTGTTTTCTAATTCAGGATGGTTCAGGATTCACTTTCAGATTGCATATAAAGCCTTTGTTTACAGAAATGTGTGACTATATCTGAAAAATATTCTCACAGTAGTTGAAAATCAGGATTAGAATCCTTTACCTTTTATAATTGTGTATTTAATTGCACTATTCTTTTATATTATTGAAAGCATAATTCTGTTCCCATTTAAAATGCTTTTAATAGGGAATACTCTTCAGAATCTATGAGGCTTCATTTATTAATTTGGATTCTAATTGCAGCCAGATACTATTAAGCTTTTAATCATTTTAATTGATTTATTTTTCTTTTATTCTCCTATTGCACATTGAGTAATTACTTAGTAATATGGTACCAAATGCTAAGATGCATAGCAACTTTGAATATGATGAAACATTCAAATTAATTTTTTGACTAGTAATTATGTGCCCCTTTATAAAATGGAAAGGAATAAACTTATTAAGATTATTATTGCTTATCATTATTGTTCTTCTATCTCCATTTCTGCTATACTTCTCTAGCTCAGGCCTTTGGTAACTCTTGTGTTTTATACTAACATACTCCCCAGTTGGGTTTCCCTTTCTTAAATTTATTTTCCTCTGTAACCAATTCTCCTCGCCATTTCTAGGCTGGTATTTTTAAAACACTACTTTAATATTCAAACTTCTCTGATAAAAAATCCTCAAGACCTACAGAATTTTAAAACCCTTCTGTCAAGTTCATAAACTGACCTTAGACAATCTTGTAATATTATTTCCCATTAATAATCTCCATTCTTTTGCATCTCCATACTGCCATAGATACAGATCTTAATTTCTCAGACTGGTTCTCTCTTTTACATTCTTCCAGAATAGATTTTGTTAAGGTTATTGTCTTTAGTCCAGACTATAACAATCACTTATAACAAATTTCACAGTTATCTCTATTCTCTTGCTACTTTAATGCAGAAACCATACAGCTGCTATAGAATTTTCCTAAATCATAAACCTAGCTAGGTCATTACTCTGCCTAAAGTTCTTCAACAGTAACTCATTGCCCTACAGTTATGTTTCTTAATCTTTCTCTTTTTTTGTAGATCTCTTTGAGATTCTGAGGGCAGCCATAAAATGCATATAAGAATGAACGCACATAGTTTTTACATCTAGGATGTAAAAAGTCACGGGTGGCCTTTGCCCTGTGGTAACAAAACAAACAAAATAAAAATCACACGACTGTAGGGGACTATTAAAGACTGGTGGGTGCAAAGTAGTTTTGATGAACTCATTTCTAGAAAAAGTAACCCTTTGAAGGTAAGCAGAAAGAAAAAAACCTATAAAAGATGAAAAGATTTTTTGGAGTCAAAAGGTAATCAGTCAAGCTAGTAGCAATAGTGAGGGTTGACGGGGGCAGATTGAAGTCTGAAGGAGCCCCATAGATACCAATAATTTACTTGGCATAATAATCCTTTCTCTACCCCAAATTTTGCTGAGAAAGCAACAGTGAAGGCAGGCTTAAAAGAGTGAAGAATTTGAATAATCTTTTACATTCTTAGGGTGCCTGGAACCTAGTGCCATAGAGCTCTAGTGAAGCTAAATACAAAGAATGGAAAATAGCTGAAATTACAGGCCAACCTCCTCAAAGCTCAAATACTGATAAAATAAGAGGGATTTGTTTCTCAGTGGAGGCACCCTGGGAGATTAAGGACTGAGCTATCAGAGGTGAGATTAGTTTTTATTAAGGCTGTAGCTCAGTCACAGATTAACTTGACCCGTCAAATAGTTTAAATTCTATCACCTCTCATTTTAGATGCCAGACATAAGAAACAGTTTACCCTTTTGTGAGGAAAACTCAAACAAAACAAAACAAAGCATGCTTAAGTCTCCCCATGCTTTGTCTATACACAATGTCTGGCATATAAGAAAATATCATGACTCATGTAAAGAAGCAAGAAAATGTGATACACAATCAAGAGAAAAAAGCATTAACAAACAGACTGATGCCTCAGATAGCATAATAAGCGGATCAGCACTTTAAAATCAATATAAATACGTTCAAAAGTTTAGAGCACAAAACGGGCAGAATTTATGAACAGAAAGGTAATCTCAACAGAGAAACTGAAACTTCAAAAAGAACCAAATGAAAATTCTAGAACTAAAAATAAAATATGTGATATGAAAAACATATTGGATGTATTTAACAGCAGACTGGACACTGCAGGAGAAAGAATGAGGGAATTTGAAGATAGGCCAAGATAAATTATCCAAACCGAGGCAAATAAAAAATAAAAAAATAAAAAAACTCACACTGAACAGAAAGAGCAAAGCAGTTAACATCTATAATTGAAGTCCCAGAAAGGAAACAATGACAAGAAATATGGTTGATTGCTTGAGAAACAATGAAAATCAGGAAAAGATGGAATTACATTTTTTAAGTGCTAACAGAAGAAAACTGTCAATTTAAAATTCGATAGCCAGTGAAAAGAGCTTTCAAAATGGAGGCAAAATAAAAATATTTTCAGATCAACAAAAGCTGAGACAATCTACTAACAGCAAACCTACAGTATAAGAAACACTAAAAGAAGTTTTTCAGATTGAAAGAAAATGATACTAAATAGAAACTCCAACCTACAGGAAGGAATGAAGAGCACTGAAAATGGTAAAAATAAATAAATTTAAAAAACCAGGTAAATATAAAAGAATGCTTTTTTTTAACTTCCTTTAATAGAAAAATGATTTTTGAAAGCAAAAATGATAATACTTTCACGTATAGTTTTAAAGTATAGCAAAATATGTAACAAAATAGCACCAAGTATAGAAGGGGATAAATAAAATTATAACATTAAAGCTTATTAATTTTTTTTTTTGAGACGGAGTCTCACTCTGTTGCCAGGCTGGAGTACAGTGGCGCGATTTTGGCTCACTGCAATCTCTGCCTCCCGGGTTCAAGTGATTCCCCTGCCTCACTCTCCAGAGTAGCTGGGACTACAGGCGTGCACCACCACACCCGGCTAATTCTTTTGTATTTTAGCAGAGATCGGTTTCACTGTGTTGGCCAAGATGGTGTCGATCTCCTGACCTCGTGATCCGCCAGCCTTGGCCTCCCAAAGTGCTGGGATTACAGGCATGAGCCACTATGCCTGGCCAACATTAAAGCTTTTAAATTTACATGTGAATTAGTATAATAACTCAAGATCAACTTTGATGAGTTAATAATGCATATTATAGTCCATACATATCCAGATACTAAGTAACACACTTATAAAAACACGAACATGTGGATCAATGAAAAAATCCAAAGGGAAATTAGAAATTATTTTGAACTGGACACAAAGGAAAGAATAACTTATCTAAACTTGTGGAATATCTCTAAAGTAGTACTTCGGAGAAAATTTATAGCATAAAATGCGTATATTAGAAAAAAATAAAGGTCTTAAACTAAGGACCTCAGACTCCTTAAGAAAAAAGAAAAAGAGTAGCAAATATGACCCAATATGAATAGGAGAAAAGAGTTGACAACAATCGGAGCAGAATTCAATGAAATAGGAGAATAGAAAAACAATAGAGAAAATGAAAAGACCAAATGCCAGTTATTTGAAGAGATCAATAAACTTGATAAATGTATACCTAGGCTAACCAGGAAGAAAAGAGAGAAAACACAAACTACCAAAATCAGGAATGTAAAAGGGGACATCACTACACATTCCACACAAAAAGACTAGTAAGGGGATATAATTTTTAAAAACTTTATAGTCATAAATGCAACAACTGAAGTCAAATGTAAACATGCCTGAAAAAACACAAACTAGCAAAATTCCCTCAAGAAGAAATAGAGAACTCAAAAGCCCTATTGAAGAGATTATATTTGATTTGAATATCTTCCCCAAAGAAACTCTAGGTTCAAATTACTTCACTGGAGAATTTTATCAAACATTTAAGTAAGCAATACTAATTCTACATAAACTTTTCAGAAAATTGAAGAGGACAGACCACTTCCAAACTCACTCTATGAAACGAGGATTACCTTGGAAATTACAAGGATTACAAACCTGAGAAGGACATTAGAAGAAAAGAAAACTACTAACCAATATTCCTCATGGACGTAGATGCAAATATTCAAAACAAAATTTAATCAAATTGCATCTAATAATAAATAAAAAGATGACACAAATTACCTAGTGGGTCTATAGCAGAAATGCAAGGTTTGGTGCAACCAACATTGGAGTATCCAAATACAAAAGCTTGTCAACTTATGATCGGGTTGTGTCCTGATAAACTTCAACATAAGTTGAAAATATGGTAAGTTAAAAATGCACCTAACTAACCAAGCATCATAGCTTAGCCTAGCCTACCTTAAATGTGCTCAGAACACTTACATTAGGCGGTATTAGGCAAAAACATCAAACACAAAGCCTATTTTATAATAAAGTGTTGAATATCTCATGTAACTTACTAAATACTGTACAAAAAGTAAAAAACAGATGGGTTTTTTACTTAGGCACTCAAAGTATGGTTTCTACTGAATCACTTTTACCCAATCATAAAGTCAAAAAATTGTAAGTTAAGCCATCTTAGATCAAGGACTGTTTATATATAAAGCAAATATATAAAGGCAGAAAGAGACAAGGTTACAACAATAGTAGGGGACTTAGCCCACTTTCAATAATATATAGAACAGAAAATCAATATGGAAACTGCTGATGTGAATAACACTATAGACCAAAAGGACCTTATAAACTTTTACGGAACATTTCATCCAAGATCAGCAGAATACACATTCTTCTCAAGCGCACATGGAACATTCTCCAAGAAGGTCATGTGTTGGGCTACAAGTCTTAAAAATTTTCAGACTGAAATCATATGAAGTTCCTTTCCCAACCCCAATGGTATGATTGGAAATCAAAAGCAAGAGTAACATGGAAATATTTACAAATATGTGGAAATTAAACCACACACTCACGATCAAAGGGTCAAAGAAAAAATGAAAAGGGAAATCAAAAAGTATGTTGAGACAAACAAAAATGAAACCCAACTACCAAAACTTATGGTATGCAGCAAAAACAGTTTTGAGAGGTAAGTTTATTATGATAAATGCCTACATTAAGAAAAATGAAAGATCACAATAAACAACCTATGGTTATACCCAAGAAACTAGAAAAGAAAACAAATTAGGTCTAAAGTCAGCAGAAGCAAGGAAATAATAAAGATCACAGAAGAAATAAATGAAAGACACCAGAAAAACAATAGAATAAAAGATCAATAAAACCAAGAGCTGTTTTCTGAAACAATAAATAAAACAATTTTGTGCAGCACACCAACATGGCACATATATACATATGTAACAAACCTGCATGTTGTGCGCATGTACCCTAAAACTTAAAGTATAATAATTAAAAAAAAGCAGAAGAAACAAGAATAAAAACAGAAAAATGGGACTACATCAAGAGCAAAAAGCTTTTTGGACATCAAAGAAAACATTTAGTGGAGTAAAAATGCCACCGAAGAAATGAGAAAAAAATTGCAAATAATATATTTGATAGAGGTTAATATCTAGAATGTATAAACAATTTCTAAAACTCAACAACAAAAAGCAAATAATCCTATTTAAAAATGGGCAAAACACTCAAGAGATGTTTTTTACAAAGCAGATATACAAATAGCCAAGAGGAATTTGAAAAGATGCTCAAAATACAAATCTTTAGTGAAATACAAGGCAAAACCCCAATGAGATATTACCTCACACTCATTAAGATGGCCACTATCAAACAAGAAAAAAATAACAAATGTTTTCAGGGATGTAGAGAAATTGGAACACTGTGCACTGGTGCTGGAAAAAATAATAATGCAACCATTATAAAAAATAGTAAAGAGTTTCCTCAGAATATTAAAAATGAAATTATCACACAATCTGGCAATCCCATTTCTGGATATCTATCTAAATGTGCAAAGCAGGACCTGAAAGAGATATTTGCACAACCATGTTTATAATAGAATTATTCCCAAAATCCAAAAGGTAGAAGCTAGTTAAATGTCCCTTGACAGATAAACAAGTAAAGAAAATACGATATATACATACGATGAAATATAATTTAAAAGGAAATCCTATCACACGCTACAGTGACAATAAACCATTAGGACATTACGTTAAGTGAAATATGTCAGGAACCAAAGTGACAGTGAGTGTATGATTCCACTTATGAGATATCTTAAGTAGTCCAACTCACAGAAAGAGAAAATAGCATGTGTTTGTCAAGGGCTCAGGAGAACGTTAAAATGGGCAGTTGTTTTTTAATGGGTACTGAGTTTTAGTTTTGCAATGGAAAACTCTAGAAGCCTGTTGCATTACAATGTGGATATATGTAATACCACTAAATTATGCAATTAAAAACATATAAAATGGTAAAAAAAATAATTTTTTTTCTGCTTAGAGCAGCTTTATTCACAATTGTCAAAAGCTGGAAGCAACCAAGACGTCTTTCAATGTGTGAATAGACAGAAACTATGGTACATCTACAATATGGAATATTACTCAGCAATAAAAAGAAATGAGTTATTAAAGCACAAAAATACATGGAAAAGCTTTAAAAACATATTGCCAAGTGAAAGAAATCAGTCTTAAAAGCCTACATACTATATGACTCCAATTTACATATAGTAAAATTCACATATCTTAAATGTAGATTATACATCTATTACTTAACACAGTCATCAAGATTTGGAACATCTCCATTCCCTGCTACCCCGGAACTTTCTTTAACTCCTTTTCAGGCAATAGTCTCCCTCAGAGCACCTGTTGTTATATCACCAGAGATTAATTTTGCCTGTTCTTGAACCTCATATAAATAGAATCATTACTATTAATTTTTGTGTATGTTGACTCTGTAAGTGTATACTTTGTTAACCTTAACTAATAAGAAAGCGTATATTTTCTTATTAGTTCTAATGGTTTAGGAAGTGCAGGAAAACAATGATGTTCCCAAAATTAATACTTTTGTCTTCTTTTATACATTTTAACTCTTATTTTTGGTTTATATCCTATTGCATTGATTTGAATGAAAACTGACAAGCCTTTAGAAGAGTAACTAAAGAAGAGAGAAGACTCAAAATTATGAATGAAAGAAGAGACATTATTACTGACACCACAGAAATATGAAGGATCTAAGAAACTACTATGAACAATTAGAGAAGAAATTAAAATAAAAACTTATGAGTATCCCTTATCCAAAATACTTAGGACCAGAAGTGCTTCAGGTTTGGGTTTTTTTCAGGTTTTGTAATATTTGCATATACACAATAAGACATCTTGGGGATGAACCCAAGTCTAAACATAAAATTCATTTATGTTTTATATACACCTAATACAAATAGCCTGAAGGTAATTTTATGTAACATTTTAAATAACTTTATGTATGAAACAAAGTTTTGACTGCATTTTGACTGTGATCTGTCACATGAAGTCAGGTGTTGAGTTTTCTTCTTGTGACATCATGTTAGCACTCAAAAAAATGTCAGACTTTGGGGCATTTCAGATTTTGGACTTTTGAATTAGAGATGCTCAACCTGTATAGTACAAAAAGAGAGAACAGTGGTCCAGTGTCCATATCCAATGAATACTGATGCAAAAATTTGAAACTATACATTAGCAAACCAAAACCAACACCACATTAACCACATTAAGAGAAGAATACTCCATGATCAAGTGGGATTTATTACAGAAATGCAAGGCTGATTCAATAAAAAGAAATCCATTAATACCATATGCTGTATTTACATGTAAAAGATCATATGATTACCTCCATAGACTGAGAAAGCTTTGACAAAATTCAACATTGATTCATTAGAAAAACACTCAAGAATATAGAGACTATATTCTTGAATATGAATATATTCTAACCATGATAAAATTTATATACCTAATGTAAAAATCATTATTTTATAACGGGAAAACACTAGAGACATTTCCACTAAGATGAGAACAAAGTAAGATGACCACTACCTTTATTATATTAAACATGGTACTAGAGGTATTAGCTAATGCAATTAGACAAGAAAAGTCAATTAGAGGCATAGGAATAAATAAAGAAGAAGTAAGACTATTTCTATTTGCAAATGATATGACAGTATACCTGGGTAATCCCAGAAAAAATAAATAATAAAACTAACTCAAACAATAAAAGAGTTCAGTGAGGTAGCAAGATTTAAAGTTAGCAGAGAAAATCAGTAGCCCTTGTATATACAAATAATAAACAGAAGACATAATAGTAGAGAAAGCCTCATTTACAGTATCAATAAAGAATACTAAATGCTTATAAGTAAGTTTAACAATAAATGTGTAAAACTTCATAGAAAAAAATGTTAAAACATTCCCCCAAAGACTCTAAAGGAGACTTTTGGGAAAAAGTAGAACAAATGGAAATACATCACTTATTCTTGGATAGTGCAACTCAGCATTACAGAAATGTCATTCCTCCCTAGGTTGATTTATAAATTAAATGCAATCCCAGTAAGATATCAGCAAGCAATTTTATGGAATTAGACAAGCTGATACTAAATTTCATAGGCAAAAACAAACATGCAAGAATGGCCCTGGAAACAATGAAGTGAAAATGTATGGGAGACCACCATTCCTATCAGATATTATAATCTACTGCAAAGCTGTCTGTCAACTTCCATGGGTTTTTATGTAAATTTCATTGAATTTGTAGGTTAATTTTGGGAGAAATTAAATCTTTACAATATTAAGCATTTCCATTTGTGAACACGGTATATGCCACTGCATTGCTAAAGTATAATATAGGTATTACATTATACTAATATATAATATAATATAATATAATATAATATAATATAATATAATATAATATAGCTATTGTATTATACTAATTATGCTAAAGTGTTTTTTAAAATGCTTTTTTGTTGGCCAGGTATGGTGGCTAACGCCTGTAATCCCAGCACTTTGGGAGGCCAAGATAGGCGGATCACTTGAGGTCAGGAGTTTGAGACCAGCCTGGCCAACATGACGAAACCTGTCTTTACTAAAAATACAAAAATTAGCCAGGCATGGTGGTGTGCATCTGTAATCCCAGCAACTCAGGAGGCTGAGGTAGGAGAATCACTTGAACTCAAGAGGTGGAGGTTGTAGTGAGCTGAGATCACTTCACTGCACTCCAGCGTGGGTGACAGAGCAAGATTCCATCTTATTATTATTGTCTCATACAGTTAAAAATTATTTAGATTTACCCATATGTTTGTCATTTTCTTTGCTCAGCATTGCTCCTTCCCTAATGCACCTTGCTTCTGAGTTCTTTTTCTGAAGAACATTATTTTTTTTCCAGTGAAAGTATGTAAAACTCTCAGTTTTATTTGTCTGGAAATATAATGTTTAAAATTCTCCCACTTGAATAATTTAGTATAGAATCTCAGGTTGACAGTTTTAATTCTTTTCCTCATTGGAAAACAAATTTTCCTCAATGGAGCTACTACTCCATTGCCCTCTCACTTCTGTTGTTGCTATTGAGAAATCTGCTGTAAATCTTATTATTCCTTTTTCACTAATGTCTTTTTAAATTCTCTGGTCACTTAAAAAGTTTTCTTTTTGTCTTTGCTATTCTGAAGTTTCACTATAGGGTATCTTGGAGTAGGTTATTACACTCAGGTTTTGTTATGTAACCTGAATCTGAAGACTCACAGCTTTCATCTGTTCTGAAAAATTGTCATGTTCTTTCTATTAGTTCTCTCCATTTGTTCTAATATCTCTCTAGATAACTTTTATTGGCTGTTTGAAGAGCTTAATTCTGCTATTATGTTTAGTAATTGCCATTTATTATGGGTTGTTTCTTTTAGTGTTATAAAATATTGACAAATGAGCTAATCCTCAATGGGTTTTATCTGTAAAATGTCCTTCCAAAGAGTTTTGTGTTAGTTCTTTCAAGGGATTTTAATGTTCCATGACAACTTCCTATGTTATTTTTTGGCCTACAGAATTACCCAAACTATGCAGTCCTGTAAATAGTATGTTCCCCAAACTCATACACAGCTGATCATTATTATTCTCAATTAAAAAAAAACATCTTTTTTAAACACTGAAAGACTGACAAGCTTCCTTGTCATTTCCCTGTGCAGTCAAGGATTTAAAGGTGCTGGCTGTATGAGGGAGTGAAAAGCAAGTGGTAGCTCAGTTCTTGGCCTATGTGAGCTCAAGGTCTCATTCTCTGTCCACTCATGGGTGTTAAATCAAGCTTCCAGATTTCCAAGACTAATAATCTCTGTCTCTCATCAGGTCCAACTTCTTGGGTGAGCCACAGACTTGGTACATGTGTTTATCACTCCGATTATAAGTTTCTAGGTCATTTCTGACCCCGGTATATAATTTTTTTCATTTTTCTAGAAGGTCAGCCAACTATTCCAAAGGAAATATATTCTATGTTATATGTACCATTTCTAGGTCATTACAGCTGGATGTCTTTTAGGTGAGTCAGTCTATCACACTATCAGAAGTCCTGTCAGCCTGTGCTTGATTCTTTACTACCTCTACTTCCAAACCCACATTCTCTACTCTAGTCAGGCTTTTCTTCTTTCTGGCCCATCAATATGTCATACTCTTTAATACTTTTATGCTTTTGCTCATGCTGTTTTCTGACTTGTCATAGCCACCCTCCCCATTGCCTACCCAATTCTAGCCTTTAAGAGTCAGCTTAACCTGCATTTCCTCCATGGTGTCTATATCTCTGGTCACTGTCAACTTCCCTCTCCTCCAACTTCTCCTAGAATTACAGTCCGCATTTAATCCTGAGTCACAAGTGGTCTTCTATTATTTGCTTTTGTTTCTTGGCTCTTATTTCACGCACACAATTTCAGGAAACTGAATCTGAAGAAATCTTGGGCTGCTTAAAGCACCAAAGAGTCTGGTATTTAATGTGTGTTATTATTCCTTTAACATGCTAACTGTAATCAACAATAATTTAGAAAATTTATAATTTGTGCAGACCTCTACTTTGACAATATAGAAAGATGTTTTTTTCTGTTTTATTCATGAAAGAAAAGTTATGTTGTCCCCAAGCACCAGAACATTCCTACTTTTGTGTAATCCACCCTGAGACCTGCAATGGGACTTATTCCCGGGGTATTAATCAGCTTTGGAACAGGCAGTGCTCATGCCAGATACAGACTGGCAGGAAGCTGATGAGGCAGCACAATGAATGATCTACCATAAAGGCCATAGGCAAGAGGTAGCCATTAGTCTAGAGCTCAGTAATGCACTCTTCAAGTACATTACTCACCAATCCATCAGGCAACCTGCTACAGGACCGAGAGATTCCAGCACTTTTAAATCTGTAATGCGATGGCTGCCAGCCTGCTCTACATGCCCTAGGTTACAAGGGCACAATAGTATAGGAGGAAGGCAATTCATTTGGTGTCATAGCCAGTATTTTTTCTATTCTTTCTTCTGTGTGTACTTAAGAAATGGGCCTTCCACTATCCATAGATTAATAGTGGAGAGAATGCTCTGGTGTCTCTATTAGCATTAACTACCAACAGATATTTTTCTAGTGTCTAATCGGCAGAATTTTCATTAGCTAAAACAAAAAATACTTGTATAGGAAAACAGATCTTATTTTTTAATTCTAAAATATGGCTACATAAATTTCTACTAAAAGAGACTATCAAAATGAACTCAATAAATAAAGCCACAGAAATATAAATATGCCAAAACTTAGTTATAACCAAGAGTGGCACTTTTTTGTTTTGAGACAGCCTCTTGTTGCCCAGGCTGGAATGCAACGGTGCAATCTCGGCTCACTGCAACCTCCGCCTCCCGGGTTCAAGTGATTGTCCTGCCTCAGCCTCCCAAGTAGCTGGGATTACAGGCATGTGCCACCATGCCCGGCTAATTTTGTATTTTTAGTAGAGACGGGGTTTATCCATGTTGGTCAGGCCAGTCTTGAACTCCCAACCTCAGGTGATCCATCTGCCTCAGCTTTCCAAAGTGCTGCAATTACAGGCGCGAGCCACCGCGCCTGGACTTTTTTTTCTATTCAGGTAGCATTTACCAAATTTGGAGGATTTCTGTGCGTATGCCATAATTATAACTGCAAATGAAGGTTTAGGCAAAGACAGTGATTATGTTAACTACAATAAATTTTTTTCAATTTGTAAATTAACAAAGATATGCAATTAAACAAACTATAGTCATAGATAAAAAGAGAGGCTGTATGTTTAACTTGATTATGGTAGGCTTATTATTTATCCTGATATTACACTGTTCCCACTTCTTTCGTGTTACAATGTCTTTTATGACAATATATTTGATTATAATTTTTGAATGTTCTTGCTTGGTAATATGTGTCGGCAAATCTGTTGGTGTACTCACTTTTCCAAGTAGCTTATAAGATCCAAAGGTGTGAGACGCACTGATCCAGAACATTCAGTGAATGTAGTGAGGGGAAGGAAAGGTATTGTCTCGGCAGCAGTTATGTTTTGATGGCCTCTTGAGAACCGAAGCCCTTGTGAGTTCCCTGTGGTGATAAGCAAATGAGGAAGGAGAGAATTAGGAATGAGGAATTCTTGCTCACGAAAGGTATGAGGATCACCTGCTCTCTGTCCCTCCTGGCAGAGATGACTATACTGTCATACCATGTCCTATATCAGTGCTTTCTCAGTCTATGCATGAAAATCAGCAGCAAATATTTAAATACACATAGGTCATAATAATGATTAATATTAACTTAGCAGGTACTAAGTGGTTTTTAGGTTTTTTACTTATGGTAACTCATTCAATCTTTACAATAGCCCTTCAAGGTTGTTATACCTTTTTAGAGATGAGAAAGCTTAGGGGATTTAAGCAACTTATAAAATCACGAGTATGAATTTGAGTCCAGGTAGTCTGGCCTCAGAGCAGGTACTCTTTCTTAACCACTACTTTATACTGCCTCCCATGCCCTTTTCAAAGATCCAAAATCTAGATTGCTGTGTTCAGTAGGCCTGGCACAGGACTCAGGAATCTGTGGTTTTTAAAAGCTCTATAGGTAGCTCTAGTGCACAGCCAGGGTTAAGGACCAAAGGTGTAGTGTTAGTTGCCTAGCCTTTTCTTCCTAGAGCATGGCTCCCTGGAACTGGGCTTATACTCTCATTTTATGCCACAGGAAATACCTTAGTGTAATCCCACTGTCATGGACAACATTCTGTTGAACCATAACCTAAATTGGTATGTCCTACACAGCTCAGCTCTGAGCATCATAGCTAAGCCAAAACAGAGAATACTAAAATAATGGGGGAATATTAAACATGAAAAATAAGGATTAGTTTAAGAAAACAAGGATATCAATTTTTAGAAGAGATTACTTAGGGGCAGATACGATGGCCTTATTCAAACATCTAGAAGAATAGACTATGCTAAGGTCCTTCAGTATGTAATTAGGTTCTGTGCAAATTAAGAAAGAGTATGTAATGTCTAATGGAAGAAAGAATTTTTTAGAGTGAGATGTGCTCAAAGATAGAACTGGTTACTCCAGAAAATTCTGATTTCCTGTCATTAAAGGTCAGAGTGATATTTGGTGGCACTGTTGTAGAGGTTTCAAGTGATAAATGTTGGTTAGAACCCCATTTAGGGTTCACTAAAACCTCCAAAGTCTTTTTTTCTGCATGTTTCCTTGGCATAGGCCTGGCTGATATATAGCTGACAGTATCGGCACAGCTTTAGCAGTTGTTTAATGCCAGTATCAGTTTTGACTGGTTAGTGTCCATGCAGTAGATGCCAGAGTTTAATATTTTTTAATATTGCCTGCAGAGTATGGGCATTCATTCAATTAAGCATATTTTGAGTATATGTCCAGGCACTAAATTAAAGAAGCAAAGAAAGGTAAATGACACACGGCCCCATCCTTACATCTAGTGGGGTATACATATACACAATAAATTCAGGTCAAGCCATATGACATTGCTAACATTCAACCATTTTTTTTTACCTAGAAAAATGGTGATTTCATATGGTTCAACATAATACAGTTAATAACTGTTATCATAAAATATTTAAAAATGCTATAGGAACACAGATAATTGAGTTTAGTCTATCAGAGCAAGTCTATGTGCAGGATGGAATTCCTGGAAAATTTTTGAAAACTGGACATAATGTTTGAGCTGTATTAAAAGTATAAGCAAGAAATTTTCAGGTAAACATACAGTGAAGAGTTTTCCAGGGAGATGAAAGAGAATGAGAAAAAGGATGGAGAAATGGGAAGCATTTATGATTTAGGATTAAAAGGACAGAATTTCTCCCATAGTACTAATAATCTGTTACAGAGCTGACATTCTTTTTTTTTTTTTTTACTTCTCCGTGTGTATCCTTTATACCCTTTACTGAGAGGCTTTAGATATGTACCAATACTCCAAAATAGTAGGAAGGCTCTAGTAGATACGAATATAGCAGTACTCTCTCCATGAGCATACATTTTATGTTGACGAGGTAGAAGAATGCATATAATTGTGTAAAGGGGCATATGAGGTAGTTGTTAATGGCATGAGTATTAGAGAAAAGCTGGGTGTGGGTTTCAATGTTATCACTTACTAATAGTGGGTCATGGGTAAGTTATTTAGCCTTTCTGGCCTCAATTTCTTCATCTATAAAATGCATATAGCCATAGTACCTTTATCTCCTGTGCTAGAACTTGTCTATTTCTTTTATTAGAAAAACAAAAGTGATTATACTTTATGCTCTCATTCCTTTCTGGAGAATATAAAACACTTAAAAATATATTTTTTTCCTTCAAGTAAATTGTTCATCTCTTTTCAACAAAGTGGGACAAGTGAGAGTTTTCAAATAGAAAACCTGCTCTTTGAAGCTTCTGGGCTACTTAATATTAGAAAAATTGGCTCTTTCAACACCAAATGCAGCTAAGCCAGTATTTATGAGGAGTCCAGGAATTTTGTTCTAGGAGGAAAAAAAATCTTCTTGCAAACAAACAACTAAATATTCTGGATAAAAGATTTACAACATCCTTTTAAATATATAGCTGAGCTCACAATAAAGAAAGGAAAATCCTTAGAGGCAAAGAACTAAGCAGAAGCATGAATCCAGAGAGGTAAACAAGCTAAAGCCAGAGGCTGCCCTGAAGGCAACTGCCAATTCCCCAGAAACCTAAAGCATCTTATTTGTGAAGCTGGAATGCAAACCCCAACTTAAAATCAGGATTCCAGAAGAGATACACCTTCCCCGAAAGAGTAACGTACGAATTCTGCCCTGCAAATGGAGAAACAATAAAAATTCTGTTCAGTCTTGGGTATGGTTGGAACAGGCAAAAATCTCTCTTCTTAATATTAACATTCTTAATACGGGCACATGTAATTGATAATCCCAACAAGGATTCTCCTGACAGTAGAAGAGGACATTATTAATAATTACACAAGGACAAAGGGCATTAACTAGGACTGTCTTGAGCAAAGCAGGACGTATGAACACTCTACTCTATAACCACAGGTTAGCTGCCAGGTTGGCATGGGGATTGAAATCAGGCCATCTATGTAGGTTAAAAAATATCCAAGCTTAGAAATTAAAGTAATCCTCAGTTCATAGTTCTTTCTAGGCACTCAGCAGTGAAAAAAAATACAAATCCATTCTAGGAAAATGCATCCTCAACCCTGAACTCATAGAATTTGCTCAGATTTTCGAGTTTACATGATCTTATAATAGAATAGACAAAGAAAAGTCACCAAAAGCCCATGAGTAAACAAGATTCTATGAGCAAAAGCAAACAGAAATAACAGGAATAAAATCTAATGAAGAAACACAGTATTTCAAACATTTGGATCACATAATTTAGAACATAAAATAAGTATGTTTAACATGTGTAAAGATGGAAGAAGGGAATAGAAATATGAGCCAGAAAAAAGGGACTACAAAATATAACCAGGCAGATTTTTAAATAAAGATTCAACTAGATTGCTTATGAAAAATAATTAAAATTTAAAATTCAATAGATAAGTAAAACATCAGATTTGACATAGACAAAGAGAGAATTAGTGAACTAGAAGATAAAACTAAAGAAATTAGCCAGAATAAAGCATAGAGAAACACAGAGATGAAAAATATGTGACAGAAATGATAATGCAAGGAGGGGACAATGAAAAAATCTAATCTATTCTTAACTTTAGAAGAAGTGATAATACAGAAAGTAAGAGACAATATTCAAGGAGATAATTATTGTGAATTTTCAAGAAATTTTGGAATACATGAATCATTAGAATCAGGAAGCATAATGATCTCAAGCAGGATAAATATAAAGAAATCCACAAATACACCATACCTCATCAGAGTGAATCTTCAAAACATCAAACATAATGAGTAAATCTTGAGAGCAATCAGAGAGAATGACAATTCACCAGGAGAGAAACAGTATTGATATCTGACTTCTCAATGGCAACAATGAAAACTGGAAACTACAATATAATATATTTAAATTACTAAGAGGAAATAATTTACAACCTATAACTGAATTCCCAGAAAATTAGAGTCTGAGGTTAAAATAAACACATTTCAGATAAAAACTGAAAGTTTACAAGCAATAGACCCTCACTGAAGAATTCTTAAGCGCTGTACCTCAGGAAGAAGGTAAATGATCCCAGAAAGAAGGTATGTGCTGCAATAAGAAATGCCAGCCAAAAACACAAACAATCAGAAAAGGAATATATTAGATATGGGTATATCTAAATAAACATTGCTGTGTAAAATGATAAGACATACGGCTCTACTTTAGTAAAGTAGATTTTGTTATCGGGTGAACCATTCTGTAGATAACAATGATAAATTCTGGACAAATATTTTAAAAAGAGCTACTCAAAGGCACTGATTTATAGACAAAGCTAAAATTATCAAGTGTCTAAGAAGCAACCACAGGAGAATCTCTTGACAGGTGTGTGTGCTGGGGGATGGGGAGGGCATGTAAATATTTCTTAGGACACAAAAAGCAATAGTTATAAAAGAAGACCTCAGGCCTGGGCACGGTGGCTTACACCTGTTAATCCCAGCACTTTGGGAGACCAAGGTGGGCCGATCACTTGAGGTCAGGAGTTCGAGACCAGCCTAGCCAACGTGATGAAACCTTGTCTCTACTAATAAAAAATGAAATAAAATATATTAAAAATTAGCCAGGTATGGTAGTGCACACCTGTAGTCCCAGCTACTCGGGAGGCTGAGGCAGGAGAATCACTTGAACCTGGGCAGCGGAGGCTGCAGTGAGCCGAGATCACGCCATTTCACTCCAGCCCGGGTGACAGAGAAAGACTTTGTGTCAAAAAAAAAAAAAACAAAAAACAAACCTCATTATGATTGTGCCACTATTGCACACCAGCCTGGATGATAGAGTGAGACCCTGTCTCAAAAAGAAAAAAGAAAAAAAATCATTAAAATTTACAAAAAAACACCATTGATAAGATGGAAAAGCAAGCTACAGAATCAGACAAAAAATATTTGAAAAATATGTATCTGACAAAGGACTTGTAAAAAACACAAGTCAATGACTAAAAATAATCACTCAATTTTTAAGAAGGGCTAAAGATCTGAACTGACATATCACAAAGAAAGATATAAATGACCATTAAACACATGAAAAAGTACTTAAAGTCATCAGTGATCAAGGAAATGCAAAATTAAATTATAAGATAACACTACATACTCACTAGATTCGTAAAATTGAAAACACTGAATGTTAGTGTGGATTTAGAGCAATTCGAACTCTTATATATTGCTGGTGGGTATGTAAGATGGCACAATTATTTTGGAAAACTTTTTGATAGTTTTTTATATAGTTAGATATTCACCTGCCCTTTCTCCAGCAATTACCAGAGAAATAAAAACCTAGATACAAAAGATTTGTACAAGAATATTCACAACAGCTTTGTTCAAAATAGTCAAAATGGAAACTCAAATATTCACAAATGGGAGAATGAATAAACTAATCATAGTATATTATATTCATGCAATGAAGTATTACTCAGCAATGAAGAATAAACTACTGACACTCAAAACAACATAAATGGATCTCACAGACATTATGCTGAGCAGAGGTAGTTGGACACAACAGAGCACATACACTATATGATTCAATTTAAATAAAGTTATAAAACAGGTAAAACTAATCTATGGTGAAAAATATATCAGAAAATTGTATCAGGAGGATTGAGTAAAAAAAGGACCCCAAAAAAACCTTTCTTGAATGATGTTCAATACTTTAATAGGGGCATGCATTACATGGATAGATATATTTGAAAAAACCAAACTCATCAAAATGGACATTTCACTGTATGTGAATTTTATCTCAAAAAAGAACTACAAAATATTAAATTCTAATTAGTAGGCTTGGGTTTTTGTAATAATCTGAGTGAGTAATGTAAAACTAACTTCCGTGTCTAGGCTTGAGCAAATGAATAAATACATTAAGAATAATGGAAACCAGATTTCTTCAGTGTTAGAGACAGGAGTTATAAATATGGAAAGGGGGAAGACTAGAATTTAACCTATGATGTTGAAGTGGAATTAAAGTTATCAAGATGAACACTTTTAAAGTAATGATTAAAAATATAGATATAGGTATATATAAAAAAAGTGTGTTTTAGAACTATAAAAACAAATTTCCTACTTCTATCAGTTGAGGGAGCATAGATGCAATGATACACCAACATCAGTGAGCACACTTAGTACACAGATTTTGGTTTAAAAATGCCACTGTCTACTAAAAGCAATTAGGCTCCATGGAGAAAAGGCTAATTTTTGACCAGTACAGGGAAGTATAAGGTGAGCCTAGAATATCTTGCTCCAGCAAATGAGAAAACGCTCAAAGAATGATGGGGACATATCAAAAGAGTATAGGAGACAGTTTAAAGGGGCTACTTGACAAATTTGGAACAACTTATATATCAAAATAATGATAATAATGGATTATAACCTATAGAATAAAATTAGTGTCGGTAAGTTCATACTGATATAAACAAGAAAACAAACAAACATAAGAGAGAAGGGAAAGATCTACCTTACAGTAAAATGTGACTAATAGAAAAGGAATAGTGGTGTCATATAATACTTTAAAAAGGTTGCTAATAGGTAAAAGTTTGATGAGGAGTGGAATAGTCACATAGTCTCAAAGTAGCTACTCATACATTATCTATTAATTAGAAAGAGAAAAGCAGTAACTTATAGAGTGGAAAGACCCTAGCACATACCACCTTAACCAAGTGATACAACTTATCATCACCCCAATATTATAGCAAACCATGATAGGCTCATATCATGAGCCTTCTGATACAGTTGGCTGAGAAGGATATGCCATCAGTTCTGTGCTATTTCTTCCCCACATGCCTAATCAAAATCTAATTATGAGCAAACATTATGCAAGCCCAAATGCCAAGGCCAAGTAAGAAAAAGGTCTGAGGAAATGTTATAGATTAAATGTGCCTACAGAGATATGGCAGCTAAATTTAATTTGGAGCAATTTGAACTTTTGATTAGATCCTGGACTGAGTAGGTGGGAGATAGCTATGAGGTCATTATTGGGACAACTGACTAAATATGAATATGGGCTAAAGCATAATAGTATTATACAATGTCAAATTTCCTGATTTGGGTTATTGTACTTTGGTTATGTAAGAGAATGGCCCATTCTTAGAAAATATATATTGAAGCATCAGGGGTAAAGGGGAATAATGTTGCTAACTTTCCAAATTACTCTTAGATGGGAGTAGGCATTGAAGAGAGGGAGTGGGGATGGGGGTGGAGAGAGAGAGAGAAAGAAATGGTGTGAGGAGGGAGAAAATGACAATCTTGTAACATTTCACCTTTTAAGGTGAAAAAGCACACCCTGAGGATGGTAGAGCAAGATAGGAAACTTGGACTTTAACGATTTTGGACCTACCACATTGCACTAAGTTGTTTACCTCTGAACTTTATCTACATGAAGAGAAATAAACTGTACTTTTGTTGAAGCTACTGTTACTCATTTGTTCATTTCTTTGTTTTTGTCAAGCATAGCCAAATCTAATCTGAAATAATACATGAAATAGTCAGAACTCTTACCTACTGTTGATGGGAGTGTGGATTAATATAGCCACTTTGAAGCACAAATTGGTATTATCTAGTAAAGCTGAAGATGCAAATATTCTATGAGTCAGAAATTCTACTCCTAGTTATATATCCTAGACACAACTGCACATGGGCCATGGAAGACAAGAATTCTAACAAGAATTTCACAGCAGCATTGGTTTTAATAACAAAAAACAACTGAAAAAATACTATCCATGTGTGTGAAAATTGATAAAGGATATTCACACCATGGTATACTATTCAACAGAAAAAACAAGTGAAGAAAGCTACATATTCAATGAGTGAATTTCAAACACATAAAGTTGGGTAAAAAAGGCAAATTACTAAAAAAGATGTCAGTATGATAACATGCATATTAAAATAAAAAACGATGCTGCATTTATTCTGGGGTAGAAAAAGCTCTGGGGTACTAAAAATGAAAATAATTAAAAATATTAGTGCAAGTATTGAGAAAGAAGATGTCTTTAATATCTAGACCAGGGCGCAGTGGCTCACACCTGTAATCCCAGCACTTTGGGAGGCCAAGGTGGGTTGATTATCTGATGTCAGGAGTTCAAGACCAGCCTGACCAACATGGAGAAAGCCCGTCTCTACTAAAAATACAAAAAATTAGCCGGATATGGTGGCATATGCCTGTAATCCCAGCTACGGAGGAGGCTGAGACAGAAGAATCACTCAAACCTGGGAGGCAGAGGTTACGGCAAGCTGAGATTGCTCCACTGCACTCCAGCCTGGGCGACAAGAGTAAAACTCCATATCAAAAAAAAAAAAATCCCCCTGGTTTTTTTGTCCGGGTGTGGTAGCTCACACCTGTAATCCCAGCACTTTGGAGGGACGAAGAGGGCAGATCACCTGAGGTCGGGAGTTCGAGACCAGCCTGACCAACATGGAGGAACCCCGTCTCTAAAAAATAAAGAAGAAAGAATGTCTAGACCAACACTATCCAATAGAGCTTTCGACAATGACAGAAATGTTCTATTATCTGTGCTGGCAAACGTACTAGCTAAATATGGCTATTAAACACTTAAAATATGGCTGATGCAACTGAAGAACTGAATTTTAATTTAAAATTTTAATTAATTTAAATAGCCAGAGGTGGCTAATGGCTACTGGTTAACACAAGTCTAGACTATACATTCTTCCACAAGTATGGTAGTTCCTCAACTCTTTTCTTATATGTTTGGTATATCACTCAAAAGTTGAGTTTAAAGAATGATGACACTGCTATAATACGTCTCCTCCTATTTCCATCTATTTATTTATGCTAACAGGCTTCTCAAGGCTTACATCAGCAAAACAAAAATATAAATTAAAAAATTCACTCAGTCAATCAGTAAAATTGACATACAGGCACATGAGCTAATTGGGGAAACAAGTCTTATGCATCTCACTAACAGAGGTGCATTTAAAAAATTTTTTTTAATTTTGTTTTTGATAAAAACAATTACTTTTTAAAATAATTACTTATAAAATTTGGGTAATAAATTTGTTATTTTGATCAATTGTGTAAAAAAATAAATGTAATGATAATTTGATACAAAGATATTTTAATGCTTTAAGAGGAGATTCCCAAACTTTGTTCTTGAGGCCCTTAGTGTTGCAATAGGTTTTTTTCAGGGCTATTCTAGGGCTAAAAGAAAAGAAGTCCCAGCTTAGTAGTAGTAGTAGTTCAGGTCATGCCCAACAGATGTCGCTGTGTTTCTCTCTAAAATTTAAACTATCCCACAGAGCCCCTGCAATGAGTTGGCTGCAATGCTCAGGGGTGTCTTGGTACGCAGTTTGGGATCCACGGACCTAGAGTCTTTGGGGCCTACAAAATGAAACAACTGGCAAATCTGGATAAATAACATATGGGAGTATATTTCCAATGTTTATGAGTAGTTTCCCAGAGTCATTTAACTAACGGAAAATGTATAAAACACCTATAAAAAGGCAGATTTAAATAATTTTAAAAGATTATAAATAATTTTTGGACAGACTAGTAGTGAATGGTACGACTGTCTAGGAGTCCACGAATAAATTATGAATTATAGATTAAATGTCCTACCAAAGAAATGGATTGATATGTACATATACTATAAACATGCCAGTGCCTACAACAGGAAAAATATTTAATTGTTAGGTCTGTAAAAAGAGGTATTCAGCTTAGAAAATAAGCCTCTCTCAGCCCACATCTCATCTTCCCACTATGGAGGCTGCTTGTGGCCACATACTGAGGAGATTGTCTAATGTGCTATTATTCTTTGATGATTCACTTGGACCAGGCTAAGAGAGTAGATCCACCCTGGAAAGATTTACATAAATGAAAGAGAGACAAAGAAAGGTGTGGGCTGGGGGAAGAGAGGAGGAGTGGGAGAGAGGCAGAGAGAGAAAGGGAGAGGAAAAGGGAGGAGAGGGAGAGGGAGGGGGGGAGAAGAAAAAGTGCTGTAACTGGGAAAGAGAAGTACAATGAATTGAAGAGAATGTTAAGAAGGGTTTAGAAAGAGGAAGAGGAATGATTACAGCTTATTGTGAGCATCTTTAAATATACAATGAAAGGTAGACAGTTGTATTTTCCTATGTTTATAAATGTATTTTCCCCTTGGTATTTTCTACAAACAGTCCCTATCTACAATTTAAATTAGTAGTTTATGGAAAAACAGAGAAGTTCCTCAAGAATAGTACACACAGAAGGACAAAGTCATATCAAAATAAAACATCTCTAGCTAAACACATACTTTTTTTTTTTTTTTTTGTGAGATGGAGTCTTGCTCTGTCACCCAGGCTGGGTGCAGTGTCGCGACGATCGTGGCTCATGGCAACCTCCACCTCTGGGGTTCACACCATTCTCCTGCCTCAGCCTCCCAAGTAGCTGGGACTACAGGTGCATGCCACCACACCCAGCTAATTTTTTGTATTTTAGTAGAGACGGGGTTTCACTGTGTTGCCCAGGCTGGTTGCGAACTCTTGAGCTCAGGCAATCCGCCTGCCTCGGCCTCCCAAAGTGCTGGGAATACAGGTGTGAGCCACCACTCCCGGCCCATACGTGAATTTTGAATAAAATATTAAGATAGTTTATTCACCACTGAACTTGACTTCCTTATAATAAACTTTGGCAGAATTGAAACAGCATAGATGCTTTGGTTTGCTTATTACTGCTCTGAATTATGGGAGACTGCTCCATGACAAACTACAGAAAGTCTTCTACTATCAGCAAGGATTGTTAAGAGTTCAGAAATTCTCATCTTTAAAATAAGGCTGGCCAGGCATGGTGGCTCATGCCTGTAATCCTAGCACTTTGGGAGGCTGAGGTGGGCGGATCACTTGAGGTCAGGAGTTCGAGACCAGCCTGGCCAACATGGTGAAACTCCATCTCTACTAAAAATACAGAAAATTAGCCAGGTGTGGTGGCGGGTGCCTGTAGTCCCAGCTACCCAGAAGGCTGAGGCACGAGAATTGCTTGAACCCAGTGGGAGGAGGTTGCAGTGAGCCGAGATTCATTCCAGCTTGGGTGACAGAGTGAGACTCTGTCTCAAAAAAAAAAAAAAAAAAAAAGGAAATACA
The DNA here is from genome assembly GCF_000001405.40 of Homo sapiens. Lineage (NCBI taxonomy): Eukaryota > Metazoa > Chordata > Mammalia > Primates > Hominidae > Homo > Homo sapiens. The sequence continues at coordinate 72,402,330 of NC_000016.10, forward strand.
AAATAAGGCCTATGTGGAAAGAATTTTTCCCCAATCACAATGTGAAATTTGAGAGACTCAATCTTTTCGGAAATGTCTTCCTTGTCCAGATTCAGTGGTTTCTCCACATTGTTTCCATTTTCTAGAAATTTAGGCAATTAGTCCTTCTTTCCCTTCCTCATCAGTACAAGGAGCATAAAAACAATCATTTCAGTAAGTTGTTGTAGAAGTCAAGATACTGTCTGGAAAAGCCCTGTATAATCCTGTAATGTAATTCGGTGTAAACCAGCACAGTTATTTCTCTTCTCTCTTGCTTTGGCTTGAGTAAAACACTGTCTTCAGGTTCTTAATAGCTTACTGGAGGTCCCCTTTGGTAGATTTTGAGGTGAATTTATAACATTGTCTATTATATGGATTGTATGGATTTATGACAATTTAGAGATTCAACAATTCCTTCCAACTCTCTCTGATGTGTCCATCTTTAGTTCATTTCCTACAACTGGGCACTTTCAAGGCTAAATTCCAAGTTTCTTACTCCTTTGATACCCCTTCTGGAGGATCTAAATAAGTTTTATGGCTTCAGATGTTATCAAGTTTGGGCTACCATACTGCCATCTACGATTATACTTCTCTCCACCATTGTCCATGGAACATTTCAGTTTGAATGCCATACAACTCCTGAAACATCATATTTAAAAACAAGTCCATCTCCCCGAAGAGTCATCTTCACTAATTTCCCCATCACTATCAACAACATCTTGAGTGTTTCCAGGCTGAAAGCTGTGGTATCATTTTTTCCCTACTGCTATTTTAACTTACAATTAAAAATTCTGCTAATCACTTCTTTGTAACAACTTTGGTCTCCCCATACTCCTACTCCCAGCTTCCAATTCCTCTACTTCCCAGATCTCTGGTGTATTAGTCTGTTTTAACGCGGTTGATAAAGACATACCCGAGACTGGGCATTTTATAAAGAAAAAGAGGTTTAATGGACTCACAGTTCCACGTGGCTGGGGAGGCCTCACAATCATGGTGGAAGGCGAAAGGCAAAAGGCAAAAGGCAAAAGGCACATCTTACATAGCGGCAGGCAAGAGAATGAGCAAAGTGAAAGGGGAAACCCCTTATAAAATCATCAGATCTCGTGAGACTTATTCACTACCACGAGAACAGTATGGGAGAAATCCTCCCCATGATTCAGTTATCTCCCACCCGGTCCATCCCACAACACGTGGGAATTACGGGAGCTAAAATTCAAGATGAGATTTGGGTGGGGATACAGCCAACTGTATCATTTGGCCTTAACTATCTCATGTGTAGATGATTGCAGAAGGAAGCGCTAGAAAATTCTCATCATCTGACTTTTCGTACACCAACTAAACTTTGAGATTATTTGTACAATATTATTCTTCAGTTCAAGTATCCCATTGGCTACGTATTAATCAGTAAGTTTATTACTCAAGGTACTTCATTGTTAGAACTACTGTTTTATTAACTACGAGTTTATTTCCATAAAAGATATTCCACTTCAGCTGCTCACTATGTTTGCTATTCTCAGGTTTGACTTTTCTTGCCTTCTAAGCTTTTAGGCCATATGGTATAACATTGCCTAAAGAACATCTTCATTACTGTGATGAGTGGCAGATCATTAAAAAAGGGTGTGTGTGTGGCTAGGGGTCAGTGGGGAGACTTCTGCTGCTGATCATTTGTTCTACAATTAAATAAATAAAATTCAACTTGATTTTTTTTTGGCTTGGTAGCCTAGAATTTATATCACTTCCCTCTTTCATCCATAAAGATACATAGGCTTCATCCTCTTCAAAATCCAGCTGAGAAGTTAACTTCAGGAATCTTTCCTGGACTGATTGTTCATGGATAAAATTTGTCTCTACTTAGTATCTGTGCTCTTTATTCAGAATTTTTAAGTGCACAGTTGTTGATATGGTATCATTTTCAAGTACTTTGCAGTCCATATATAATGTTTGTTATATGTGTATACACACATCTGTTATCATAAGCCTAAGATACATAATAATGTCATATTCCTTTTAATTTTCAAATTAAATGTCTCTATGCTTTATTTTCTCCCCAGGATGTTTGCTTTGCTGACAACTTCAAGACCTCTAAGGATGCTTATTCAGACTTACAGGTCAGTTCTGGTAAGCATCCTCTGACTAGTCAACCAAGCAGTTGAATTCTTTACAGCTGTTACTAATGTCACTGGCACAAGATATCCTTATTGAAACAAGGAGAACCCAGCAGCCCCAGCATGTTCTTTGTTGTCACTATTTAAATACTCTGATGCCATAATTCTTGGTCATTGCTGGATAAGCAACAATAAATTGGGCATGGCTTTTTTCTGAAAACCTGCCCAGTGCAAGCCTGCTTAGGGCTGAGCCTGTGAGTACCTCTCAATGCATGGGAGGAGCCCAGCTGTACTTACCTACATTTCTTGTGACTTTGGCTCACAGCCAGGTCTTCACGTACCAATGTATGAGGCTCACATCTTTGAATCTGGGCATGCATATACAAATATTTTCTTTAAGGGTACCCATAGTACCAGGGTGAATAAGTTTGAAGGACTTTCTAGACTTAGTCTCTGTCCTTTATAAAACCATCAGATCTTGTGAGACTTATTAACTATCACGATAACAGCACAGGAAAAGCCTGCCCCCATGATTCAGTTACCTCCCACTAGGCCCCTCCCACGACATGTGGGAATTATGGGAGCTACAATTCAAGATGAGATTTGGGTGGGGACAAAGCCAAACCATATCACCATGCCAGCTTCTTTCCCCAGTGTGGCTCCAAGAATGCTGACAACCAAACTCATAATTTCAAGACAGGAACTTAGAAAAATCCTCTCTGAAATAGCACCATCATAAAATAAGAGACTTCGTAATACTGACATTTGGAGATCCCTAATAAAATGACTAGTCATTCTGTCTAACATTGATTTCAACAGATAACAATCCACATTTATGCACAAGAAGATTTCAATTGTCTTTTTAGAACCTCACCCTCAAATATGAATGGAAAGTCAAGGACCAGATATCTAAACAAAGTTCCTCTCTCCATACACTAAAAAGCTGAATAAGGAAAAAAAAAAATTGACGAAAAGAGAACAGGAAGCAGAAAATAATCTCATAAGACCCATAATCAATATTGTTAAATAAGAAAATATTTTGATTGCATTCATGAGACAAGAACGAGAGGGCATAAAAAAGGAACATTCTATGTGCAAAAGTATTATCCAAATTTTAAAATTATGATGCCGTTACACTTTTGGCAATGGTAGATTGACTTGTATTATGTTAACCTTCCAATAGACAGCAATACATTCTGGGGAAAAATATAAAAACAACTATTTGAAGGCACTGGGACAACTTAAAGCAGGTAGAAACTGAAAGGGGAACTGCATTGATTCTGCATCTGGCTTTTCACTTAAAGGCTCTTTCCAGTCAGTCTACACCACATGAAACGGCTGGAACGCAAGCAGAAAGCTATAGTCTTACCTGATTTGAGGATTCAAAGGAAAAAATTTTGGGCTGATGGAATTGCTAGAAAATCATGGGAAGACCTCAGACAGGAGAAAGCTGAGGGCCTGGAGGTATAAAATCTTCATATAAACCCCCTCAAATCCTTGGCTGGTCTTGATTAATGCATGTGCAGAGGACCTGGCAAAAAACAACAGCTGGAAGGCTAAAAAAAATGAGTGAAGAGTTTAGCTCAGGGAGGAGTTTCATTTTTGAGCTCAGTCCCTTGAATTGCTTGCTAGAACAAAATCAGCAGTATTTAAAGATAGCCATAGCCTCCACAATAGCACAATTAAAAACTACTAAACACATGAAGAAACAGTGGATGGAAAAAAAGTAAGTTGGAGAAAGCCAAAGAAAGGAAGCCGTGAACTTGAAAATACATCAATAGAAAATATTCAATCTGAAGATGAGACAGAAACAATATTGAAAAAAACCTACAAAGACTCACTATTCTGTGGGACTATATTTAAGTGGTTTTAAGTTATATTTAAATGTATTCTCAGAGCTGTGAAAATGCAGTATAATAAAAGATTTGAGGAAATAATGACCAAATTTTTCCTAAATTATGAAAGACATAAATTTATAGATACAAGATCTGAACTCCAATTAAGATAAATACAAAGAAACCACACTTAGGCACATTTTCACCGAACAGTTGAAAACATAAATAAAGAGAAAAGCAGCCAGAGGAAAAACAGCTCCATTATAAACAGGGGAACAATTATACAAATTATTACTGATTTCTCATCAGAAACAATGGAGGTGAGGAAATAATGGAACATCTTAAAGTGCTGAGGGAAGCAGGAACTGCCAATCTTACAATCTCTACCTAGGAAAACAATCATCTTAAAAAATGAAAGCAAAATAAATAAATTTTCAGAAAAAATTGAGAGAGCCTGTTATCAGCAGAATGGTTCTAAAAGAAATATAAATTCTTCAGGGTGAGAAAAATCAGATGAAAATTTATAGAGAAAGAATGAAGAAATATGAAATGGTAAATACTTGGGTAACTATAAAGGACTATACTTTTTCTTATCTTTAAAAGAAAATGACTAATGAAATATAATAACACCTTCTCGGTTAATGTATATATTACCTATAAGATAATATCACAAAGGATGAGATGGTAAATAGAAACAGACTGTTACATGGCTCTAATTTTTTTTTTTTTTTTTTTTGAGACAGAGTCTCATTCTGTCGGCCAGGCTGGAGTGCAGTGGCACAATCTTGGCTCACTGCAACCTCCACCTCCCAGGCTCAAGCAATTCTCCTGCCTCATTCTCCTGAGTAGCTGGGATTACAGGTGTGTGCCACCACACCTGGCTAATTTTTGTATTTTTAGTAGAGATGGGGTTTCACCATGTTGGCCAGGCTGGTCTTGAACTCCTGACCTCAAGTAATCGACCCGCCTTAGCCTCCCAAAGTGCTGGGATCACAGGTGTGAGCCACTGCACCTGGTCACATGGCTCTAATTTTTAAAAAATGCCTTCATTGAAATACAATTCATAATACAACCTACCCATTCCAAGTATACAATGTAATGGCTTTAATTATATTCATAGTAGGGTAAGAATGGAAATGGCAGCCGGGTGCAGTAGCTCATGCCTGTAATCCCAGCACCTTGGGAGGCCAAGTTGGGTGGATCACTGGAGGTCGGGAGTTCGAGACCAGCCTGGCCAACATGGTGAAACCCTGTCTCTACTAAAAATACAAAATAGTCAGGTGTGGTGGCACGCATCTGTAATCCCAGCTACTCGGGAGGCTGAGGCAGGAGAATCACTTGAACCCAGGAGGCGGAGGTTGCAGTGAGCCGAGCTTGTGCCACTGCACTCTAGCCTGGGTGAAAGAGCGAAACTCTGTCTCAAAAAACGAAAAAAAAAAAAAAAAAAAAAAAAAAAAAAAAAGAATGGGAATGGCTAATATTGAATTTAAAATTGTTTTCAATGCCATGATGTAAACACATGCTCCAATTCACATCCACAAATCTTCCCCAGAATTGACCTGGGAAACACAGATTAGTCATTGCATATAAGTTGTGGTTACTAAGTTAAGTCTACTTCAATCAAGTCTTTTAATAATCTAGATTCAAGAATTCAGGAATTTGGAATTATAAAAATGTTAACATAAAAATAGGGCAAAGGATAGAATAATTAAAGTTTCTGTAATAAGAACCTATATGGGAAAATTAATATGTATAAAAATTTCCCAATAAAAATAAAATTTTTGTAATGACAATATAGTTTGAGGCTGATCAACAACTTGAATAACCACTACTTGTTGATAGGATCACAAGTGAGGACTGGATAGATGTAGATTATATTTCTATAGAAGTCGTTACCCTACCAAATTGCAACTTGGCATTAAACAAGAAAAGTTACAGCTTTTCATTAAAGGTACTCAAATAAATTCATTGTTTATCAAATAAATTTCTACTTAGAGGAAGACAATGCTGCATAGTAAATTGTTTCTCAAACGTAAGAACTATACAGACCCTTTAAAATGAAATTCTGCATAATCTTAATGTTATATTACTTAAATACATGGAAACATAAAATCATAAAGTTAGGTTTAATGCATTTTCTTAAGCTCTTATAACTATAAAACTAAAATAAATTTTAAAAAATTGTAAAATCAGTATTTAAATAAAAATAGTATGATAAATTATTTTGTTTTACTAAAATTGCTAATGTTAGGTTTAATGTAAGGTGGTATTTCTTCAGGCATGTGTCTATAGTTAAATTTATTATTTGGTGTTCTATATTTCTAAATTTAATATTTTTAAATTTTCATGTTACTACTGTGGACACTGCCTCTTTACAGAAGTATGTTTTATAAAATGGCACTAATGTTCATTGAGTTGTACACTCAAGATTTCTGTACTTTAATAAGTTAAACCTTTATTTAAAAAATAGTTTTCACAATGTAAAGGCTTTGTTTGATAGTACAGTATGATCAGACTTAACAAAGTCCTGCTCAGAAACAATCTTTGAATGCCTATTTTAATAAGGTGTCTGTATTAGTCCATTTTCACGCTGCTGATAAAGACATGCCCGAGACTGAGCAACTTACAAAAGAAAGAGGTTTAATTGGACTTAAACAGTTCCAAGTGGCTGGGGGAGCCTCACAATCATACTGGAAGGCAAGGTGGAGCAAGTCACATCTTATGTGGATGATGACAGGCAAAAAATGAGAGAATGAGGAAGACGCAAAAGTGGAAACCCCTGATAAAACCATCAGATCTTGTTCACTACCAAGAGAACAGTATGGGGGAAACCGCCCCCCATGATTCAATTATCTCCCACTGGGTCCCTCCCACAACATGTGGGAATTCAAGATGAGATTTGAGTGGGGACACAGCCAAACTGTATCAGTGTCATTGTTAACATTATAGAACTTTTATTTAAAGGTAAGTTTAAATATTCCTATTATTTCAATTTGCATTAAATAATCTGATGGGATTTGGAACAGGGTATTTGGCACCACAGAATTGTTTCAAATAGGCACATACAAAAATATGGTCTCCGCAATACAATGACTATTTCAAATTCAAGATGGTAACAAAGACAGCAGTGTTCATTTGGGTTCATGTTGCCTTTACTACCACATGCTATGTTACAGATCAATCCTCTTTAAACCACTATGGGACCTTCAGTTTTACATTGTACGATGACATTTTTTGCATTCTCTTATCTAGCCAAACACAACCAAATAATTGTGTTTCTAGAGAAAATACCAAATAATTGTTCTGGAATGCAGGGCCATCAACACTGCTCGCTGCAGCCTTGACCTCCTGGGGCTCAAACAATCCTTCTAGGTCAGCCTCCTGAGTAGTTGGGACTATAGGCCCGTGCCACTATGCTCAGCTAATTTTTCATAGAGACAGAGTCTCACTTTGTTGCCCAGGTTGGAGTATTTTGTTATAAGAGGTTACTAAGATTATTTGCATTATCATTGTTAAATATAATTAAAAAGATAAAAGCACAATTTTAAACTGTTGAATTTTTTTTTATAGCACTTGTCACCTTCTAACATATTATATATTTTACTTCTTTATTTGTTTATTGTCTATCTCCTCTATTCCCACAAGAATGTAAGCTCATTTAAGCTCAGGGCAGCAACATTTTTCTTTTTTCATAATGTATCTCAAGTGCCCAGAACAGTGTCCAACACATAATAAGCACTCAGTCAATATTTGTTGAAAGAATAAAAAACTTTGTTATAAGATGACATCTGGGGACATCCCAGCCTTTCAGGATTCCTAGATTGAGAAATGCTGGAATGAAGGAAAAAGCTTTGGCTTAGAGGCTTATGTCTTAGCTTTCTAGTTTTACTCAGCTGCTTACTACCTACATAACATGGGGCAAGTTATTATACTTAAACTCAGGGAGTCTGATTTTGCCAGGAAGATCAGTAAAATGTGAAGTCAGTTTAAAATTGGGATAATGGTTAATATGTAAAATATATAAAATACCAGCAGATATGGTGATCATCTTTATTATATTAGAGATATCATAGAAAAATATATAATCAAGCAAAAATAAACTTTTCCATATTATCACAATTTTTCCCTCCCTTATTTCATCTTATTCATAAAAACAGAAAATAAGAAACAGGTTCAGGATAAACAAAAAAGCAAAAAAGAACAGAATCCAAAACTTTCACCAAAGCAGCTGGATGAAAACACTGGAAAATGTTTTCCTAACAATCCTTTGTCAGATGTTGAAAGAGCTGTGTTATAATAGAGTTATAAGATAAGCTGAAAACAAAGCATCAACAAGAAAATAGAAACGCATAAAACATGTAAAATAGAATAGAGATCACTGTGTGACCTCAGCTGCATGGGAGTGGTTTTTCTCCCCCATCATTCATGTACACTTTATCCGCCCACTTTCTTCCTACTTGTAAGCTCAACTTGGCTCATCAGGAACCTTAACCCTCAGGCCAACCCTGAAGGAAGAATTAACCTGCTTATTGAACCCTTAGGCAGTGTGCATGGCCAGGAAGCAGGGTATTTGGAGAACACAGAGAGGTGATCTCAGCATTTTACTGCAATATCCCATAACCGCTGAAGGAAGAGGTTAAAAATGACTTATATTAAGAAAAAGCAGTGTAAATGTGTTTATTGGTTTAAATTTTGCTGTCAAATGGAATTCTCAAAATACTTTGGAAATACAAGTAGATTTAAGATCTGTTTTAGGTAAGCCTTATTTTAAAAAGAGAGAATAAAATATTACTTACTTATTAGCAAGGGACATATCATTAGTATTCACAGTTAAGCACACACTAAAAAGCAATTTTGGATGGCTAAATTCAGTCTTAACCCAAGCCATGTTCCAACAATGCAAACAGGTATTGGTAGATAAAAATGGATTTTCCCTTCAACATCCTAATAACAATAAAAAATAGTTAAATATGATATACACTCCTGAAAACAACCCAGGTGTTAACAGCCAAGAAAACTACGTGACTACTTGTCACCTAGTTCTGCCAGTGTGCAGTTTGCTGATCTCCTTTAATCTTAATGTACAGTAAAAATTATCTTAAACAGTCTCCACATAGGTGATTCATTCTATCACCCAGCACTATTTGCTCTTTTTTTTTTTTTTGAGATGGAGTCTCGCTCTGTCACCCAGGCTGGAGTGCAGTGGCGTGATATCAGGTCACTGCAACCTCCGCCTCCTGGGTTCAAGCAATTCTTCTGTCTCAGCCTCGCCAGTAACTGGGACTACAGGCACCTGTCACCACGTCTGGCTAATTTTGGTATTTTTAGTAGAGACAGGGTTCACCCTATTGGTCTGGCTGGTCTTGAACTTATGACCTCAGGTGATCCACCAGCCTCGGACTCCCAAAGTGCTGGGATTACAGGCATGAGCCACTGTGCCCGGCCCATTTGCTCTTTAAAAACATGACATATCCACCTTGCTGAAGGTTCATGGCTAATAATCTATTCTCTAGTATGGCCAGATACTCTTTCCTCTAGTTAAGTAGAAGCTTACTAAAGATAAATTGTGTTTGTTTCCAATACTGTTTATGCCTGTTTTATTTGTTACTTTTATTACACAATCTAATTAACTACATATAAACTGATAAAATATGAGTGCAGCAAAAGAACTGTAGCCTATAAAAACAGCAACAAACTAAGCTGAATGCTTCAAAAGGACTCAATAAAGAGGTCACTAAAAATTAACTTGTGGATGAGACATTGAAAAAGATTGGAACAACTGTCAATATTTAAAAGTATTCTACATTTAAATTGTTTCAAAATGTCTTCAGTTTCTTTCTCCAAAGAAATCAAAATGGGAAATCATACATCATGCATCAAGGGTGTGATTTTTGTGAGAGCTCTGAGAACACCATTCAACAATCTAAACTCGAAGAAAAGATCTTGGCAGCTTTACATCTAAGGATTGGTGAATAAATGCAGTTTTACGTTTTAAAGAAAGTAAAATGCTTAAGTCTTAACATTTTATTAGTCCCAGCTATAACCGACTTTTTCAGTTAACTGCCCAATTACAAGTCCCAATGGTATTATTTAAGAGGGTTCTACTCTGTTAATCTTGATTATTCCTCCTCAGTCTCAGAATGTTGGAAGCTTCAAATGCCAGGTTTTCCCACCACCCTCAAATTCTACTGAAAGGCACCTACTACAAACATTAGCCATTAGTTGGAACTTAAAGACTTCTAGCTAAATTTAATTTAAAATTTCAAAGTGTTTGTAACAACAAGAATTACAACTGAGAATATTAAGCAGGAAGAAAAGGAAGAATAAATGGGTGTACCAAAAACACAGCTTTCAAAGAAAGGGCAGAAGGAAGGATGAACATACTAAGAACAGGGACAGCAAATCAAAAGCAAACAAAATAACACTAAAAGATGGATGACTGATTGAATGAAAGCTGAAGATACTCTTATAATTATTGTTATAGTGAAACAGGTTCATCAAATGGAAAATGGTTAAAGTACAATGCATTTATTGTGTGGAATTCTATGTACAGTCATGCATTGCTTTATGATGGGGATATGTTCTGAAAAATGCATTGTTAGGCGATTCTGTCATTGGGCAAACATCATAGAGCAGGGGTCCCCAACATCCAGGCCACAGATGGGTACTGGTCCCATCAGAACCAGGCCGCACAGCAGGAGGTGAGCGGCAGCCAAGGCATTACTGCCTGAGCTCCGCCTCCTGTCAGATCAGCCACAGCATTAGAGTCTCACAGGAGCATGAACCCCATTGTGAACAGCACATGCTAAGGATCTAGGTTGCGTGCTCCTTATGAGGATCTAATGCCCTATGATCTGAGTGGAGATTGTGCCACTGCACTGCAGCCTAGGTGATGCAGTGAGACTCTGTCTCAAAACAAAAAAACAAAATAGAACAAAAAAACCCCATAAACCAGTAACATAGTCATTTATTATCAAGTATTATGTACTGTACATAATTGTATGCACTATACTTTTATACAACTGGCAGCACAGTAGGTTTACACTAGCATCACCATAAACATTTGAGTAATCATTATACTATGACGTTATCACTAGGTGAGAGGAATTTTTCAGCTCCATAATATGCAAGAATCATTGTTGTATATGTGGTCTGTCTGTCATTGATTGAAATGTCATTATATGGCGCATGACTCTGGCTGTTAAAAATGAGACAGAGGCTGGGCCCAGTGGCTCACACCTGTAATTCCAGCACTTTGAGGGGCTCAGTTGGGCAGATGGCTTGAGCCCAGGAGTTCCAGATCAACCAGGCATGATGGCATGTGCCTGTAAGTCCCAGCTACTTGGGAGGCTGAGGAAGGAAGATCGCATGAGCCTGGGAGATCAAGGTGGCAGTAAACCGTGATGATGCCACTGCACTCCAGCCTGGTCAACAGAGTGAAACCCTGTCTCAAGAAAAACCAACCAACCAACCAAACAAAAAAACCCCAGAAGACAGATATGTAGACATAGGTATGAAAAGATTCTCATGTTTTATTATTGAGTAAAAAAAACCCCAAGATGCTGAAAAATAAATACGATCCCATTTTTGTTCAACATTTTGCATATGTAGTTGTCAATGCATAGAAAAGAATACAAAGAAAGCTGTCAGCAGTGGCTACTTTGGAGACTTGCAATGGGCATAGTAGGGAGGGGTATACTTTTTATAGGGTTCATTTTCACACAATATTTTATTTCCTAATTAAGTAACAGACATTCAGCTTTGGAAAAGGCAATAGTAAATGTTGTATGAAAATGTAAGAACAGAATTGATGGCTATAGAAAAACTACTTTATATCTCAGTTTAAATACTTTGGATATTGTTAATGTTTCTAGGTCTATGAATTCTGGATAGTAGAAAAATAGCGTGAAACACCTTTTTCAAACTGGAATGGCTAAGAAAGCCTAAGGGAATGCTCTAAAATAAACAGAATAATGAAATAAATGTTGGTAACTACATCTCAACTCCTATGTGGTATTTCTAGAGCACTATAGGGGATTTCCTTTCATATTATTCAGTCAGAGATGTGTCATTTTATCAATTCTATTACATTTTCTGTTTTAACTGTCATGCCTTTGAACCTTTCCTGCTCTGATTTCTGCTTTGCATGGAAATCTGTTATCTTTCTAGTTGACTTTGGTGGATATCAATCCTCTTGAGTCTCTCTAAGCCTTCAGACTAAAGTTTTTAAAGTTGTCTTTTGGCTGGGCGCAGTGGCTCACATCTATAATCCCAACACTTTGGGAGGCCAGCACAGGTGGATCACTTGAGCTCAGGAGTTTGAGACTACCCTGGGGAACATGGCAAAACCTTGTCTCTACAAAACACACACAAAAAAATTAGTCGGTTGTGCTGGCGGATGCCTGTAGTCCCATCTACTCGGGAGGCTGAGGTGGGAGGATTGCTTGAACCCAGGAGGCAGAGGTTGCAGTAAGCCAAAATTGCACCACTGCACTCCAGCCTGGGTGACAGAGCAAGGCTCCATCTAAAAAAAAAAAAAAAAAAAAAAAAAAAGTTGCTGTTTCCTTCTTGCATCATCTACATTTTCTCTGGAATCAATAATTCATTTTTCTATTTTCATTTTCATTTTACTGATCTTCCTCATATATCTGGTGATCTTTACGTGTATGTTCATGTTTATAAATGAAGGACTAAGTTGTTCATGACAGGTGATCATCATGGATTTCTTGTACCTCTGTTGTAGTCGTGTCGTTTCTCCAGCAGGATACCCCTCGGTGAACTGGCTTACTACCACCTTTGATTAAGTGGAAATGGCATGCTGACATACTTAAGGTCCATGACAAGCAGCCATAAAGGAGTCTTTGCCACAGCGCTGTAAGGCACTTGTATATGTGAGAAGCCCTTAGTATATTTATAGAGGATCTCCTACTAGATTTAAAAAACAGTTATTGTAGTCTTAATACAGCTACAAACCTTGTACTGAGATGTCTGTATAGGAAGAAGGGGTTGCCTTTAGTCATCATGTCTTTTTAGTCTCTACCAATCAATGACAGTTTCTCAATCTCTCCTTGTTTTCTCATGACCTTGACACTCCTGAAGAATACTGATCAGTTAATTTGTAGAATGTCCCTCAATTTGGTTTTGTCTGAAATTCGCTCATGTTTAGACTGAGATTATTCATTTTTGCCAAGGTGAAAGGTTAAAAGGCATAACAGCTAATTTGTAGAATGTCCCTCAATTTGATTTTGTCTGAAATTCTCTCATGTTTGGACTGAAATTACTCATTTTTGCCAAGGTGATGTTAAGCCCAAGTTATGTACATAACATGATGTTAAGTACATAACATCAGGAGATACCTGATGTCAAGATACTGGTTAATATTAACTCTGAACATGTAATTAAGGTGGCATCTACCTGTTTTTCCACAGTAAAGTTATTATTTTTTCCTTTGTAATTAATACATATCATTCATGGATATATTTGAGATAAGATTTTTTAAAGGAAATAAATAAAAAATAATCTTTCTCATCATAAATAACAATTTTAGCACCCATAGATGATTATTGCCTGTAAAAATGATTTCTGTATTTACCAAATGGTGATTTTCTATTTCCATTATTTTTCTGCTGTTATTTATTAGAATTTACTATAAGGACAAGCTGTGTCCTTTTGCCTTAATTTATTTATTCAAATTTTTTAATCAGTATAGACTCAATGATATTTAATACTATAGGTTTTAATTCATTACTTGTATTATATAATCTACTCACATGGGGTTTTAAAAATTACTTTTTATGTTTGATTTTGAATATAATTGTGTATTACTCAGAAAATACAATTTGAGTGATATCAATTTTAGGACATTTATTGAAATTTCTTTGTGCAAAGTATGTGGTTAATTTTGTAAATATTCTTTGTATGCATGACATAATAAAATTCTTTGTTTGCTTTAGTCTTCATTGTGAAGTATAAAACACACAGAAGGTACACCAAATAAAATTAAATACTTAGTGAATTATTATAAAGCAGACTCCTGTGTTACTACCACCTAGGTGAAAAAACAGAACCTAGTGACAGAAAAGCCTCCCAAATACCAGTGCCAACCTTCCTCCTGAAGAAAACCAATGCCTTGATTTTTTTGTTTTGTTTTTAAGAGATGGTGTTTTGCTATGCTGCCCAGGATGGAGTCCAGCAGCAATTCACAGGTGCAATCATAGTGCACTATAGCCTCCAACTCCTGAGCTCAAACAATCTTGCCTCAGCTTTCTGAGTAGCTACGACTATAGGTACACGCCAGCACACCCAGCTAATGCTTTGATTTTTAGGTTAACTAGTTCCCTGGTTCTTCTAATAAGTTTACCACCTAAGTATTCATTACTAAAAACTATAGAGGTGGCTGGGTGTGGTGGCTCACGCCTGTAATCCCAGCTCTTAGGGAGGCCGAAGTGGGTGGATTACCTGAGGTCAGGAGTTTGAGACCAGCCTGGCAAACATCATGAAACCCCGCCTCTACTAAAAATACAAAAATTAGCTGGGCGTGGTGGTGCACCCCTGTAGTCCCAGCTACTCAGGAGGCTGAGACAGGAGAATTGCTTGAACCCAGGAAGTGGAGATCTTAGTGAGCCAAGATCGTGCCACTGCACTCCAGTCTGGGTGGCAGAGTGAGACTCCATCTCAAAAACCAAAACCAAAACCGAAACCAAAAACACTACAGAGATACAAGATGTATTATGAAAACATGATTAATCAATTAATACCAAAGTAAACTTCACAAGAAATACTACGAGTCAAAGAAAAAGATTTCATAATGATAAAAGGTTCAATTCACTAAGAATGCATTACATTCCTAAATGTGTTTGCATCTAATAATAGAACTTTAAAGTACATGAAACAAATATGACAAAAATGAAGACAAATAAAAAGTACCTGCTCATAACTGAAAATTTTAAGTCATTCCTCAGTAATTGATAGAATAGACAGCAAATCAGAAAAGATACAGACGTGAACAACCATCAACTAGAATCCTATGCCTAACAATCGCAAAATACATGCTTTTTTCAAATGTATATAGAAAAGATGGTATCTCATCGAGTTTTAATTTCTATTTTCATAACGAATGAGCATAAACATACCTTTATATGATTATTAACTACCTGGCTATTGTAGATGCTATTGTTGCTCTGCCCCAGATCTTGTTAACCAGGACATTGCAACTATACTTCAACTGCCGATAGCAGCTTACATTTGCCTCTTATAAGATTGTCGTTGGCTGATGGGAGCACCACCTCAGCCTTCAGAAGCCACTTTGCTTGGAATGGCTAGGATATGCCACCCCACCAGAGGTAGCCCAGAGCCAATGAATGACTGATGTGGGGGTACAACAGGCTAGCTAGCTACCTTATGTCTGGTAAGGACAAGCTTTGGGATACAATGCATGCTCCAGAGCTCCCTATTGGATGAAGCTGAGGCTAGACATCTTCTGAAACCCTATCTTTGCTTAACTTCTTCCCTGTCCTATCCTGTTTCATTTCCTCCCTCACAAGAATCTCCTGAAAGAGACTGGTATCTTAATATATCACTCATACAAAAATTGCTGTTTAGGGCTCTGCCTTTTGACAATCCTAACTAGGATAGTTGCTACCAGTAGTGATCACTGGAAAAATAGTATGGAAAAGGTTGTGGAGTCCCTGGCAGGTTGTTGCAGTGTAAATTATAAGACTTTCACCTACAGTAAATGGGGATGTGATACAATGCAGAAAGATGGTATTAGCCTGTGTAAGAGAGTAGGTATTAGGACGGTGAAGCTGGGTAATTATTGCTGAGCACCAATGATTTAATGAAGAAAGAGAATGACAAGTTAGGTCAATTAAACACCAACTTACAGTAAAGAATAAAAATTAAAAGGCAAACACGGTTTAAGAATAGAAATGTGAGTTAATGGTAAGAGGTGGCAGAATTTAAGAGAAGGCTACTTTCTCATCCCAGCCAAGTTTTCTATGCCAAAGTTAAGTTCCTGATAGAAAATATTACTTTGAATCTTGTGGGCCTGTGGAAGGAACCCTTTGTTCCTCGTTAGCATATAGGAGCTCCATCTTCCCTATGACCATGCAGAGACTTCAAAGTACCCTACAGAATAATGCTTTCCTTTCTTAGAGCCTAACCTCAAAACCTTGGCCATTAGAGGAATAACTTGTGTCAAATCTCGACGTAGCCCCATGGGAAAATCTTGGATCTGCTAAGGGAGAAAGGACATTTAATGTCAATAGAGCGGCAGCACCTGGCTAATAAGTACTGCAGAAACTGGTGGAGTATGCCTGGGAGTAAATCCTAAGGGTGCTGGACCAGGGGAAGTATAATGTAATGCGGCTTAATGAAGAAACTTTTCCATAACTCTGACTTAACACTCTGACAGAGGCCCTCGGAATCAGGTTTTTACTTTTATTTATTTATTTTAGACAGAGTCTTGCTCTGTCGCCAGGCTGGAGTCCAGTGGCGTGATCTTGGCTCACTGCAAACTCTGCTTCATGGGTTCAAGCCATTCTCCTGCCTCAGCCTCCTGAGTAGCTAGCACTACAGGTGTGCATCACCACGCCCAGCTAATTTTTGTATTTTTAGTAAAGACGGAGTTTCACCATGTTGGCCAGGATGGTCTCGATCTCTTGATCTCGTGATCCACTTGCCTCAGCCTCCCAAAGTGCTGGGACTACAGGCGTGAGCCATTGAGCCCAGCAGGAATCAGTTTTTAATACACTGATGCGGTGGTTCTTGTGTACTTCAAACAAGTGAAAGCTCTCATTAAATAGATATGTTAACTGATGTTGTAAACTCTTCAGAGCATAATAAAAACCTCAGAAAAGTGGGGATGCAGAAGTGGACATGTTATATGAAGCTAAAAACCAGCTTATGATGTTCCCTGGAAGGATCTGCAAGTTGCTTCATTTACCAGCATCAATGAAGAGCTTAGTAATGACTGTTCTGTAGATGGGGACTTTGAAGGTGATGGTGTTACAGGACTGGAATCTCTTCTACCAATGTGGATGACACGATCCAGGAATAGCAGAGATTGGGTGCCAGCACTTAATTATCAGGTGCATGATGGAAATGTATACCACAAACATAATTATATAATATTTTACATATACATAAAACTTATATTCAAAAGAGACTGAGATTAGATGAGCAGGAAGATGAAGTCAGCCACTATGAAAAGTCATAATCCTGTGCTCAGTTTCCACATCTAACTTAGTTCTGACTCAGAATTCATCAACTAAAAGAGAAACTAGGGTCCACTTGTTGCCACAAGACAGCAAACCAATATATTAGTGGCTAATTTCATCTTTCTGGGATCTGGTTCTGCGAGGTCTGAATAATACTGTCATATTAATATACTGACTCCAGCTTTCATTTCATTAGTGTTAATATGGTAATATCTATCCTCCCCGCTTTGATTTTTAAACTATTTATATTTTAGGTGGTTTGGTGGTAGGCAGCCTATATATCAGTCTTGCTATTTTTTAATGCAATCTGAGAATATCTGTCACTAAATAAGGGAATTTAGGCCATTTACATTTAACGTGATTATTGAAGATTAAGTTTAAATCTATTATTTTGCTATTCGTTTTGGATTAATTGAACATTTTTGGTAATTTCATTTTCTCTTCTTTGTTAGCTTATTAACCATAACTGCCATTTAACTTAGTTTTTAAAAAATCAGACTTTAATTTTTAGTCTACCTTCAAGTGATATTATTGACATTATGCCACTCCATGTATAGTATAAGACCTTATAATAGAATCTTCCATTTGTTTTCTTTAATACCTTTTATGCTATTGTTGTCATGAGTTTTACTTGTACATGTTATAAAACTAATACATTATTATTATTATTATTTTGAGACAGAGTCTTGCTCTGTCACCCAGGCTGGAGTGCAGTGGCGTGATCTCGGCTCACTGCAAGCTCCACGTCCCAGGTTCACGCCATTCTCCTGCCAAGCCTGTAGTTGGGACTACAAGTGCCCGCCACCATGCCCAGCTAATTTTTTGTATTTTTAGTAGAGACTGGGTTTCACCGTGTTAACCAGGATGGTCTTGATCTCCTGACCTCGTGATCCGCCCGCCTCGGGCTCCCAAAGTGCTGGGATTACAGGTGTGAGCCACTGTGCCCGGCCCATTATTATTATTTTTGCTTTAAGCTATAAATTATTTTTAAATGTTTGTAATAATAAAAAAAGTTTTCTAAATTCACCAACATAATTACCATTTCCAAGGACTTTTATTGATGTGGTATAATTTCTCTTTTGCCTGCAGGGCTTCTTCAATATTTCTTGTAGAGCAGGTCTGCTAATGATGCACTCTTTCAGCTTTTGTACATCTGAAAAAGTTTGTTTCACTTTTTTTTTTTTTTTTTGAGACAGAGTCTCACTCTATTGCTCAGGCTGGGGTGCAGTGGCATGATCTTGGCTCACTGCAAATTCCGCCTCTCAGGTTCAAGTCATTCTCCTGCCTCACCCTCCTGAGTAGCTGGGATTACAGGCACGTAGCACATTCTTGCCTAATTTTTGTATTTTTTTTTTTTTTTTTTTTTTTTTTTTAGTAGAGATGGGGTTTCACCATGTTGGTCAGGCTGGTCTCCAACTCCTGACCTCGTGATCCACCTGCCTCGGCCTCCCAAAGTGCTGGGATTACAGGCGTGAGCCACCGCACCTGGCCTCACCTTTGCTTTTAAAAGATATTTTTGCTGTGTATAAAATTTTAATTGAACTTTTTTCTTTTGATACTTTATAGGTGTTTCTCCATTGTCTTCTAGCTTACATTGATTCCAATGTTTTCTGGGTGTTATGGTGGATCATTTCTATGTCTTCACTAATCTCTTCTGAAATATCCAATCTCCTGTCAATCCCCTCTAGTGGTATTCTTAATCTCAGACATGGTAGCTTTTTACTCTCTACAAGTTAAATTACAATCTTTATCTTTCATGTCTCTACTTAACATGTTTCTGCTTTACTCAGTTATGACAGCTGTTTAAATGTCCTCATCCACTAATTCTATCTTCTGTGTCATTTTTAGTCTTGTTTAATTTTCCTCCTTGTTATTGGTAGAAAATATTTTATCTCAGTATGTAGCTTATTTTTTCATTTACTTTTTGCCATTCAAGTAGTAGAAGTTTTCAATTTTGCTGAAGTCCAACTTATCTAATTCATTCGTGGTATAAGTTCTTTCCCTGCCATCTACAGGGAAATCTTTTGCCTAGCCCAACGTCACAAAACTTATGTTTTCTTGAAGAACTATTTTAGTGTTACGTTTTTATTTTATTCTAATACCCCTTTAAGATTAGTATTTGTATAAATAATAAGGAGTGGGTCAAGTCTCTCATTCACATGGTTCCAGCACTGTGTATTAAAATGACTATTCTCTCTACATCAGATTGCCTTTGAATCTTTGCCAAAAAATTGCATGTCAATTTCTGGGCTCTCTAATCTTTTCCAGAGTTCTTTACCTCTATCATTATGTAATTATCACACTGTTTGATTACTGTGGCTTTAAGCAACATTACGAAGCTAATGTGAGTCCTCTAATGTTCTTTTTACAAAATTATCTTAGCTATTCTATTGCTTTTCTTTATACATTTTAGATCAGCTTGTCAATTTCTAGAAAAAGATTGTTGGGTTTTTGATGAAGATTGAATTAAATTTCACTATATATCAATTTAAAGAGAAATTACATTAATAATATTGAGTCTTGCAATCCATGAGCATGGTATTTCTAATTTGTTTCTTCAGTTTATTATAGTTTTCAGTATGTAAACCTTGAACTTATTTTCTTAGGCTTATCCCTAAAATTTCATGCTTTTTAATATTATTATGATGTACTTCTTTTAAAAATTTCTAACTATTTATTGCTAGTGCATTTTTGAATTTTGATTTTGTATCCCATGACATTGCAAAACACATCTATTAGTTCTAGAAACTTTCTCATAAATTTGGAATTTTGATGCAGACAATGATACCATCTGAAAATAAAGATAATTTTATCTATTCCTTTCTAATCTGTAATCCTCTTGTATAGATACCTTTAATTAGGCAAGGGAAGTTACCTATTATTCCTTGTTAGCAAAGATATTTTATCAGGAATGGATGTTAATTTCTATCATTTTTACCCTGCATCCATTGAAATGATTATTAAAATAATAACCTGGTGATATGATGAATTTCATTGATTTTAGTATATTGAACCAACCTTGCATTCTTGGAATAAACTTGGTTTGGTTGTTATTTCTCATTCTTTTGACATATTAGCAAATTTGATTCAATTTGCTAATATTTTGTGCTTTTTGTGTCTGTGTTTATGAGAGTTATTGGTTTGTAATTTTCTATTCTTATACTGTCTTTGTTTTTTGGCATCGGGTAATGCTGACCTCATCAAATGAGTTGGGGGAGTGTTCTTCCCTTTTCTATTTCCTGAGATTGTTTAGAATTGGTATGATTTCTTCCTTAAAGGTTGGTAAAATTTGTCAGTGAAGCCACTGGGCATGGTATTTTCTTTACAGGAAAGTTTTTAAACCACAAAGTCAATTTATTTAAAGACATAAAACTATTCAGGTTTAGTTTACTTGAATGAGTTTTGGTAGTTTGTGTCTTTTGAGGGATTCGTCTATTTCATCTAGGTTATCAAATGTATTAATGAAGTTGTTATTTATTTTTATTATCCACTTAATATATGTCAGCCTTAGTGATTGATATCCAAACTCTTTCATTCTTAGTCTTGGTAATTTGTGTCTTCTCACTTTTTTTTCATTTAGTCTGGCTAGATGTTTACTGATTTTTATAATCTTTGCAAAGAACAAGCTTTTGAGTATTCTGACTTTACTCTTTTTCTATTTTCAACTTCATTGGTTTACGTTCTTATTATTTCTTTCCTTCTTCTTGCTTTGAGTTTAATTTGTTTTCTTAAGACACATATTATTGACTCAAAACTTTCTAGGTTTCTAAAACAAGACACTAAAACTTATTTTCCTAGATGCACATCTTTAGCTGCATCTCAGAAATTTTATTCTCACTTGCATTTAACTAAAAACATTTAAAAAAAATTTCCCTGTGACTGCCTCTTTGACCCATGTCATTTAGAAATGTGTTTAATTTACAAAAATTTGGTATTTTTCTATATATCATTCTGTTATTGATTTCTAGTTTAATTTGTTTGTGGTCAAGAGATGATATTTTGACTTGAATACATTTAAATTTATTGATTTTTTAAAAATGGAACACAATGTGCTCTATTTTAGCAAATGTTTTGTGTGCACTTAAAAATAATTTGTATTCTGCTCTCGTCAGATGGGTCATTTTTCCTGTTTTCTTAAATGGCTATTATTTGAAAATGAAACTTTGCAAAAAGAAGGAACGTCACATAAGGTTGGATTCGGAAATCTGAAGTAGTTATCCATATAAACTTAATGAAGTACCTGTACACATAAATTAATAATAACATAAGAGACTAGGCACCATCAAACGAAAGCAGATAATGAATAAGTTACCTCTTCACATGCTTACCTCTCAATCTGTTCCCAATTGAGCCAATAACCCATTCTCTATACTGTAGTCACACTGGGCTTATTTTTGTTCTTCCAAGTAGACATGTTCTTTTTCTGCATCAGGATTTACTGAATATAATCGCTATCTGAAAAATACTCCCTCTTTTTGTTAAGTTCTCTTCAACTTTCAGACTTGACCTTGAATTCACTTTCTTTAGAAAGTCTTTTTGACGTTCCCTCCAAGGATTATGTCCTCTTTGTTAAGGATCAGTGGTTTGCACTTTCCTGATGGTCTGTACCTCTCTTTCACAGAACTTATGATTATAATGAAAACTATAAGGACAGATTAGACCACATTATCAAAGATGTTATGACTTCTCAAAAGGTTCAGAATCCCCTACTCAAAAAAGTCAGCACAATGAGACACGTAGTGGCCAATTAAACTCACTTAACTAGAATCTGATTTTTACTGGATATAATTTCTCCTGTGAAGACTATTCTGAAAGTAGAATTATAACTTCAGAAGAATATTGATTGTATGAGTATTCCATATCAATATTTAATACATCCATGAGACTATTATTTATAAAATGTTACAGGGCAAACATAAAACCAACCAAAATGAGAAATCCCATTCTTCTGCCTTCTATAGGTCCAGGCAAATATTAATAGATAAGGTGTCTGCTTCTCTAAGACATTCCTTGCTTAAAAAAAGAAAACCCTCATACAAAGAGCAAGTTTGGCTCAAATAACTTTTCTTTTCCAAATTAAATCCAAAATTTAAGGCTTTAGAGTCCAAGTTTCTTG
Source organism: Homo sapiens (assembly GCF_000001405.40). Classification (NCBI taxonomy): domain Eukaryota; kingdom Metazoa; phylum Chordata; class Mammalia; order Primates; family Hominidae; genus Homo; species Homo sapiens. The sequence continues at coordinate 72,424,621 of NC_000016.10, forward strand.
CAAATTTTAGGAAAAAAAATCAATGGGTGAAGGAAGTGAGAGGAAAATCTTTGCCTTTCATGTACATTTGAAATCTTCATTTCTTTTAAATAGCACTTGATGATATTATGAGGGATCACTTACAGAAAAATATATAGCGCTTTCCTGGCAATGGAATCGGAAGAGCTGCCTTCCTCATGCCTCTCAGGCTCACTTTGTAAATTATGTGAAACACTCTTAGACAGACACTGGCACTCATAAATTATACAGTTCATTTGCATATTCTAGTCATGAGACGTTATGCAAAGTGACATGATTTGCATAATGGATTCCTCTTGTCGCTTCACTTGCTGCGTGCTTTTAAAAAACAAAATGAAATAAAATGAAAGCATGAAAAGGTGAAAGCATCAAGTCCCCAGCCTTGCCTGTCTTCTTCCCAACTACAGTATCAGTCGCTTTCATTTTCTAGAGGATTGGGGGGAAAGGGACAAAAAGCCAAGATATACAGACATATAAACAAAGAGCTTTCATACGAATTTTGTTGTTAATTACAATGTACCCACTTTCTCATTGAAATCCTTCACCATAAATAACCCTTTTGAGCCAAGAGACATCAAAACAAAACAAAACACTGAAACAGAAAAACTTTACGGAACTTTTTCTTAAAAAAAAAAACCACCAAACTTCTATGTCTGTAATTTTTAGGGAAGGGGTAAGCCTTTCTTTTTGTACCTAAAAAAAAAAAAAAAAAAAAAAAAAAAAAAAATTTAAGGTACCAGCTATTTATCATTGGGAAAAAAAAGCATATCATGGATGAAAGAGAGGTTTGGTGGAAAGATTTTATCCCTTTCTAGGTGAACTTCTGAATGGTCTTCCTGTTTTGAAAGAGGAACGGAGAAGAAGAAAAACAGGGTGGTGTTTTGATTATTTAACAAAATATATAATGGATACATATATTGTAAAGGATGAGGCAATGCCACGTCGACTTCTATCGGCTCTACTCCAATAAGCAGGCAACGCTCCCTCAGCAGTTGCTAGCTTTGCTGCGGGCTTTCCCTGTTCCCCTGCACCAGTGCGAAAAGCAGAGTGTGCCAAGCGGCTGGCGTCTGTACCCTGTGGGAAAAGTTAACTGTAATTCTTCGGCTTTTAAAATCAATTAACCCGAGTGTTAATTAACGTCAAGTCGACGGGAGGAGGAGAAGAAGAAGGGGAGGGAGGGAGAAAAGAAAAAAGCTGCAAGGGCGGATGGCAGAAGAGTTGGCACCGTGCCATCCATTCAGGGGCAACGCCACAGTTTCGTGTGATAGCAGCAGCGGGTATATGATACGGGGCCCTGTATGCGGGCCAGACAGTGCGGTAAAGCCAAGGGAGATTATCCAGACCCCCAGGAGCGAACAGCAAGCAGCAACCGAAGGCGCAAGTGCCAGGATTACAGCCTAGGCTGCTCCAACTATGAGCCCTTCCTCGGACCCTGGGACTCGGCTACTTGGGGTTTGGGGGTCTTCCACACCACAGAGGCACAAAGCTGACTTTAATCACTTTTTTTCCTTTAAACTTGATTCTGCCGCAGTGGAGCCAGCACAGCGGATGTTTTCACACCCAGCAAGACAAAGGCCGTCGTCTCCGCCATGACACTGTTCCGTTCCAAGCAGAGGCCGGGATTCTGGACTCCTCGAAAAATCAAAAAGAAACAAGGAAAACAAACAACAAATACAGCAACAAACAGAAAAAACTGAAAACCACCAAAATCGTTTGCCCGTTTGCCCGTGCCAGGGGTGATCTGGGCATCTGTTGCAGCAGAAGGCGCTTGTGTGGGGCTAATTTTTCTTTTGGTGGGGGGGACAAGCTGTTGGCTTGTTTGCTATTTCAACTTCGTTTATAATTAACTTAAAAAAAACCCCACCATTCAGCCTAGTCAACAACAAACAAAGAAAAAGCAGACATCGGAAGAGAAATGCCATAGGAAGCGGCATGAATACATGCCACAGCCGGTGCCACTTGCCACTCGGAAAACCTCAGGGAAAGATGCCAATTCTACAGCTGCGAAGAAGGCAGAGAAAGGAGGATAAAGGTCTACAACTAGAAATCATAAGGAAAGAATACTGCTTGTATAATCCTGGATTGCAATTGCACACAGCCTCTGCTGGGAGAAGAGAGGGAATATTTAAATGGAGATATAGATGGGTATAAATTAAAAGATAGGCACCTATCGATTGCGTATAAACACATGTGTAAGGTTGTATGTGTATATAAATATGCATATTTTCAGACAAACGTTTAGATATGTATATATTTTGTGCTACAGGTATGGGTATGTATATAGGTGTATATGTTTATGCATATACACACATATGTAGGATGTATGCATGTGTGAGAAAAAGGAGGGAGAGAGAGGAGAGAGAAGGAAATATGTGTATGTGCATGTATGTGTATGCATACATCCCACTTTTTGACCCAGGTATACACAGAAGACAAAATAAAAATCATACTCCAGCAGCAAGCAGGCAGCCAGAGATTTATCTACATTCACTGCTATCACCAGGGAGATGAATGGGGCCGATCTGAAGCCCTTTTACAAGATCCACTATGGGAGTGAAGGAGGAGGAGGGATGCCACACAGACATGCACAAACTTGAAGGCAGAGCGATTTGGAAGGGGCTACTGAGGAAACACTGGTGGCATAACGCAGGGGAGAAGAAGGGGAAAGAGGCTTGTCTCTCTCTCTCTATGTTTTAGGTGGTTGTTTTTAAAAAATCTGCAAAAGGGTTTCAGGGAACGGCTGGTACTTACGTTGTCTGCGTTGCTGTGGATCCTGAAAGGTGTTCTGTTGGCACCGGGCGCTGAGCCAGGGGCAGGCGCTGGAAACAAAAGGGAGAGACAAAAAAATAAAGTGATTCAATGGGAATATTAATTGCTGCTCTTGTGGATTTTACAAAACACATAAACTGTTTTCTTTTTCTTTCTTAAAAAAAAATGTGGATTGGCGCGTGTCCCTTTTGCATGGAATATACAAGTAGTATGGGATTTACAGCCCAGTTACGGGACTCAGGATTAGCTGCGCTGGCATCTTTTGGGCATATTCTTCCTTTTAATGAATGAGCTTTCGCTGTTAATGAGGAATAATCGTTTGGCTAATGAGCTTTGAAACATTAAGAGAAAAGAGGTTTTTTCCGTTAATCGCTCTGGTGCGACTGCATGGATGGATTACAAAAGACAGCAATAGGAACGCAGTACAAAGGGGGGGACCTCTCCTGCAGTGGGAGAAGCACCGAGATGGGTGATGTGTCCCTGCGTCTTTCCTTCCTTCTCTCTTTCGCTCTCTCTGCCAACTGCTATGGGTTTCCATAACTCTGCAATCAAAGTGGATGGTCGGGAAGGATTATTACACAGAGTGAAGCCTCCGCTGTTAATGTCTCCAGTGTTTAATCATCATACAGTAGAATGGTTTTATGCATATTTCATTTGCATATCATTAAACTGTGTTAGTGAGGGGCATTCAGAACCAGGAGAAGTACAAAGTTGGGGAGAGAGGGAAGAAAAAAAGGTCCCTATGATGCTTATCTTCAAACGGGGACTTGTTCCATGATCTGTCTTCTACTTTTGCTAAAATCATTATGACTTGGAAACCTTTGAAGTTGGATACAACCTTGGATTCTTCTAATTCCTGCAGAGCAGTGTATTTTACAAAACAGCAGAAATGTTCCTGCACTAGACAATTAAAGGAATATAAACTCCAGTGGGCTGAAACTAGTAGCTCTTTGGGGAATGCAGTAGCAGAGGCTTCTACAAATACCAACACTTAAAAATATATAATAAACAGCATCATATTAGAAACAAAGAAAACGAAGACAAGAAATATTAACACGTGGATTATATTTGTTTCTTTTGGGGGGTAATGAACTAAAGAGAATGAAGAAGCCATCGGTAATTTATCCCTTCATTAATGAACAGTCACCTTTTTGTATGTGTTTGTTTTTGTCCTTTCTTTTTGAAGAGGGATGTTGTTACTTTTGAAGCAATTAGTCAATTATTTTGTAGCTCTGATCTTTTCCCCCTGCACCCGACAGGACAGAAAGGTGGTGGTTAGGGAATATGTGAGTACTTGGGGAGGGGGGGACTTGGTGGGGAGAGAAAGAATACAGTGAGTTCTTTGTAGATCTTATACATGCACAACATATTAATTGGGGGCTTTTAAAGCTCCCTCAATGGGCTATTTCATTCCTGGTAAAACAGCAGCTGGTTAGCCACTACTGGTGACTCTTCAAATATTACTTCATTTTTATTCTGTCGCCGTTGTTGTTGTCTTGCTTTGTTTTTCCTCAGTTAAGAATGAAAATGTAGTATCACCCCCTCTTTAGTGAGTCTCTTCTCCATCTTCTTCACTCCAATTTCCAAACTGTAAAACAATGTTGGCTTAATACTGAGTCCTGGTGCACAGTCTAACTGGCACAACTTGATTTGGAAATGAGATGCTGCTTTATATTTAAATTACCCCGGCTCCCCCCTTATCCTCCAAAGCTTTGTCTCTGTTATGAATATGCAGATGAGGCCTGATGTGATTACACTGTACAATTACTCCTATCCATGGTGGTGTCAGGGGCTGCTAGGGAGACAGAGAGTCAGACAGCCTCCAAGCCAATACAGAGTTTTGTTTTCGGTATTTTTCCTATCTCCTTGGCACTGCGGCACATGCAGATGTCGCTGTTGTTCTTTATAAAGCCCTAATGTATGCAAAAGCATAACGATTTGGTTTGGACGCAAAGCATCAACGAAATATTATGGATGTCTTCAAGAAAGGGGGAGAGAAAATCCTGACTGAAGGAATGTCCACATAAATTATTTTTATTTAAATGAATTCAAAGGATGGGATGAGGGCAAGTCAGACGGAGTCGCGTGGAAAACATGAATAATATTAATATGCATAAAGAATTCTCACCAACGAGGAGAAGCTCCTCACTACAGCTCTTGGGACAAACAGGTTCATTAGGAAACAGCTCAGAGCGACTACAGCATTTTGCTATTTCAATTTTTTCCCTTATTTTAAATGAAGAGTCAGACAGATGTGTTTTCTTTGCATGGCAGCATTGAGATGGATCCAATCTGCGAAATTTGCTGCCCAAATAGCATTTCTAATGGAAACTGGAACTAAACAAGGGCACGGATATGGGAGGGAGGGGAGAAGAGAGAATACACGAAGAAGAGTATATTCAGAGCCACTGCATGGCATTTTGAGTACAGGAGGTTTTCAGGAACGATCTTTGCTTCATTAGTCTCCCCTGTGGGCTCCTGATGTAGGGAGCTATCAGGGTATACCAAGATGAGCACTGAGACAGGCCTTTCTAGGTCTGAGGCTGAGGAAAGCAGCGGCAACTTGGTGCCTGTCCCCCAGAGCTGTCTACAGTTCAGAAGCCAAAAGCACAGCTACTTCTAATTTGGGGATGCAGTAGAGTGCCTACTGATCCAGGTATTTGTGAAAGATGGAATTCTTGGTGCTATCATAGTATACATTGCTAAAGAGCAGATGAAATCGGCTGCTTAAGGAGGCCTGATAATATTTATGTTGGTTAATTCTCATGATAATGATAACTGCACTTGTCTAGTATTTTCAGAATGTTAAAATTACCAGTGTGGCTTAATGCATGTTTACAATAAATAGAGAGGGACAAAGAGTGAATGAGCCTATTGGGTGGATTCAAAACTGATAAAATATTTGGACTATTACTCATGGTCTCCAAGGATTAACAAAGAAAGTCAAAGAAGCAGTAGTCGGAAAAAAAGAGATTTTGTTACTTCCCTTGGGCAGGTGGACAGAGTTCAAATTACTTTCATAATTCAGCTAAAAGAATTTTATACTTCAGTTGAAATTACATGAAGACATTTTTGATCTGATATACATATCTGCATAAATTTCTATTATGACATCATAACGTTGACCTGGAACTGGTCTGATTATAAGCATGTTCTAAATACTGTTGCTCTTCACCTATAATCTCTAAAACTTCCATTTATAAGTTTCTTTTAAGACTCCCCCTCCAATAATTTCCAACTGTTACACGATTCTCAACTGTTGGTACAGTGTACAAAACTACAGAGTACAGTGAATTGATGATTATTTGGAGAATGGCTATTTAATCTGAATTATTCATATTTAACCTCTTATACTTTCCATCTCTGTTGCCAGAATTACGGATATAGAATTTTGAAAGAATACATGTAAAGAATTAAGCACAGTATCTGCACATAACAAGCTCTAAATAAGTGTTAGATTTTATTACTGCTATCATTACTATTATTACTTCAGTGTGTTGGTTACCATTTGAGAGAAATAAGGAAAAGAAAATAAAATTCAATTTAAAATTCAACCTTTACTTTCACTATTAAATAGCAATGCAGGTAAAAGGCTGAGTGGAAAAGCATTAAATAGATATTCATGGTGAATAGACTGTGAATGATCTGTAATCAGAAGTCAAACTACAGCTTATGTCAATGCACACTAGACCCATGAAAGAGTTCCATTAAAAATGTATGTATAATTCTGAAATTTTCATGTTGCATGACATGAATAGTCTGATAAGAGAGTTCTATCGTGGTTGGTATGGAGGGTTTTGGGAACTGAAAGGTGCTCATTATTTAACTACAATGATGAAGCAATGCCAACTTTCAGTCTTTTTTTTTACAAAAATAAGTTATATTTTTGAATAAGTAATACATTACAATGAAGTATCAATAATTTAAATAATGTAGAAAGGAAAAGGTCTCTGTCTTTTCCCTCTTCTACCCATGAGTTCCTCACCCAACCCCCAAATAAGTAATCACTGTTACTGTTTTCTTGTTCATTCTACCAGCTATTAATATATTAAGAAGATATTAATATAGTCTCTCTCCTATATCTTACACAAATGATACTTTTTACCAATATTCCTTAGAATTTTCTGTCAACACAATAAGTTCATTTGTGACTAGACAGCTTCATTTCCAGTAATCGTGCCAATTATTCCTTTTTCCTTATTTCATTGGTGAGGACATCTAGTACGATGTTGAATAGAAGTAGTGATAGGTGAGTGTAAACATCCTTACCTTGTTTGCAATCTTAGGGGATGTCACTGTCTTGTTCATGGTCTTAGGGGAAGAAGAATTCAGCCTTTCATTACTAAGAATTATGCCCTTTATCATGTGAAAGAGGTTTCCTTCCATCCTTAGCTAACAATTTTTCAAAAAATCATGAATGGTTATTAAATTTTGTCAAATCATTTTCAGCCTCTATTGAAACAAATAACAGCTTAAAGCTGTGAGTATAGTGAATTACAATGACTGATTTTCATATGCTAAACCAACCTGGCAATCCTGGGACAATGCCCCATTGATCATGATATATTAATCTTTTTGTATATTGCAATAATTGACCTGCTAACATTTTGTTAAGAATTTTTGAATCCATGTGCATGAGAGACATTAGTCTATAATTTTTTGGGGGATGTAATAACTTTGACATTGTTATCAGGGTCTTGCTAATAGCATAGAATGAGTTGGAGAGTGTCTCCCTCCTCTATACTCTGAAAAAGTTTGTATAAGATTATTATTTTGTCCTTAAATGCTAAATTCAATTAATCAGTAAAGCTATGAGGCCTGGGGATTTCTTTGTGGACAGTTTTCATATAACAAATTCAATTTTTTTTTTTTTTTTTTTTTTGAGACAGAGTCTTACTCTGTCACCCAGGCTAGAGTGCAGTGGCATGATCACAGTTCACTGCAGCATCAACTTCCTGGGCTTAAGTGATCCTCCCACCTCAGCCTCCTGAGTAGTTGGGACTACAAGTGTATGCCACCACACCTGGCTAATTTGTTTTTATTTTTATTTTTTGTACAGACAGGGTCTCACTTTGTTGCCCAGGCTGGTCTTGAAGTCCTTGCCTCAAGCGATCCTCCTGCGTCAGCCTCCCAAAGTGCTGGTATTACAGGCATGAGGCATTGTGTCTGGCCTACAGATTCAATTTTAGAAAAATGATCTTGGATTATTCAGATTTCTAATTTATGTTAATTTTGGTAAGCTGGGGTTTTCAAAGAATTTGTCTATTTCACCTTAGTTATCAAACTGATTGGAATACATTTGTTAATAATATCCTATTATCCTTTTTCTTATCTGTCAGAATTTTGGTGATGTCCTTATTTCATTTGTGATATTGGTGATTTGTTTTTTTCCTTCAGCTTTTTAAAATCAATTTTATTAATCTTTTCAGAGAATCAATCTGATTGTTAATTTTTTTATTTCAACTCCCAATTTTATAATATCCTTTCTTCTATTTACTTTGAGTTTAATTTGCTTCTCTTTTTCTAGATTCATAAGGCAGAATCTTAGATAATTTTACACTTTACTTCCTATAACAGATGTGTAAAGTGATATATTTTCCTCTAACAACTGCTTTAGCTGCATCACACACATTTTCATAGGATGTGTATTCATTCTCATTTAGTTGAGATTAAAAAAAAATTCCCTTGTCATTTTTTAAACATGTTAAGTATATTATTTAATTTCTAAATATTTGTTTTTTTTCTAGGTATCTTATTACTATAAATTTCCAACTTAATACCACTGTTTCAGGGAAAATATTCTATGTAATTCCAACTCAAGACTTGTATGCCCCAACATAAAGTCCATCTTTCTGAAATTCCATGTGCATTTGAGAAGAATCCACTGTTGTTCTGCTGTTGTTGATTTTCTCAGTTAAACATTTGATTTCCATTCAGTTAATTTTTGTTCTTATTATTTTTTGCCTTCTACTTTCTTTGGGCTTCATTTTACATTTTGTTTCTAGCTTCTTGATGAGATATTTATATCATGATTTTTCAGCTTTTTTTCCTTTTAAACATGTATTTAAAGGTTATACATTTTCCTCTAGGAACAGCTTTAGATAGAACCCCAGGTTTTCACGTCATGTTTTGATTATCATTTGGTTCAAAATACTTTCTAATTTATACCATAGTTTCCTCTTTTGCCTATAGGCTATTGGATTCGTCTTTTATCCAGTCTAACAACTTGTCTTTCAACTGCAAAATTGAGTCAATTTACATTTAACATAATTACTGATATATTTTGCATTATATACATATCATCTTATTGTTTCCTATATGTTCTGCCTGATTTACGTTCTTCAAAATCTTTTTTGCATCATTTATAATTAATCAAGTCCTTTTCTTATTACATTTTTTCTCTTTTAGTTTGGTAGTAACACATTATTTTACTATTAAGTGGTACCCTAAATATTGCAACATACATCTCGGACTCACTATAGTCTATTATAAATTGGTACTTTTGTCACTTCCCAGACAATGCTAGAACTGAAATTGGTATTGTTTTGTTTACTTCCTCCCACCTTTTGTTATTATTGACATGCATCTCATCATTCATATATTTTAAGTCTCGCAAGATATTTTCATTTTTCTATTTTGCAGTCAAGATTCATTCAGACTCACTCACATATACACCTTACGCACTGCTCTGTGTTTCTTCTTCCATTTTGACATTTCCTTCTGAGGTCATGTTTCTTCTACCTAAATAACTCCCTTTGGTGTTTCTTTTAGGTTGGGTATGCTGCTGATAAGTTCTCTCAGTTTTTGTTTTCTTACAGTTATTTTCATCTTCAATTTTCAAGTATATTTTCATGGAGCACAGAATTCTAGATTGGCAGTTATTTTCTTTCTGCTTTTAAAAGATGTCATTCCATTGTCTTTTGAACGCCATCATTTCGTTGAGAAGTCAGCTGTCAGTCTTATTGCTGCTTCCTTCAAGTAGCATGCCTTCTTTTTTTGTCTTCACTTAAGATTTTCTCTTTCAACTTCAGAAGTTTTACTAATGTGCCTAGGTGTGATTTTCTTTGTATTTATCCTGCCTGGGATATCTATGGCTTAATATCTTTCCTCTTTTTGGAAATTGTTAGTCCTTAGCAGTTTGAAAATTACCTACTGCAATCTTTTTTTACCTTGTAGGATTCCAATTACACATACATTAAATATTTTCAATGTATCTCCTATGGGCTTTATGCTGTTTATTTTCCAGCCTTTTATCCCTTCATGTTTTGGTTTCAGCATTTTTTAACTGATCTAGCATACTCAACAATTCTCTCTTTATTTCTAATCTGCTATTAAGCCTATTTATAAATGTCTTAATTTAAGTTGCTGTATTTTTCAGTTCTTGAATATACATTTAATTCTTCTTTTGTAAGCTGCAGTTCTTTTGTTCTCCAACATATTATCATTTTAGAGCTATTTAAGAGCCATATCTGATAAGTATATCTGATCCACTTCACTGTGGATCTGTTTCTGCTGTCTGCTTTTTTCCCCCGTTTTGGTCCTGTGTTTTGCTATTCCTAGAAAGTACTGAATGGATGCCAGATATTGTGTGTGAAAAATTTTAGAAGTTCTGGAAGATATCTTCTTTTGAAGAAAAATTACCATATCACCTGGGAGGTAGCAGGATAGAACAAGGGCAGATTACCTCAATCCAATAAAAGAGTAAATTGGCTTTGAAGCTAGGTTATAGTCTTTTTAAGACTTACGTTGCATCTGGTTCATCTCATCTCTTAGGTCCCATTTCCTTGACAGACCCTGACCCCTGATTTTTGTCTTCCCAGCACTATGAGATTACTGAAAGCTCTACTGGGCTTTCAGTAGATTTCGCCTTAGGATCTTATTCTGGAAAAGACAAACCGAAACTCTGAGCTATACTCTTATTAAAAAATCTCTCTGAAATAATACCATCAAAAAAGTGATGACATTTGTTCTTTGTGAACCTGTATTTATTCCTAGTAATGAAACTGAGAATAATTTCTCCTCTGATTCAGACTTTTGGCATCCCTCCCAAACTGCATTTTTTTTAAATCTGCAATTCCTTAAGCTTAACTGCAGATGTAATTCTTCAGGATCAATGGCAAATTATCACAGTACCTATGAAAATAATAAGCGTGGGACAGGAGACTTGAATTCCAGTAATGAGTTGTTCTCTTTCAATCTATGTGACTGATCCTGTGCTGCAATCCTCACTAATCAATGCTAGTTTTGTCCTTTCCTACCCTAGAGGCTATTCTTCTTGACAGAGAAAGAGAATCTGAATAATAATTCTCTCTCTCTCCCCTTCCTTCTCTCACTTTTAGTAATCTCTCTCTCTCTCTTTATTTACTTTTTGAGACAGAGTCTCACTCTGTCACCCAGGCTACAGTGCAGTGGTGCAATCTCAGCTCACTGCAACCTCCACCTTCAGGATTCAAGTGATTCTTGTGCCTTGGCCTCCCAAGTAGCTGGGATTATAGGCACACAAAAATTGCCACGCCTGGCTAATTTTTGTATTTTTAGGAGAGATGGGGTTTCACCATATTGGCCAGGCTGGTCTCAAACTCCTGACCTCAAGCGATCCACCCGTGTTGGCCTCCCAAAGTGTTGGGATTACAGGTATGAGCCACTGTGCCCAGGCCTCATTTAGTAATCTCTTAACAGGACATGAAAATCCTGCAGCGCAAGTCTCTTTCTTTCACTTTTCCCTAGAAGCAACCCACAAATTCTTGCCCTTATATGCTCCTCCTTATATTTTAAATATAATCATTTATACCTAAATTTAATATGAAATCACATTGGTCTTCTTTACATTTCCCTCTCCCCCATTTCCTGAAAAGGGGGGTATTATTTTATTCATCAATTACAGACAAACACACTGCTACTTTAAAGACTGGTTGCAATATAAGCAATAAGTCAATAACTATACAATGTGATATGTGTTAGGTGCAATTTTAGTGTTATTTTGTTATTTCCATTTTTTTTTAGCTTTCTTCTTCTTCTTCTTTTTTTTTAGAGATTATGTCTATGAAGTTATATTTACCCGTTGTCTGAAGGTTTTCAAAATCTGCCTTATAACGTCTATGGTAACACTGTCCAAAAGAACTTTCGGAAACTATGGAAATGTGATTTCTAATAGGGTAACCAATAGCTAGTACAATGGACCAAATCTTTCATTTAATTTTAATTTATTAAATTTAAATAGTCACATGTGGCTAGGGGTGACTATTGTTCTATTTGTTTTTAACCTATAAGTTCTTAGGTGTTGATCAAAATTAGGTTCATATAGTTTCCCTATAATTTCTTTCATCTATTGAGGATGCAGATTATTAGCAAGGCAAGGCAAAAATATGCCCAAAATTCAACTTTTAGTAAAATGGATTTTGAGAATGTATTTGAATAGCTGATACACATGATTATTATATCCTGAGTCTATACTTTTTAAAAGGATCTGAATCAGGATTTCTAGAAATATACTACTTATTTGACCAAGCAAATTATAGCATATCCTTTTGAAGCAATTACTTCTGATCTCTACTTTTATGCTTACCCAGGTGCTTTCTATCATGTTTCTTCTCAAATTCAGCTCCCAACTGCCATTGTATAGTCATTTATGAATGCCGTGTCTAGTCAAGAATGCAATCTCATGAAAGAGAATGCAACTAAATGGCCAACTTTGAGATTAACACAAAACTTGTAACTAATTATTACAATGCTTATGTGTGCTTCTATATATGTGCAGATAGATACATACATAATGCATGTATTTTATAGATTTGCATGAAGTAGAAACAACATTTTCCAGAAGGATGAAATAAATGATTAAATTTAAAGAATTCAGTGTAAAGAATTTAGTTTTATGAAGTGAGGGATGTCCTGTATTAAGAATTAATTACAGGCTGGGTATGGTGGCTCACACCCACAATCCTAATACTTTGGGAGGCCAAGGCAGGTGGATCACCTGAGGTCAGTAGTTTAAGACCAGGCCTGGCCAACATGATAAAACCCCGCCACTGCTAAAAATACAAAAATTAGCCGGGTGTGGTGGCACATGCCTGTAATCTCAGCTACTCAGGAAGCTGTGGCAGGAGAATCGCTTGAACCTAGGAGGCAGAGGCTGCAGTGAGCCAAGATCACGTCACTGCACTCCAGTCTGAGCAACAGAGCAAGACTCTGTGACAAAAAAAAAAAAAAAAAAAAAAAAAAGGGCCGGGCACGGTGGCTCACACCTGTAATCCCAGCACTTTAGGAGGCTGAGGCAGGCAGATCATGAGGTGAGGATATCAAGACCATCCTGGCTAACATGGTGAAACCCCATCTCTACTAAAAATACAAAAAATTAGCTGGGTGTGGTGGCACACACCTGTAGTCCCAGCTACTTGGGATGCTGAGGCAGGAGAATCGCTTGAACCAAGGAGGCAGAGGTTACAGTGAGCAGAGATCGCGCCACTGCACTCCAGCCTGGGTGACAGAGCAAGACTCCATCTCAAAAAATAAATAAATAAATACATAAAAATAAGAATTACAGAAGAATATTTAAAAGTTTCCATTGGTCTTAAAAAAATAAAGAATAGCATTTAATAGAATCAGATGTTATCTGAAAGTAAATGAAACTAGAGAAATAACATGTGGACTCTCATAATATCTCCCAAATTTGAGTATTGTGCAATATGTGTGTTCAATGCATATATGAAATATATGAACTGATTTCTAGATAAGCATTTAAATATTTTTCTAATGAAATATGTTTGTCCATATTTTAGTGGATCTCAATGTGAAGGGATGATAGTTCAGGTTTTGGAATAATACAGACCTAGGAATTCTGTAATATATAGCTCTAATTATGATGTTTCCTGGCCTCAAAAATAAGTTAGCAGCTTTCCCATGATGTCTTTTTGATAGTATTTCAAGAGATTAAAGGTGCCAGTCAACATTATTTAAGAATGTCCTCCTTTAAAAACTTTAATTGTAAAAAATTTAAGATTTGAAACAGATAATTAGAGAATTAGTCACGTTACAAATGGATTCTTTACTTGTTACAGGCTTCACCCAGAATTAACAAGCCTCTATGGGCATTAAAAATAGTATTATGTTTTTACATTTTTTTTGTAAAATTACTTACAAATTTTCAGGAATTTTTTTTTTATCACACAGAATAAGATATACCTGTCTTTGGGATAAAAATACATAACTATCAACACAGTTATAATAAAAGTGCTTCATATTAATTCCCATTATAATTATACCTTATATTTGTCTAGGACTTTACAATGTACAAAGCACTTTCACATACACTGTTTCTTTTAAAAGAAAGGCATCACAAGAAAGTGAACTGATACAATTTTTGTTTTCAATGAATAGTGGCACTCTTAAAATGGAGATAGAAACCATGCCTATCACGTTATAACAACAACAAAACACATTTTGCTGAGCTTCTCAAAAGGAGGTATGGCAAAGCATAGGTTCTGGAATCAACAGGACATATAATGGGATCCTAATTTTACTTACTTACTAGCTGTGTGACTTTGAGCAAGCTACTTAACTTGTCTGTACTTCATTTTCCTCATCTGTGAATCCAGAATTTGGACCTCATAGAGTCAGATTAAATGAAAAACATTTTACATATCCTAAAGCAACGCACAGAATTGCTATGATACTAGGTATATAGTAGGAACTCAATAAATAAAGATGATAATGAAAATAATGTTACTTTTATTATTAAGATGATCTATTTTCACTGATCTTCATAATCTTTCAACAAAACATACTACACAAAGTAAATAATTAGATATGACAATGACTGATCTTAGATCATAGATCAGGTGAGGAAGAAAGGTGAAAGTCTATTTTGGAAGCAGATGAGACACTACACCATGGGAAATGGAACTCACTAGAAAAAAATCGAGGTTACACCTAAACTAGTTTAAATTTATGATATTTAAACAGGGTAGAAACTTATACTAAAGGCATCACAGGCAATTTTGCTTTAAGGAGAGTAAAATGGAAGCCCGTTTGTGATGTGCATGTTAAATGAAAGAAAACAGAATCATATCTGTAAAATAAGAAGTAATATCATATAAAGTGAAGAGGGGTACAGGGAACATAAGGCTAGAATAGTTTAATTTGTATAAGCATATTAGCTCACTTAGATTGATCATACAAGGATAAAAGATTGACCTGAAGTTTGGCATAAAAAAACTCTCTGCTCCTAAGCAAAAGACCCTAATGAGTCTCCTTACAAACGTGTGCTGTCAGTTAAACAAGGAGCCTCAACTTAAAGTGTTTACTGCTTAAAGTAGCCCATCACTATTATTATATAAACAATTGAAATTATAGGCCCTATTTACATAAAGTTAATATCATCTTTGCATTAACAACATTTGCTGATTGTTGAATTTGTCTTGAAGTTCTTCTTTCAGAGTGGAACATTTACTCAGAAAATTAACATTATTTAGGGTCTACTGCAGGCATATCTCAGAGATATTGCAGGTTTGGTTCCATACCACCACAACAAAGTTAATATTGCAATATAGTGAGTAGCACGAATTTTTTTTGTTTCCCAGTGCATATAAAAATTATGTTTACACTATACTGTATAGTCTAGTAAGTGTACAATAGCATGTCTGAAAAGTGTGCATACCTTAATTTAAAAGACCTTATTGCTAAAAATTGCTACCAATCATCTGAGGCTTCAGTGAGTCATAATCTTTTTGCTGGAGAAGGGTCTCGTCTCGATGTTGATGGCTGCTGACTGATCAGGGTGGTGGCTGCTGAAGGTTGGGGTGGCTGTGGCAGTTCCTTTTTTCTTTTCTTTTCTTTTTTTTTTTTTTTTTTAGACAGAGTCTTGCTCCATCTCCCAGGCTGGAGTGCAGTGGCACGATCTCGGCTCCCTGCAACCTCCACACCCAGGGTTCAAGCAATTCTTGTGACTGGACTGTGGCAGTTTCTTAAAATGACACAACAATGAAGTCTGCTGTGTCAATTGACTCTTCTTTTCATGAAAGATTTCTTTGTAGCATGTGTGCTGTTTGACAACATTTTCCCTACAGTACGATGTCTTTCAAAATTGGACTCAATCCTCTCAAATCCTGTTGCTGCTTTGTTAACAAAATTTATATATTATTCTAAAACCTTTGTTGTCAATGTCAACAATGTTCACAGCAGACTCCATCTCAAGATGGAGTAGATTCCATGTTAAGAAACCACTCTCTTTGTTTATTCATAAGAAGCAACTCCTTATCCACTCAAGTTTTATCATGAGATAAAACTTGGGAATATTTTGAAAGGAATCTTTTTTTCTGAGCAGTAGGTCTCAAAAGTCGGCTTAAAATATTCAGTAAACCATGCTGAAAGCAGATATGCTGTCATGTAGGTTTTGTTATTCCATTTGTAGAGAACAGGCAAAGTAGATTTAGCATAATTCTTAAGGGCCCCAGGATTTTTGGCACGGTAAGTGAGCACTGGCTTCAACTCAAAATTACCAGCTGACCCTAACAAGAGAATCAGCCTGTACTTTGAAGCTCTGAAGCAAAGCATTAACTTCTCCTTTCTGGCTATTAAAGTCGCAGATGGCATCTTCTTCCAATAGAAGGCTGTTTCCTCTACATTCAAAATCTGTTGTTTAGCGTAGTCACTTTCATCAATTATCTTAGCTAGATATTCTGGGTAACTTGCTGCAGCTTTACCATCAACACTTGCTGCTTCACCTTGCACTTTTATGTTATGTAGATGGCTTCTTTCCTTAAACCTCATGAACTAACCGCTGTAAGCTTTAAATTTTTCTTCTCCAACTTCCTTGCCTCTCTTGGCCTTCACAGAATTGAAGAGTTAGGGCTTTGCCCTGGATTAGGCTTTGGTTTAAGGGAA